>NC_000014.9:103853715-104156716 GCF_000001405.40 Homo sapiens | reverse complement strand
CCGGGACCCAGGAGGGACACTCCAGACAGAGGCCCTGCCATCCCAGACAGTATCCCTCCTCACCACCATGGAGGGCTCACCCTGCCCAACCCATGGCCGGCTCACCCTGCCCAACCCATGGCCGGTACCAGCTTCCAGGCCCCTCCCGGGACCTGGAACAGAACCATGTCTGCGAAAGGAAGTTCACAGGGAGCCCCAAGACTTAGGCTGGATGGAAGCTGGGTGCCCCCTGGGCCCTAGGCACCAGCCACTCCTCCGGGGCTTCCAGAAGGAATGCCCAGTAGCAGAAAAGGGCGAACCTGGGACCTGGAACAGCTCACTGGACATTGCGCCAGCACACCACACCCCACCAGCAGCCTGCAGGCCAGGAACTCCTGTACATCCCTCTGAACCCAGCCCGGCCAGCCCTCTCCTTCTCCCAGCCACTCCCTCACCTCAAGTGTGAATTCTATTTTATCACTTAATGTATGTGCTCCCTATCAAAAGCCTAAACTCCTTTGCTGAGCAGACAGGAAAGAGTGATCTTTAAAGTTACAACATTAACAGCAGGTCCTGAGCCCCTGGAGCAGAGCCGGGTCTGGTTGAGCACCCCTGGGCATGGCAGTCAGCACCCAGGGCCAGTTCTCCTGGGGGCCGGGGCCGCACCACCCACAGCCAGCGTGGCACCCACAGGTGGCTCGTCGCGATGGCACCACCGTGGGGCCACATTTGGCATCCTGGGCCAGGCCCAATCACAGTGTCCAGTGAGGCACCAGGACACCCTGCCTCCCCCACTGGACAGGGGCACCGAGGCTGGAGGGGCTGCAGCAGGGACAGAGCTGCTACACCACAGCCCACCCGGCCCCTCCACCCTCTTCCCACAGGGCCCGAGCCCTCCCCCATCTCAGGCCAGCCACTCCACCTCCGGCCAGAAGGTTCCGGCCCCGCCCAGCAACGGTACAGGCCTGCGGCCAGCTGGGCCTCCCCACACTGACCTGTCTCAGGAGTCCGGCACGCGCCTCGGCTCCACCGTCCCACGCGCTGCCGGGACACCGCCCCATCCGCCGGGACGGCCACTGCCAATTCCTGCCGGAAGCAGAGCCCGGGCATGCCAAAAGAAGCCGTCTGGCAAAGCGAGAGCCGGGGGCAGGGGAGGACGGCGAGAGGGAAGACCACAACACGGGGGCAGAAGAGAGGGGGGGCGGGCGGCCAGACAGAGCATGTGATGGAGGTGCCACAGCAGCAAACGGAAGGAAAGGCAGGAGAGAGGGGAGCGTGAGGCCGAGGGGCGCAGAGCCAAGGGCCCCAAGCATAGCCGCACGGGACCCACCCCACGGGGAGCTTCCTAACCACAGCAGGCACCAGGCGGCCAGCAGAGAGCACCTGCAACCTCGGGGAACACCAGGGTTCCGTGGAGCACAGTTTAGGAAATGCCAAGCTAACTCTCTTCTTAGGAGCCCTCCAGGCCCAAACGCATCTGTAAGGTTCTGGCCCGTGAAAGACACCAGCCCCCCAGATAAACACCTCACTGGGTGCTATTTTGTGCTGAGAAGTGGGGGAGAAAGGGAGGAGGAGGGGCTGAGGAGCGGCCAGGGAGGCTCAGAGCCGAACTCTGTCACCAGTGTCACCCCTGCACGGGTGTGGATGTGCGCCACCCTGCAGAGCCCCATGGGGCGGACTCGCCCACCCACGCGAAGCTCCAGCCTCGTCACTCAAAGGGCCCTAGGGCCTGGACAGCCCTGAGTTCAAAGATCTGCCCCTGCCTGGCCCATCTCAGCCGTGAGGACCACGGGACACCCTCCAGGGCCCCTGCAGCCCAGCACAGCGGTGGCAGGAGCCCCCAAGCCGGTGCCACCCAATCTCCATGTATGGAGGCACCCCCGCTCCTCAGGGCCACCGTCAACACCTCCAGCACCCCACACTGCCCACCGGGCCGCCCCTCTGTGGAGGGCCACGGTGCCACTTGCAACCCACTGTGGGCTCTGAAGGCCAGAGCCTCGGTCTCGCAGCTCAGTTCATAGCGTGAAATGGGCCACGGTTCGCAGCATGTCCCAGACCATGGCAGCCTCTGGTGGTGCAGGCAGGGCACTGGGGTGGGCCCCATGACCACTGTCCAGAGCTCTCAGGGCAGGAGGCGTGGGGCACAGGCACAGGGCCAGGCTCCGTGGGCAGCTTCTGCCCTCTGCAACGGCAGCGCTGCCCCGGCCCAACAGTCCGGGAAGAACCGCTGGACAGCCCTGCCCGGCGGCTCCATAGCCCAGGAGTCTCTGGATGCTCAAGATGTGGGATGTTCCAGGCCCCACCTGTGGCCGCAGGAGGCCCTGGGAGCCCTGGGCCACCCACCACCCCTCCAAGGACCAGCCTTCTGGCCAGACCCAGTAACGTTCAGCATCCCCTGCCAAGCCTCGGCCGAGGCCAAAGTGCCATGGCTGGTCCCTGCCCCTCCTCTCCACATCGTGTAACAGAGGGGGCTGCAGCACCCCCGTCCCACCCGCTGGCCCCAGATCAGTGTTTGCCTTGGAACAATCTCATTCGACCCAGGGGTGGTTGACGGTCTGTGGTGGAGATTTGCAGCGCATCTCTCCACAAGTATTTAACTCTAGAGTCTAACAGGCACCATTAACATTCCAGGGCCACGCTAATGATCGATGCCCTGGTTCAGGGGAAATTACCTCATCTGAATCCTAAAGTTCTATTTATGGTTCTAATAATCTCCCTATCGATCGCCCGGACTGCTGTCTAATTATAAATCCATTCCCACCCACCCTGGCCACGATCAATGTGCACATAACGCTGGGAGAGGGTGCCTAAATGTTCATGGTGTGCCATCCACCAGCAGGGCTGCCCAGCAAGGGGCCTGCGATCTTCTCCACCCCCACCCGCTGGGACCCTCAGCCACGGGCAGGGTGCAGTGAGGCCAAGTGGCCCAGGGAGACAGCAGGAGACGGAGGTGCCTGTGCCCACCATCCTGGGTTTCAGGCCCAGCCCCTGATGCTTCCACACAGGCCCAGCTCAATGAGACCTCCTCCAGGATGCTGCCCAGCTCACCTGCTGCAGCCCCCAGCACCATCCCCGCCCACCCCTCCCAGGATGCCCAGCTCTGGGGCCAGGAGGCACCTCATGGCAAGGGTGGGGTTCGGCTCTGGGGCCAGGAGGCACCTCGTGGCAAGGGTGGGGTTCGGCTCTGGGGCCAGGAGGCACCTCATGGCAAGGGTGGGGTTCGGCTCTGGGGCCAGGAGGCACCTCATGGCAAGGGTGGGGTTCAGCTCTGGGGCCAGGAGGCACCTCGTGGCAAGGGTGGGGCTCCCTCTCCTCGGCCTCACCACAGAGTTCACAGGTGGAAGGGTGTAGGTGCCAAGGCCACAGGGGAACCATCACACCAGCTGGGACCCGGGGGGTGTCCAGAAGTTCCTCCAGTGAGCCTCGGCGTACCTCGACCCCTAGGGCAGCCCAGCAGCCTCAGAAGGACCAGCCCAGCAGCCACTGCCAGGGCAGCTAGTGCCAAGGCCAGCCCCCAGCTGGGGCAGGATCTTGATGTCCAGACAGGCCACCTCACCAGTCACAGGGAGGCCGAAAGCCCAGAAGGCAAGGGCAGGGTCTGCCTGGCCTTAGGATCAGTGGCCAATGTTGCCCCAGAGACTACGGGGTCTCTGCACCTCTGTCTGCCCCTGGAAACACCACCAGGCCTGGAGACCAAGGGAGAAGGGCGAGCTTGTGCTGGTCGCTGTGTGGTGACTAGACAGTGTACCAGGCAGAAACACGGCTCTTCACAGCCACCCACATGTCCCTCTGCCCCCAGGGTGCCACAGGGGCAGGCAACGCATCTCCAGCAATTGCAACTGCCGGTCCCCCGCCCGACGTCCATGGACGCCTCACACCCCCAGGCCTCCACACAGGCCCTCGCTCTGCCACAAGGGCCCTCCTACTCCATCTGCCTCGTGAGCCCCGATCTACACACGGTGCCCTGTGCATCGCCAAGCCCTGTGCTGGGCACTGGTGGGCCCTCAGCCCCAGTCTCAAAAGACAGACAGGGAGGGGCACGTGCTCCCAGAGAAGGTATTCCCTGAGTCAGGCAGGGACCTGAGAACAGCTGCTGTGCACCATCAAGGGTGCATCTGATGTGGGGCCTCAGGAGTGTCAGGAACCCCCATGCCCGCCGTCCCCTCCCTTCAGGGAAGCCTTACTGCAGGGCACTCAACGTGGACAGAGACCCCCGAAGGAAGCCCAGTTCTGACAAGGAGGCCAGCAGCTCCCATCCGCTGAGCAAGACACTCACCAGGCACGCCGGCGGGAGGAAGCTGTTGACCCGCGAGACACTCCACATGCCCTCCAGGCACTGCTGGGCCTGGATGGTGACCGTGCTCAGCGCCCCTCCAAGACCCGCAGGTGCTACAGACACCTGGACACTGGGCCCGGGGGACCAGGCCAGCCCCTTGGTCCTGTCTGGCCCAGCTCGTCCTGGCTGCCTCCCTGCAGGACCCGCTGGTCCTGGCGTGTCCCTCGAGCTGGTCGTGGTGCTGGGGGGTGCGAGGCTGGGGCCTCCATGGGGGGCGTCAAGGTCCTCATGGCTGGCAGGGGCCTGCAGCAGGTGCATGGCCTCCCGTGTGAGCTGCTGCAGGTGTGTGGCGCAGACGTCACAGCGGCGCTCGGCCTCTGGGCGACAGGCTGGCAGGGCCCCAGGTGCTGGTAGCTTGTCGAGAAGCAGGGCAGAGAGGCAAGGATCCTGAGGACAGCAAGGGACAAAGGCAGGGTCAGTGCCTGGGGAGGGAGGGCCGGCACCCAGAGCCCACCAGCACTCTCACCGTCCATGACGCTGCGAGCTCCCGCCTGGCCACCGCACCATCCGTAACAGATTAATAAGCCCAAACACTTTCACCCACACAAGCCCAGCAGGAAAATAATGATCGGGCTTCATCGTGAGGCTCACAATGTCCTTGTTAACTGTCCACCTTCCCCAGCCGTCATTAAGCGCCCCGGCCTGCGGCTAACAAGGCAGGTTTGCGGCTCCCGGACAACCGGACCACTGTCAGCTAAGGCCGCCTGGCCGGGGACACGCAGGAGACTGGCAAGAAGCAGGGCCCCTTAAAAGCAACGTCTCTTCAGAGCCACGAGGGCCTCCCTCACCCACACTCACTCAAGGCAGAGCCAGGGGCAGGAGACCCTCTCCCTTCCTCTTCAGGTCTCCAGCCCCGGTGGGGCAGGTGGAAAATCAAATCAGTGCTGCTGTAAAGGTGTCAACAGAAGCGAAGGCCTCCCTCGGAGACGCTCCTAGAGGGCACATGAGCTCACCGAAGGGGCGCAAGAGCCGCAGGATCGGGTACAGCCCAGGGCCCCACCCCCCGCCGCACACTCCACCAGCTCCCCCACCCAGGTCTGAGCTGTACGCTGGGATGCACCCTGTTTGGTGACTGCCCCCTTCCCTGAACTGGGGGG
This sequence comes from Homo sapiens, assembly GCF_000001405.40. Classification (NCBI taxonomy): domain Eukaryota; kingdom Metazoa; phylum Chordata; class Mammalia; order Primates; family Hominidae; genus Homo; species Homo sapiens. Next base: position 104,151,304 of record NC_000014.9, on the reverse strand, counting down.
ACACACAGGTTTCTCTAGAACCCTGAGACTGGGTTCTAGAAACGGCTAAAAACAAGAGCCAGAAGAACCCAGAGGAGGATGCGCCTCACCCAGCCTCAGAGTCAGGGAAGGCTTCCTGGAGGCAGTGACATCTTCCAGGAAGAGGAGGAGGAGCAAGAAGGAGACAAGCCACAGAGCAAAGCTCACTGGGAGGGAATCGACCAAGAGGCTTACTCCTCTCTGGGGCCCACCCGTGTCCCTCACCACCCCACCAGGCTCTGGCCTTGCCCCTCCTTGGGACCACTCTGCAACAGTCAGGGCCAGAGTCAGGACCAGTGTCTGTCCTGCTCTCTGGGGAGGGGGCCAGGCCCTCTGCGTCTGCACCCCCTCCCCAAGGGGTGTCTCAGCTATAGGGCACCCAGCCCGGGCAACCCCCAGGACAGCACCAGCCCAGCGCTGCTGTGGCTGTGACCACCTAGGGCTTTCCGAACACCACCCGACAGGGGTCCTCCACCAGCCCCCAACTTTCCCACCACCCGAAACCTGGCCCCAGGCAGTCCCTGGCTCGATGGCTGGCCATGTTGCCTCAAGGGATTCCAGGCAAGACCGGACTCCAATGCAGCCACCCTGTTGGCCACAAAAGGCACTGCAGCCTTCTCAAACGTGCCCATTTCTCAGATGAGGAAGCTGAGGCCCATTATCCCGGGGAGGGGGTGTCTTAGTCACCCCACCCACATTCCTTGAGCCTGCCCTTGGCTGGCTGGGCCCTTGTCCACAGATGCCCTGGAGGCTCACAGTGGTAACAGCTGTGGTCCAGGGTGGCCGGTGCCAGCCAAGCATGTGCGGCAATCATGTTCCCCCAGGACCACCTCACACTCCCCACAGTCCCAGGCAGGTCGCATGAAAAGGCGACCCCCATCAGGCCCAGCTGCCTGATTTATGGGCCACTCCAGAGGCCTGGATTTCCTCCAACCCAGGGCCTGCAGAGCCTCTGAAGTGCCTGGCGCGTCTGGTCCCGATTAGCCAATGCCCCTCCCTCCTGCTGCTTCGGAGATTCGCTGAGGTCAGCCACAAGGAGCCCTGCAGAGAAGGAGGAGGGGGAGGAGGAGGAGGAGGAGGGGGTGGGGGAGGGGGATGAGGAGGGGAAGGAGGAGAAGGGGAAGGGGGAGGAGGAGGAGGGGGAGGGGGACGGGGAGGGGGACCAGGAGGGGGAGGGCCCTACCAGAGCAGACACTGCAGGAGCCCCGCTTAGCTCTGCTGATGCGGCCAGTGGGCACACAGGTCTACATGTAGAACCCAGAACTGGCCCCTGCACAGGCTGAGGGCAGACAGGGCCTGTTTTCCAGTCAGGCTCAGATTATGCTGATTTTCCACTCAGCAGGAGGCTGCCCTGGTGGCCCCGTGTGAAGGGGAAGGAAGTCCCCGCCTGCTGGAGCTATTAACCCAACCTGACAGGCAGCCCGGCCCCCAGCTCGCCGTTCTGGAGCCTCCAGACAGGCCAGGCAGCCTCTGCCCGTCCAGCGACCTCAGGCCTTGGGAAGCCCACCCTGCCCTTCTCTCCAGGGCTGCACAGCAGGAGGCAGGAAGGAGAGTGGAGGGCAGGGGAGGGAGGAAGCCCGGATCGACCTGAGAATGCACCACCCACCACGGGCTGGCCAGGCAGAGGGGCAACAGGGAAAAGGGGACAGGAAGCCAAAGTGGCCCCCACCCAAGCCCCCACCCAGCTTTGCCATCAGGAATTCAGACAGCAGCTGCCAGGGAGGCCCCAGCCCTATCCAGGCCTCGGAGCTCCGGGCATCCAAGTCCCAGGTGTTGGGGGCCAGTGCTGGAGGGGGGCCCATCAAGCTGAAGCCCCCACTGGGGACAAGCCGAGGCTGCTGGTCACCTGCTCAGCAACAGCGGCGGCCCAGGCATCTGGGCCAGGGTACCTTCCCCCAGCAGCCCAGGTGCCAGCCAGCATCCTGGAGGCCGGGCCCCACAGCGAAAGCCCACGAGTGGGCCACGCACCCCTCCCCAGGACGGGCCACGAGGCCCTCCTCTCAGGGACTCTCACCACCCAACCCCGACCCAGCAGGCTCCATGGGGGGCACTGAGAGGCCCACCCAAGGCCCCAGGAATTCAAGGCACAGGGCAGGGGCCATCTCTCCAACCCTAGTCACTTATGCGAGACCGGCCTAGGGCAACACAGCAAGACACTGGATGGGACCAGGCGCCATCGCCCCCACCACTGAGCCATCACACCAGCCAGGCTGCACCAGGCTGGCACAGCATAGGGGCCAGGGCACAGACTGCTCGGGTAGAACAGAACCACAGGGCTGCTTGCCGGGGCCACTCAGAGCCACACAGCCCAGCCCAGAGGACCCGAGACCTCCTATTTGCAGGACCAGCCTGGGGCCCAGCACACTGTCCAGCTAAGACAAGAGGAGAACTCGGCACCCCACTCAGCACACGGGACCAGCACTCAGGGCTCCAGGGAGGGGCTCAGGGAGGCCGCTGCTGACATGGGTGGCTCCCAGGGATGGGCATCTTGGGCCCCAGAAGGTGAAGGCGAGGGTCTCCCACACCACTGACTGCTCCCCGCACAGCAGACCCCAGACGCAGCCCTCAGAGAGACAAAAGCCGCCCAGCCCTGCAGCCCTGCCCCTCCCCTCCCCCTCCCCCTCCCCGGCCACGCACAGCCCCCACCGCCAACAACAACAAATCCTGCTCTGTGGCCACTTCCTGCACCTTCCAACCTCTGCACAGGCTGGGCAGTGGGACCAGGCCTCCTCTCCCAGCCATCCCGGCAGCTCACGGGGTCCTCTGGCCCAAGCCCCCAACGGGTTACTGCCCCCCAATTTCAGGAATCTGAACTCCTCAAAGCCCCAGCCAGCAGGCCCGCCTGTCACCCAGGCCTCCACAGCCTGGTGTCTTGAGGAAGACAGTAATTACTCCACTGCGAAATATGACTTTTAATTTTCTCTTTATGGTCTAATTACACAGATACTTTACTTGCATTTGGAAAATGTTTTTCTTCATTTGATTCAATTTAGCATCAAACATAGCCCACCCATTGCGCGCCTGGGTTTTAGGGAGTCTCCCCCCTACTTACAAATCATGACTTTGTTCTTTATTTTGTTTCTGGGGTCTCCGAGTTGCTTTAAGTAATCCTTCCATTTTCTCCTGCGTGTGAGGCCCGGGGGACTTTACCGGGGACTCCCCGCTCCCCGTCACTGCAGGAGAGAAGTCTCCCCACTCCAGCCAAGCCACTGCCCATGGGAAAGAACAGCTGATCAAACCTCCCCGCCAGGTAAGGCCACCCTGGGACAGCGAGGGGAGTCCTGCTCCCAGTTCAGAGACGCCACGCCATCAGACCCCCAGACCTCAGCCATACGGGGCCCTCCCTGAGTCCCCATCACCCGTCTCCACAAAGGAGCTCTGGCACCCACTGGCAGGGCCGCTGGGAGGGTAACTAGGCCCCGAAGCCCCTCCCCGACCCACGCAGTGAGGCATGCGTGTGCGGGCAGCCCTCAAAAGGACCCCATGGGCCATGACCTCCAGATCTTGCCCTCCCTTTCCTTCCCAAACAAAGCGTGCTGGGCTGCAACCCCGAGCAGCCGCTGTTTCCGGAGCTGACAACAGGTCCAGGAAGGGACCCCCGGCCAGGCAGCAGCCCTCGCAGGTCCTGCTGTCCAGGACATTTCCACGTCTGGTGCAGCCCATCAGGGCGGGGGGCAAGGAGCGGGCTCGGTGCTCCAGTCTGGAAACTGGCTGGCCACACCTGGCTGCCCCGGTGCCCCTCCTGCCCAGCTGGGCACCTCTCCAAAGGCCCAGACCCTCCCTGGTCTGCCAGCCAGGACTCCAGGGACCATTCCCATCCTGTGGGTCTGCAGCTCTGAAGGCCTCCTACCCCCTTCCTCCTCTGCTGGGAGGGGAGGGAGCGGGGACACAACCCAGTCCACCCAGCACTGGCCGGCACGCCATCCCCAAGGGCCTGTGCCAGGCGCCAGTCCAGCTGGGCAGCTCGGGGCACAGACAAGCTCATTGAGACCCTCATCCCCTCAATGGCCTCCCCTGTCCTCCATCGCATGCCATGACTGGGATCTGGGGTTATGGGTGGTTAAAGGCCAGACAGGCAAGGATGGCCCCGGCGAGGTGGGGTGGCAGAGGGGCAGGCTCATCAGGAGCCCCAATGCTCAGAGGCATGCTCAGTGCACTGCAGGGGCCTGGGGGTCACCTGCACACTCAATCCAACTCCATGTAGGCTGCAGTCACCGGGTGAACCAAGGGGCCCCGTGGACTCGGTTTCAAATCAGGCCCCTGCCTCCCAGCGGCCCCAGGCATCCCTGGGCAGAAACCCGGAAACCTCTGCATGTGAGGGGCCACAGGACTGTCCACACCACCAGCCCCTCCTACGAGGCTGCCAAGAGTGCCCAGGATCCCAGGGCTGGAGCACAGCTCCACTCCAAACACAGCCCCCAGAGCGCCCGCCTCCTGTCACCTGGCCTGCCCCGTGGCGGTCTCCACGTGAGCTCCAGCCAGGCCCATCTCGGGGCTTTTCACATGCCCACCCCTTGGAGACCCTCACCCCGTCTCCTTGGTTTAACTCTGAGATCAAACACTGCCGCCCCAGGAGCCGTCCGGATGCCGGGACTGCACCTTCCCAGGGCCCTCCCCATGGTCACAGCAGTTTGCTTATGGAAACACAGTGGAGAAGGAGAAGCCAGGGACAGCCTGGCTCTGTGGCTGCCCCCACTTCTTCCCCACCACGTGGGGCAGCAGCAGGCACAGAGGATCTGCGGTGGTCGCCACCCTCTGCATACCCGCTGCCCGGCTCCTCAGGCCCAAGCCCTCCATGCTCTTCCCACCACTCGGTAGGCACAGGGATGAGTTCAGACCTCCTGGCCTCCGCCCTCAGGACCCTCTCCCCACAGGCCTCTAGGGCATCTATAGAGGGCAGGGACCCCATGCCCCACAAGCTACAGCCCCTCCCACAACACCAAATGCAGCCAGGAAGTTGGGCAGGACCAGGACGAGCCTTCTCCCAATCACCCAGCAGGCAAGCTGGGCCCCTGGCACCATCCCAACACCCAGACACTCCCCTGCCAGGTACCCCAGGCCTCCCTGCACAGCCCTAGGGGCCACCCACCCCCAAAAACAACCACCCTGTTCACTGGCTACCAGGAGTCTGTGACCCCTTTATAGACTGAGGCTCAGAGAGACTGAGACACCTGCCTCAGGCCACACCACCAGGGTCGCAGAGCTGGGGTTCCAACTCAGACCTGGGTGACTCCAGGGCCCAGAGACGCACCCTTGCCACTGCCCTGCTGGCCCCATCTTGGGGAGCCTCTGGGCTGATGGGGTGGCCCCAGTCCCACCCTCAGGAGAAAAAGATGGAGAGCCAGGCGTGGAAGATAAAGCTTGGAGCCAGGTCGCCTGACACTTCTTCCTGGTGAAGGCAAATTTGCGGGGGTCGGGGAGAGGGGGCCCTAGGGACGAGAGCAGGAGGGGCCTTTCAGCCTTGCTCAGGGCAGCCCCCACAGGCTAGGTCAAGCGGCTGGAGGACGAGGGCTTTGTGGAGGCCACGTTGGCGGCAGGGGTGAGGGTTTTGAGGGCAGAGCCGGGCTACAGCCGTGAACCGAAGCTATGAGCTGGGGAGGGAAGATGGGGACAGGACATTTAGGAAGAGCTCCCTGAGGGCACCAGGCAAGGGCCAGCATGCGGCACCTCCGCCAGAAACAGAGGCCAAAGCTCAGGCAACACCCATCACATGGGGTCAGAGGCCAGCGCAGGAGGGACGCAAGCACGACCATCCCAGGTCCAATGCAGCGCGCTGAGCTGAGTGACCTGGCGCCGGGCCAGGCGGGACTACACATTGCCATCAGCCCCGGGCACCGGGCTGGGCCACCCACCCATCCCCAGCCCTACAGCTGAGGCCTGGGATGCTGCTGGGGTCGGGGACAGGTGGGCTGGGGAGTCTCCACGGAGCACAGTGCAGCCCTGCGGAGGGCCTCGGGCCACCCCAGCCCACGGGTCCTGCCTAGAAGACTCCATCCTGGAGAGGCAGCTATGGCCAGGGCACGCCCGTGAACGAAACGGAGACACTGTGACACTGGAAGGAAAAGTGACCCTGAGCGCCGGAAGAAGCAACAGTGACGACGCAGCCCAAGGACTGTTCACAGGCGGGAAACTGAGGCCCCGCAGGACAAGGACACACCGTGGTGGGGGTGGCAGCCTCCAGAGCCTGCCCTGAGAAAGTCTCACCAAGCACAGTGTTCACCCCAGCAGGAAGGGAGCAGCGTGGGTGCAGAGCTCAGAGGCTGACGAGGGCTGCCCATTCCTGGGCCAGGACTTCCAGAGGCCAGACCACCCAGCCTGGCTGCCACCAGGAACCAGGGAAAGCCCAGCTGACAGCCACTCCCCCCAACAGCACAAGCTCCGCTTCCATGGACCAGATGAACAGGCTGAAGCAGACACGACCAAGGCACGGTCAGTCCACTTTTACTCTTACTTATTTACTCATAGCCCACACTGTCTTGCACAAAGATTGTGCGGTGGCTCGCAGGAACTACAAAATATAAGCTAAAAACAAAACCATGCAACTACAGTCAGTCATAACTGGAACAAAAAGAATGACCCGTTCCCATTAGAGCAGAAGAAAAGTCCCACGCGGCCCAGAGCTGAGCAGCACATTTGCTGTGAGCTTCCTAGCAGGCAAAGGAAGAGAAGAACTAGACTTTCTTTGTTACTTAAGGGAAAAACCAGCTCTTCTGATTCCCAAATAAGAGATCCTTCCAGGGTACTTAAGGGAGCTTTGGGAAGGCCCCAGTCCCATTCCCTTAGCCCACTCCAAACCCTCACAAGCCCCTCCAGCAGGACTCTGAGCAGCTGAAGGTTTGGGGGTAGCCTGCAGTCCCCCTCCTTCCCTGTCCTCTACCTGGCAGCAGAGAGGCAGTGAGGCCAGCGGCCACAATCCCATCCCCACCCAGCCCACATGTGACCACGGCCAGACTCCCCCAGAGCACGTCCCTGCCCCGACATAAAGCTTGTACCCCGGAAGCCGCTAGGGCTCCATCTCTGCTTCTGGCTGGTGTTCAGAGGACAATGGTTCACATCCCTCAAGCTCAAGTCCTCCCCCAAATGCCCATCCTCAACCCCTGGGACCCCAAAGAAGCAAGAGAGACAAGACGAGCACAAGGACGTGCCCTCCACCCATCACATGCTGAACCACAGGGAATCCCGGAGGCAGCACCGCCTGTCCAGGGAAGAGAAAGCCCAGGTCCCACAGAGGCTGCACAGCGAGGCTGGGCCCACCCAGGCTTCCTCCCTCCCGGCCCTTCCCCAGGCTCCCTCCCCAACAGTAACTGGGAGCTCCGAGCTCCACGGCCTCCCGAGCAGAGCCCTTCCTGGTAGAGTTAGCCAGTGCCCCGCCTGCCAGCCAGGGAGCCGTGCCCCCTCACACCTCCCCAGGCTGCCACCAAAGCCTGTGACACCTGGGCTCAGCTGGGAATGCTGCTGATGCCAGGCACCCCACCCTGCGGATCCCCGAGGCGGGTGCCACTGCCAGGCACAAAGGTGGCCCTGGCAGCAGTGGAAGCCGGGCCAGGCTCCAAGCAGCGAGGGAAGGTGGCAGCCCCAAGTCTGGGGGCCCAGGGGCTCTGACCACAAGTGGCGAGCATCCGTCATGGGACCACTCGGGCGCAGCTCCTACCCTCCCAGGACCATTGCCTATTTGGGGGCAACAGACCTGGGACCCCCAAATCACAGGCCTGGGGGCTGTGGAGACAGAGATGCCCCCATCCATCCAGGGGGCTAAGAGGGCTTCCTCGGACAAGTGACAGAGGAGGAACGAAAAGCTGGCAGGAGGAACGAAAAGCTGGCAGGAGTCACCTCCAGTCAAACCAGAGAGGCAACAGGAGAAGCAAACAGAAGCCCATGAGCAGCGTCCAAGGAGAAACAGGACTCGCCAAGCCACACAGAGCGGTAGGAGGGCTCCCAGCCTCAGACCATGACAACTGATTCCCTGTACACAGGGGCCACCCGGAGCTTCGCCGGGAGGAGAGTCCAGAGCCACAGCCTCGATGGGCAGCTTCCCTCACTGTTCAGCTGCGTGGCACCAGCAGGCGGCACCAACAGTGGTTCTGGAGCTCTTGGGGGCATAAGGATGAGGCCCCTGCCTGGATAAGCAAGAGATGCACGGGAGCTAAATGAGAATTGATCATTTTCCCCATCGGGGGCGATAATCAATTCAGCACCGGTACTGACGCTTCAAATGTCACGGGGTCTCAGGAGGAGTCAACACCTCACATGACGTGTCTGTCAGCAGCTGGAATGGATCCCCAAGCAGGGACCCTCTCCTTGAAGCAGGGAACCATCCTTTGTGGGGGAGGGGGATGGTCATCCTCCATGGGAACTGTCATTTTGAGGGGCGGATAGCCGGAATCCAGCCCCAGCAGTCCCGGGGGTGACCACCAGCAAGTGGGGTGTGGGAGGAAAAGCCTGGTCATTCAGTCATTCAACAAACACCTCCAGGTGACCCGGACCCCATGCCTGACCTGGCAGAGCTCCTGCTTGTGGGGGAAACCAGGACTGGGGTCAGGGAGAGGGAAGAGGTCTGCCACAACAGTTTGCGGTGGTGGGTGAGCATGGGGAAGCGAGGGGGGCCTTAGATGTGGAGAAAGAGGGAGGCCCCAGCTTTGCCTGCTGAATGGGAGGCACCAGGCTGCAACCTCCCACAGGGACATCTCAGAGTTGGGGGCACCTGAGAAGGGGCCCCTGAGGCCAGAGCAGGGACACTGAGGGGCCTCCAGCCCAGGGAGGCCAGGGGGTCTTGGGATGAGGACAGCATCTATGGCAGGGCAGACAGAGCAGCCCATTAGAGAAAGGTCCCTGGAGGCCACAGGAGGCCAGGCCACAGGGGGCCGCTCCAGGCCATGGGGGTCCTGAAGTAGTCAGCCCGGAGACAAGGCCTGAGGACCCTGGTGAGAGCAGAGGGCACAGTGTGGGGACACAGTGAGGAGCAGGAGCCACGGCCAGAGTCCCATCATGGGGCTTCCCCTCCACACCCAGGGCCAAGCACCCTTCTCAGATCAGGAAAGACAATCCCCTGGGGCTCCAACAGGGGCAGGAAGACAATGTCCCCCTCCCCTACGGCCCCAGACGGGGCACCAGAGCTCAGAAAGGTGGGGAGGGCACAGTCTTATCCATGCCACAGGGATGAGGTCCCCAGATAGGGGACCATGGTCACCCTCACTGCCCAGACAAGGGAACTGAGACAGGCTCAGGCAGACAAGAGCACACAGCAAGGGAGAGGTAGGCCGGGAACCTGGGCTCCAACAGCCCCAGGGACTCGGAGTCCCTAACTCAGCAAACAGCAGCAGCAGCTGCCAAGGTGAGAGTGCATCCCTTCCGGGCACTGCTCTACGTACCTATGCAATGGGCACAAAGACGGTCCCATGTCGCAGAGCAGGAAACAGTGGCCAAGAACTCTCGGGAACCTGCTCAGGGGAGCTGCCTCCTGGCAGGAGGGTGGGCAAGGGCCCAGCAGGGGATGAGCATAGGCAGGACCATGCAGGCATCGGGTGTTGCTAAAGAGCAACACATTCAAGGAGACCCTGGCAGGCTGGGCCCGACCCTCTACGCCTCCCTCTACAACGGAGACAGGCAGGGAGACCCCGGCAGGCTGGGCCCCGACCCTCTACGCCTCCCTCTACAACGGAGACAGGCAGGGAGACCCTGGCAGGCTGGGCCCCGACCCTCTACGCCTCCCTCTACAACGGAGACAGGCAGGGAGACCCTGGCAGGCTGGGCCCCGACCCTCTACGCCTCCCTCTACAACGGAGACAGGCAGGAAGCCCGGAGGCGAGGGCCTCTAATAGCCAGGCCGGGTCCCAGCAAGTCTCTCCACTTCTCTGGGCTTCTGAAGATCCAAGCATGAGACAGATGGATGATTGTGAAGTTCCCTGTAAACAGCTATCCTCAAGGAAGCTCATCTCTCCCCTAAAAAATACGAAACGGGCCCCTGGGGAAATCCTAGAACACCAACCCTAAATACCCCTTGCCACGTTGGCCTTACAGAGCAGAGGCCAGGGCCCACTGGACAGTGCACCAGACTCCGGGGAGCACACTGGGGTCTCCCTGGCCACCCCAGAGATTTCCCTCCCAACCCAAACACAGAAGCAGCCATGTCCACACATCTGGGCCCAGCGGGCCAGGCCAGGGCTGCAGGCTGCAATTTTGCTGGGACTCTGGGGACAGCCCAGGCCCGCACAGGGGACAGGACAATGACACCCGTAAGGCCCCAGGATGGCAGGTGCAGCCCCCCATGCCCTGTGGAGAGACAGTGGAGGATGGGGTCTTCTCTCCCGGGGGCACAGCACCCTGCAGGTGGGACAGCACTTCACAACAGGCCCCAGGTGACAGAGGAGACCACAAAGCAGAAGAAGGGGGCCCAGAGCAGAACAAAGCCCTGGCTGAGACCAGCCCGGGACCCCGGTGTGCTGAGTGCCAGCGCCAGCTAGGGAAGGGGGAGCCCCCAGCTGGCACTCAAGAGGAGTTTCCAGTGTCAAAGGCCAAGCTCAGGGGAGGCTGGAGATGGGTGGTCTGGGGCTCCCCTGAAGACCTGTCTGCCAGAAGAGACCAAGACACCCCCCTAGATGAGGAACCTAGAATCCACCAGGGACTAGTATCACCTGCAGCCCTCTCCACTAGGACCCCTGGCCTGCCCGTGACCAGGAGCCCCCTCCCCTCCACGAGTCCATGCCAGGACCATGGCCCCAGGGCCAGGCAGCATCAGCAGTCCAAGCCCACTCCAAGAATGAGGAGACCAGCTCAATCTTAATGCCCCTCCTGTCTCTGGCGTGTTTCCCCTAATGGGGCAGCAAGATGGGCCTTTAGCTCTGGCTGGCCCTCTCCAGGGGGCCCTCAAGGGTCTCCTGCTACCTTTTAAACTAGATACAGGCCACTGGGGCACAGAGTATGGCCAAGGCTGCAGCCTGTCCAGAGCAGAGGACAGGGCGGGTCCAGCCCCACCCCAGGACAGGCCCACAGGCGCCTGGCCTGAGCCAGAGAGAGGCTACAGCAATCCTATCCCTCGCCGAGACTCCAGAGAGCCCGGAGACGGTGCCCAGGACAGAAACCAGACTGGTACCCTGCCCCACCCTGCCCTGCCCCAGACAGGGCAGTCAGGGTCTCAGCTCACTCCAACCCCCACAGCCCTTAGAGAACTATATTTAGATTCAATGGGGATTATGCGGACTTCCCAGGAACTCTTTCATAAAGGCTGAAGGCCCGGCAGCGGGCTTCCTCTGGAGACCCCCACCCGCCCCCAGCCTTTGCAAACTTCCAGCATGCATTGTTCCTGGAACAATGGTCCCTGCTCCCTCCAAAGCCGGCAGGCCCACTGGCTGGAAATCCAGGAGAACCCCTCCCCTGCAAGCACCTGCCCCTGGGGCTGGAGCCTGGGGAACCCAGAGGGCCCCGACTCAATTCCCCATGGGCGGCCACTGCCTCAGTCTATCCCAGGAGGTATGGGACAACAGTTCTTATCCTTGAGGCTGGGAGAGGAGTAGGCAGGGACCCCCCAGCTGCTGTGGCCCACCCTTTCACCTGCCAGGCCCCCCGGCCCCAGGTATGTAATTTCCAGACACCTGGCTGGGGGCCCAGGTGCCCCAAGGGCCACAATGCACCAAATAACCTCTCCCTGCTGGTAGGGCTGGAGCTGTCCCGCCCTGGGTGGAGTCCCTGCCATCCGCTCTCTCCCCTCCTCCTCCCACACAAACCTGCGTTCCAGCTGTGGGACATCTGGGCTGGGGGAGGAACGCCAGCCCAGGCCCCTCCCATCCGAGGCAGCAGGGCCCCTCGGGCTGAGCTCCCTAGCTCACACATGGTGTTACAGACCGGGAAACTGAGGCCCGCAGAAGGGAAGTCCTGGCTGATAACTCTTTGTGGAAACAGCAGCAGGGAAGGAGTGGAACCCTGCTTCCCTCCAAGCCCCAAGTTCTACCCAAGTTCGGCGTGGCCCTGCTCGGAGGGGTCGGCCTAAGGAAGTGTCACTTACCCGGAGGGTGGTCCCGGGCCCGCTGACCAGCTTCCACGCCTGTCGCTTGAGCTCCACCAGCTTCGTGTGGCAGTGGCGGCACCAGCCGCCTCCGCCGGCCGAGTGGCCCTGCTCTGGGCCGGCCCCGGCGCCTTCGGGAGCAGGGCGGCTGCCGCATGGGTCCTGGTCGGGCCCGGCGGGTAGCCTCTTTCGGGGGGACACCTCCAGCAGCGGCGGCGGCTCGCGGGCCGGGCCGCCCTCGGCCACCTGCAGGGTGTGGGGGCGGAAGCGGACAGTGAGCCTGGGACGTCCGTCGGATCCAGACCCCTGCGCGCCCTGCCCCAGCGTGACGCTCTTGCCAAAGTTAGGAGCCCTGGGCACGACCCTGGCGCTCACCCACTCCCTCCATCCCCGGAGGTCCCGCCTGCGGGTCCGCTACCCTCAGCAGGAGGCCCGGCCCCCAGGGATCCAGCGCACACCGCGAGTATCTTCGCCGTCCCGGGCCCCCGCCGCCCGCCTCCCTCTCCAGGCCGGGCCGCGCGTACCGCGGGCTGCGCAGCGCACAGAGGGACGCCGCGGCCGACCATGGCCGGGGCGCGGGAAGAGCCCGGCAGGCGCTCCCGGCCACGCTGGCTCTCCGGGGGCGCCGCGGCTACGTGATCCGGCCCCGAGGCGCCCCCATGGCCCGGCCCAGCCGCTCGGAAGTTCGCAGAGCCTGCGAGTGTCGCGAGGAGCGCGGTGGCTCCGGTGGGCGCGCTCGGGAGGCGAGGGCGGGGCCGGGGAAGGGCGGGGCTCGGGCTCCCGGGGCGGGCGGCGAGGGGCGGGAGCCCAGAGAGTGCCCCGCCCTTGCCCAGTGCTGGGCGGCGCGTGGGGGGGGTAGGGTCCCCGCTTCCCCACGCGGCCCCGCGCACTCCAAGGACCCCAACCTGTTAGGTGAGTCCCTGCCCCGGGGAGGGGCGCTGGGGGCGGCGGCGAGGATCTAGTTGCGCGCGCGCATGCGCCTCCCGCCCCTCTCCCGGGACACCAGGGCTGCGCGTCTCCCAGGAGGCGCCGACGCCCCTCCCTCTACAGGCGGGAAAACTGAGGCTGCGGAGGGGACGCTCTTGCCCAAGGCCCACGGCGAGGTGGGCCGAGGAAGGGGCGGGACCCCGGCCCCGAGACTCCCAGGCGCCTTTCCAGCAAGCCCAGCGTACTCTGCGTGTCGCGGGCCACTTTAGGTCTAACTGTCGCGCGTGGGTTAGTGTCGCCGCGGTGTGCGCCTCGAGCCGGGCAGCGACCGCGCCGGCGTATCTGTGCCTCGGCGCGTCTGCGAACGGCACGTGTCTTTACAGCCGCGCGTGTGCCCGCAAGTGGGTGTGCGCGCCGTGCCGCCCGGGAAGCGGGAGGTCCTGCGGGCGTGCGCCGGACCTGTTGTCAGCAGGCCTGGCAGATGGGAACTCAGCTCCGGAATTAATTGCTTGTTTGTCTCCGGCTGGGAGGCCGCCCCCCCGCCCTTCCCTGGCGACCAGTTGCTCTGTGCCTAGCCGGGCCCCAAATGTCGCCGGCATCCGCGGCCGCAGGCAGCTCCGGGCCAGGCTCCGGGTCAGCCCCAAAGCCCGGGTCAAGCCAGGCGGGCGCGGCGGGCGGGCTCCCCGTGACGCGAGTGCCCCCTGCCGGCCGCTGCGCACACGGCTCCGAGACTGGGGAGACAGCGCCGCGCGTCCCAGGCCTGAGGCGCACTCGGAAACTCCGAAGGTCGTGACCCGGCGGAGACCAGGACACGCGGCTGCCGGCACATACGGTGAGGCCTTCGCAGAGACTCAGTACGTCAAAGTGACCCTTTCCGTTTTGCCCACCCCCTTTTACTTGGATAAGCCTCCCCGCCCACGCACGCACTCCCCAGAAAGTGGGGTGGGTGATCCCCTCCCGGCTTTCCGGGTCGTTGATGACCTTAGGGGTTCGAAAACGCAAGGGGGTATGGAATAAAGTGGCAGGGGCTCTCCACTCTTTCTGAGATCCGTAAGCCTGCAGTCGCTTTCCACCCAGCCTGGGGGGCCGGAAGCGCTTCCCCTACCCGTCTCTTCGCAGCCTGGAGAATGAAAACGGGCGTCAGCCCACATCTGGATCTGGGTACTGAGGACAACACCCAAACCCCACCCCGCACTGCCGGCAGACAGCACCGCCTCCCGCCGCTCCACTGCTCCGGGACACACACTCTCTATATCCCGTCCCCCCACCCACACACGCAACACAGAAGCACGCAGCGGTCGGGAGCACCGGTCCTGCGCCCCTGGCCAGCCACACCCGCAACTTCAGCGCTTCTACCGCCGCGGCGCTTCGGGAAGCACAAGCTCACATCCCATATCCGCAGAACACGGGGTGCACAAGGCTGGAGTCACCTCGGGGGCTCACGATCAGTCAGGGGCCCCGACCCCCTACTTCGCCCATCCTAGCAAGGCGCAAGGTGAGCCCGAGAATCCCTGCGCTGCGCTCTCCGCCCTAGCCACAGCCTCCGGGTGGGTCCGGTTGGGACACAGCCTTGAAGGCAGAGGGAGACTTGGACAACGCTAATGGGGGAAAGTGCGGCAGCGAGTCCCAGCCCGGGCTGCGGGACGCGGCTCCGGACCTGCCGTCTCCTTCCCGGCGCAGCACCCCCGGCCGCGCGAGCCGCGCGGCAAAGTAACGGGACGGCGCCTACGCCGCCCGCCCCCCTCCCGACAGCCCTCACCTTGCCTCGTCGCCGCAGGAGGTGGCTGGTGAAGCCCAGGATGATCTCCGAGTCCAGGCAGAGCGCCCCCATCTCCAGCAGGCTGGGAGCCTTGCGGGGCGCGCCGCGGGGCGGCTCGGGCGGCTGGGGCAGCGCCATGGAAGAGGGAAGCGCGGGGAGCGGCCCCTAGTGCCTCCCGCCACCGCCGCCCCGCCCGCGCGTTCACTGGCCGCGCGCCCGCCGCCGCCGCGCCCCGCACCGCGCAGGGCCGCCCGTCAAGCCCCCGGTCCTCCGCGCCCCGCGCCCCCGAGCCCTGCGCTCGCTCCGCGCCGCGCGCCCCCGCGCTCCGGCCCCGCCCGCCTGCGCCGACAGCGCCCCTTCCGCCCCGGCGGCGAGCCAGACACCAGCCACGCGGACTGGAGGTGTGGGGCGACGGCCCCGCGCGCCACTGGGCGGAGGTTGGAAGCCAGAATCGGGTCGCGGTCCGCGCCCACCTGCCTCGCTAGCCCCCAGACGTCGGTGTCTACTGCCGGGTATCCGGCAGGGAGAGGGCAGCGCGGCTGCTGTAAAACCCTTCCGACTGGGGCATAATCGCAGCCCCTTCCCCCTCCAATCTGTCCTGAGGACACGGCGCGTTGGGGTCCTGGCCCATGGAAACGCTCAGAGCCCAGTGACCTGTGCACTCCACCCCGCCCACGCTCCAGAGCCCCCGTTCAACCTTGGCCTATGGACCTCCAAGGCCCACCCCAACCGGACCACGGAGCGTGCGCAGCGGGACCCGCAGTCTGCGCCTCCACTCCAGGATCCCGATTGTGCCGCCACCCGTGGCCTTCCCTGCCCCGACCCCGACTCCCTGAGGGCTGGAAGATTCGGGCTGGCTGCCGGGCACGACGACTTTACTTTCAGGGTCCGAAGCTAGGGGCGGGGGTGGGCGCTCTGCCTGGGTGCAAACTCAAGCCCGGGTCCCGCGCTCCTCCTGTGGGCTGCCCCAGCCTCGCGCGCAAGTGGGTGAGATGCCTGGCTTGAGGGAGGAAGGGAGAGGATCAAGCAGGCAGAGAGGTTCGCCTAAATGCGCTAGGCCCACGCGGAAGGTCTTTGGGAGTTAAGGAAGTGTCAGGGACCCTGCCCAGGGGATATTAGGCGCCTTGAGCAGGACCTGGAAGGTGGACAGGCGAGGGAAGGAGAACGTTTTCAGCGGCGCCAGCGCGCACCTATGGCCTGGCTGGGGTGCTAAGGCTGGGCTAGACTTTCTGTGCTCTCTGCCCCCTGCACTCCTCTACTCTCCCCTGGGAAGGACCATGGCCACGCCCCACAACCCCACTGCTCCGGCGGCGCCGCAAGGCCGTCCTGCTCCCCCGGTCCTTCCCCTGACTCCCCCCAGTGGAGGCTGAAGGACGTTGTCTCAACCTGACTCCAACCCAGAGCCCAGCACTGCCATTTGTCTCCAACAGAATCACCATAAACGCTGGATTTGCTGACCACATGGCCGATCGTGACCACCTGCTCTGTACTCACCCAGGCTTCTGGTCAGGAGAGAGGCGGGGAAGAGCTGCCCCCTCCCTGCGTCCACCATCACTCCTGGCCTGGGATCAGGGCAAGTTATAAAGGGGGCCAGAGTCCCCCCTTTCTCTCTGTCCCTCTCCAGGAGGACACTCTGGGGACCACCCACCCTCCTCCCTCCCCCACAGGAAGGGGACTGGGGAAGACTGTCCTCTTCCCCCATCCTGTCTCATCCAAGACCCTGAGCCTGGGGCGGGGAGGGGGGGGCTCCCTTCAGCGGACCAAGGGCTTCTGGGAGGCCACCCGCCATGTCAGTGGATTGATTAAAGTCATTGTGGGGATTTTTTTTAACATTTAATTTACCAGGCACGCGGCGGCTGGTCAGAGCTGTCCCCAGGGAAATCTAGACCAAGGGAGCAAAACAGAAAAAAACCTCCTACCATTCAGCAGGGCCCCTCTGATGGGATTAATTGCCGGAACTCGGCTTCCATTCAGACCACACGCAGCAATGTTTCAGGGAGGGAGGAGGACATGGGGCTTGAGTGCTCAGATTCCTTCCCTGGGTGCTTGGAGCCCAGGGCCCTCCATACCGCCATCTCTCCCCAGCCTGCTGGTGCTGGTCAAGAGCCCCGCCCCCCACCTCTCCGCACCTTCGTGTCTTCATGTGTGACGAGGTGGACGGTACCCGGAGGCAGACCAGTCCCTCCAGAGCCCACCCCACCCCCATCCACGTCCCTTCAGTGTGCAGGGCAAGAGCTGGGAGGCACCCCAGACACGCTCCCACGGAAACTGAACACTTGCCAGAGGTGTCTTTAGTAGTGGAAACCGGCTGGGTAGGAATGGCCAATCGTCTCTTCATCCTTGGCGACAGTGGATGGACGGCAGGTGGACCCGGGACAGGGACGGGCACGCAGTGTGCGGCACAGCCCCGTTGGCCTTTGCAGAGAAGGTTTATGCTTATGAAGGCGGGGACCTTTCCTGGGACAGACACAAGCAACAGGTAACGATTGTTGCCTCTGGAGAGAGAGTAGGAGTGGGGTTCGGGAGAGGTTTCACTTCCATTTTACACCCCTCTGCACGGTTTTGACTTTTGTGGGGTTTTTAACCATCCTGTTTAGCATTTAATAAAGAGATAAGGAAGGGTTACAGGGCCTAAACTGTCCACAATAAAATTATACAAGGCCCATGGCCCTAGGATCACACCTGGCATCAGACAGACCCTCATCCTCTCCAAGAGTTGAGGGGGATGGAAAAAACCCTTCTCCTCAAGGAGGCCTCGGGACACTCCCCACACGTTCCCAGGATTGACCAGCTCCCTGGGCTCCCTGCTCACCTATCCCTCCTGGAGGCCAGGACCATGTCTGGGGTGCAGGAGAGAGGGTGCCTCAGGAAGGCAGCCACAAGGGAGGCCGACCCCGGCTCAGGGCAGGGCCTCCTAGTAAAGCGAGGCCCCTCGTCCTCAGCACCAAGGGCAGGCTTCAGGTGGTCACTGCACCAGTTCTTCAGAGGGTGTCTGAGTGCTTGGGGGAGGGTGGCCGGCCATGGGGTTTAGCTGACACCCACCTGTTCTCCGGACCAGGCTCTGTCTTACGCACTTGGTAACATCCACTCATTTAATCTGCCCAACAGTGCTAGGCACGGGTATTGTATGATCGCCGTTTTACAGATGAGGAAATGAGGCCCAGAGTGGGGAGGTCAGTCTCCAGGTTTCGCCCCAGGAGTCTGTGCTCCTAAGCCCTGTGTTTACAGCCTCCTTCCCTCTTCCCCCAGGGCCCAGCTGCAGAGCAAGGGACCCCAGCCCTGGCCTCGGAGCCAGGATGGAGCACGAACAAGGGTGGTCAGCTCTGAACTGAGGTCTGGGAGCCCAGCCAGGATCCCACGGATCCTGGCTAAGGGTTTGCTGAGTAGGGAGAGACTGGGGATGCTCGCTGGTCAACAGCTGATGGCTCCACAGACCTCACCCTGTGCCAGAGGAGCCCCAGGTCCAGCACAGAGGGACAGCCTAGGACGCGGCTTCAGCACCTTGGCCAGCACCAGGAGGGGGCTTCTGCAGGCGAGGGGAAGGGGGATGGGGGAGTGTCCTGGGGTGTCAAGCTCTCCATCACTCATTTGCTCATTCACTCTTTCTTTTTTTTTTTTTTTTTTTGGAGTCTTGCTCTGTCTCCCAGGCTGGAGTGCAGTGGCACAATCTCAGCTCACTGCAACCTCCGCCTCCTGGGTTCACGCCGTTCTCCTGCCTCAGCCTCCTGAGTAGCTGGGATTACAGGCGCCCACCACCATGCCCGGCTAATTTTTTGTATTTTTAGTAGACATGGAGTTTCACCGTGTCAGCCAGGATGGTCTCAATCTCCTGACCTCGTGATCCGCCCGCCTTGGCCTCCCAAAGTGCTGGGATTACAGGCGTGAGCCACCACGCCCGGCCTCGCTCATTCACTCTTTCAATTCAGTCATCCTGGAGTCGTCCTTGACTCCTGCTTGCTCACGGCCCCCGCAGCCCATCCATCAGGATCTCCTGTCCCTACCACCCTAATGGAATGTCAGCCCCTGGAGGGGGTTCTGCAATGCCATGCCTGCTTCACCACAGCCGCCAGGTGAGCCTTTAAGAAGGCGGTGGGCTCCTTCCACTTCTCGGCCCTGGCTGACTGACCCGTCTCCTCCCGCTCTGCACCCCCTACGCATTCTGCTCCAGCCCCAAGGGCCTCCTCGCTGTTCCCAAACGTGCAGTCACCCCCATTTGAGCGTTTGCTCCACTGTTCCCACTGCCAGGGGGCTCTTCCCCCAGACATCCACATGCCTGACTTTCTCCAGGTCTTTTCTTTTTTGAAATAGGGTCTTGCTCTTTCGCCCAGGCTGGAGTGCAGTGGCGCAATCACAGCTCACTGCAGCCTCGACCTCCCAGACTCAACCGATCCTCCCACCTCAGCCTCCTGAGTAGCTGGGACCACAGGCACGCACCTCCACTCTGAGATAACTTATTGATTTTTTTGTAGAGACCAGGTTTCACTATGTTGCCCAGGCTGGTCTCGAACTCCTGGGCTCAAGCAATCCTCCTGCCTCAGCTTCCCAAAGTGCTGGGGTTATAGGCGTGAGCCACCAGGCCTTTTCTAAGCAAAGTGTTCCCTGCCCACCTTACCTAAAATGTCAGGCCCTTCCTGCATCCTGCAGCTTTGCCCATGTTTCCTCTCCCTCCTTAGCACTTACCAGGAGCTGACTTAGATGTTTCTTACTTGTCTAGTTTATTGTCCTTCATCCCCTTTAGAATATCAGCTCCATGAGGGCAGGAAATGTTTGGTTGAGCACCTGGCACAGCACTGAAGCTCATTCACATTTGTGGAAGAAATAAAGGAATGCATGAACCCCAGGCTTGTTCTCTGTGCCACCAGGTCCTGCTGCATTCCCCCTGCAGAGGGGCTCCTGTCCTTCCTATCCCAGCCTTTCCCGGCCCTGCCATGCCCCCACCCTATATTCTGCTCTGGCCACCTCACTGGCCCCACCCTGGCTCCTCTCACCCCCCACCACACTGCACCTCGAGGCTGCAGTGCCAGACCCCACCCTCAGGATGCCTTGCCCGGGTTCCCACAGCCCAGCCCTAAGTCAGCCAGGTTGACCTCATGGGACCTGCAAGCCAGTGTGCGGCGCCCAGCTGCCCCAGCCTGAGGACTCTTCCTGGGCCCAGGTGGAAGCATTCCTGACCTACCTGCACCTTCTCTGTTTCCTGGGAGGACGTGTGTAGCACCAAGTGGCCTCCAAACCTTCCAGCCAGTGCCCTCCCCACCAGGGTGGAGAGCCCTGGCCCCAAGCCCAGCCTGCAAGGCCCGCAGCCTGGATCTTTTCCCGCCGTGCTTGGCTCCCCTCTCCCCTCCAACACGGGATCTGGCTGCCTGAACCTCCCTCCATGCCCACAATACCCAAGCCCTGGCAGGACTCCAGAGTCTCTACCTCCCTCAGCCACATCTCGAATGGGGACACTGTCACTTGTGGCCAGCAGATGGCACACTTTGGCCACAGTTTGTGGCCAGAGGACGATTAAAGCACTCTCTTGGTCCAGTTCCCCTTTTATGCAGATAGGAAAACTGAGGCCCAGAGACAGTGAAGGGTGCACCAGGGCATGGAGCCCAGGGCTCACCTTCAAGGCCCATGAGGCCAGCCCTGTGGCCTCACCAGTGCCCCCACTCCACCTAACAGGCCTTGGCGCATCTAACCCCATACCCCTGACTTCCTTCTCCCCTCCTGTTCCTGCCTCTTCTCCCTCTACTCCTTGTAGGCTGGGCTCAGCCTCCAGCTTGAGGATAGGCAGTGACCGGGGAAGAAGAACACCTGGGTCAGGAGTCTTACCGAGTCCCCAGGCACTTTGGCTGAAGGTGCAATCTGCAAAACTTTGAGAAACCCCTTAGCACAGGTGCATTGCCTAGACAGCCCCGCCACCATGCCAGAAGTGGCCCCGCTGCTTCCTGAAGAGCCTGGGGGTGAACCTCATACAAAACCCCCAGCCTCCCTCAGCTCCGGATCCCCAGGGACCAGGGCTGGGCATGAAGGCAGCCTCATGAGTAGAGGCTGTGTGTGTGTGTGTGTGTGTGTGTGTGTGTGTGTGTGTGTGTGTGAATATGGCTTACACGAGAGTGTAGAGCATTGATGCACCACACAGAGTGAGGTGCTGAATCAGTGAAGATGGGAATGCTGAGAGTGCCACTCCCTCAGACCCTGGGGTCCAGGCAACACCATTAACCACACCAAAGACACCACACACTTCAGGAGCTGCCACCCAGGGCCTAACAGGATATGGCATCTCCACAACTAGTCCTGAGCATGACCGTGGAATTTCCTCAGAGAAAGAAAATATTGACTTCCATGAACTTAAGTGCAGATGCAATTCAGAGGACACTTTAAAAAGCACTTGGAAAATAAAAATATAATAACAAATAAAATTCAAGAAAGAGGGTGAAAGATAAAATTAAGGAAACCTCCCAGAAAGTAAAGAAAAAAGAGTTGGAAAATAAGATGGGAGCATTTTTTGAATTACAGAGTTAGGAAATTCAGCATCTGAATCACAGGAGTTCCTGAGAAGGATAGAAAAAATATGAGTGAAGGAATAATGCCAAAACATTTGCCCAGAACCAAGAGCTAGAAATCTTCAATGGCCAGCACAAGAAAGCGGGGAAGAAAAGGCCAACATCTTGAAATTTCAAAATAACACCAGGAAAAAACAGAAGATACTAAAAGCTTCTGGGGGTGAGAGGAGGAGGATGGATCAGGAAGCCAACTGACATCTGACTTCTCAATGGAAACAATGAAAACTAGAAGATGATGGATTTCAGTGTCCAAAACTGAGGGAAAATGATTCCCTGTCTAGAATTCTATACCCAGCTAAACTATTAATATCAGCTTAGCATAAAAGTAAAGACAAAAAGGTTTGCCTTTGATTTTTCTCTTTCTTTAAGTTCTTGGATAATGGGCTCCCCCACAGCAAGAAACTAAACCAAGGAAAAAGAGGATGTGGAATCAAGGAGATGGGAGCTAACCCAAGAAAGTGGTGAATGGAGATCAAGGATGTCCACTGAACGGCAGTCCCAACGGGTTCATATTGGAGCAAGCATTAAGCACTCTCTACAGGTAGAGAGAAGGAAAAAAAGGAAGGAATTAGATTACTTCATGTATTTTAACACATTTAGAAGAAATTTAAACTTCTATCAAAGAGCATGGGGCTGGGCATAGTGGCTTATGCCTGTAATCTCAGTACTTTGGGAGAATGAGGCAGAAGGGTCACTTGTGGCCAGGAGTTCAAGACCACCCTGGGCAACATAGTAACACCTTGACTCTACAGAAAGAAAGAAGGAAGGGAAGGGGAGGGCAGGGGAGGGGAAGGGAAGGGAGGGGAAGGGAGGGGAAGGGAAGGGAAGGGAAGGGAAGGGAAGGGACTAAAATTAGTCAGGCATGGTAATGTGGGCCTGTAGTCTCAGCTGCTCAGGAGGCTGAGGCCAGAGGATTGCTTAAGCCCAGGAGTTTGAGCTTGCAGTGAGCTAAAAATCACATCACTATACTCTAGCCTGGGTAACAGAGCAAGATCCCATCTCAAAAAAAAAAAAAAAATCAAAGAGCATGGGAATTATTCATAATACAAAAAATAATTACGCCAATTTTAAAATAAAACCATGTTTAAGTTTAAAGCTATATCGGAAAAGAACTGTGATCACAGATGCTGAAACGCTCAGCTGTGAATGATCTTTACATAGCTCACAATCCTAATGTGAACTCTGAATGCTGATTTAATCAAACATTGTGACCAAGCTATAAGAAGGATAGGAGTAGCGTGGACAGAGAAAATGGTCAGAGTGATATAAAATCTTCAGCTTCCATAGTAGATCCCTAGAAAGGACATAAAACTGAAAAGTAAAAATTGCAGGAAAAGTGGGTTATTTGGAATACAGAAGTAAATAGGAGAAGCAGCTAAAAGAGGTCACTGCCAAGAAGTGGAACTTGGGGTAGGAATAGGTGGGGCAGGAGGCTTCTGTTTTTCTTCCAACATTGACGAGCATTTGACTTCTTAAATTATATACTGTTTAAATTTCATTTTAAAGTAATTATTTGTTTAATTTAAATATGTAGATATATACTTCTGAGTAATTCCTAGAAGAGGTCTCAATGGAAATTGTAAAGAAAGCGAGTCAGTGAATACCACATATCACCATGTGTGGTCTGAGACCAAAGTGGTTCTCAAAGGAAAATTAAATCCTTACATGTGTCTACTAGGAGGCAAGAAGGAGTATTAATAAAGTCTAAATAACACTTTGGGAGGCCGAGGCAGGTGGATCACCTGAGGTCAGGAGTTCAAGACCAGCCTGGCCAACACAGTGAAACGCTGTCTCTACTAAAAATACAAAAACTAGCTGGGAGTGGTGGCGCCCACTTGTAATCCCAGCTACTCGAGAGGCTGAACCAGGAGAATCGCTTGAACCTGGGAGGCAGAGGTTGCAGTGAGCTGAGATCGTGCCACTGCACTCCAGCCTGGGTGACAGAGTGAGACTCCATCTCAAAAAAAAAAATTAATAAATGTAAAGACTAAATAAGCCAGACTGCAAAATGTCCTCCTCTGTGCTACCTTAGCTATGGAGCGTTGCTTAACCTGTGTATTGGCATGTCTTTCCAATAAACTATTCAGTCAGGAGGATGATTTGGGCAAAATTTTAACTGGAACTAAAGGAAGGCTGGCAGGGAGTGAGGTGGGGGAGAGAAATACCTGGAGAGTTCCCTCAGAAGGGACTGAGTTGGGCCAGGCGCAGTGGCTCACGCCTGTAATCCCAGCACTTTGGGAGGCCGAGGCAGGCGGATCACGAGGTCGGGAGATCAAGACCATCCTGGCTAACACGGTGAAACCCCGTCTCTACTAAAAATACAAAAAAATAGCCAGGCGTGGTGGCGAGCGCCTGTAGTCCCAGCTACTCGGGAGGCTGAGGCAGGAGAATGGCGTGAACCCAGGAGGCGGAGCTTGCAGTGAGCCGAGATGGTGCCACTGCACTCCAGCCTGGGCGACAGAGTGAGATGCCGTCTCAAGAAGAAAAAAAAAAGGGTCTGAGTTGGCTGTATTACTCAGACATCATCAAGCGGACACTTCTAAAGATACCTCTCCTGCATGGTACTTCTGCTGACCCCAAGCCTTCAGGGAAGCTGTGTGAGTATATGAAATGGTACATATATATACAACTTGCTTATGATGGGTGAGCACACGTCCCATCCCTGAGCCAGTTGGTACGTCTGAGCCCCCAGGAGAATGCAGCAGGTGGTGTGAGGAGTCTGGCAGAGCTCTGGTTCCAAATGAAGGCCTAACAGAGGGTGTGGCAGAGGCCACCAGGGCGTACCTGCAACAACATTGGCAGGCGCTGGAGACAACCACAAATGTCTCAGGAAAAGGAATGTGGTTAAAAAAAATGTCAACAGTCCACAGGTAGGAGTATGAGCCAGTGTTCTTGGGGTAATAAGGAGATGGGTAAGGACTTTCACTCTGAGCCAAGATAAAGTAACAGAGACCAGATTTACACTCCCACCAGAAATAACTTAAACATTGGAAAAAGCATATGAAACACCAGTTTATAGACATTGTCTATCAGGCAGGACAGGAGAGTGATCCCTGAGAGCAGGAAAACAAAGGCGAGCCCTGACCGCCCCAGCCTGGAGAGAGGACAGGCCTCAGCATGAGAAGGGAGGACCCAGGAGGGGCCCACAGGTGCCCCTAAACAGAGGAGACACAGTTGAGTCTGGTAGGACCAAGGTGGCTAGAGAATGCAGAATAGAGTTTGCACAAAAGCTTAGCTCTGGAGATCTGCAGAGAGTGCCCCTTGAATCTTCAGCTGAGTATGGATCAACTCATGAGGATCCATAAATTACCCATGGCTTTGGATAAAACCACCTAAAAGGAGCTGAGGGAAAGCTGCCCACATTCCACACCATTCTGGGAGCTAAAGCAGATGTTTGTGTACCTATGTTCATAGCAGCATTATTCACAGCAGCCAACAGATGGAAGCAACCCAAGTGTCTGCCAGTAGATGAATAAACAAAATGTGGTATAGCCATACAATGGAATATTACTCAGCCTTAAAAAGGAAGAAAATTCTGACACAGCACAACACGGATGAACCTTGAAGTTGCTATGCTAAGTGAAATAAGCCAGTCACAAAAGGATGCATACCACAGGATTCCATTTAGATGAGGTCCCTAGAGTCATCAAATTCATAGAGACAGAAAGGAGAATGATGGTCGCCAGGGGCTGGGGAAGGGGAAATGAGGAGTTATTGTTTGCGAGGTAGAGAGTTGCAGTTTGGGAAGATGAAAAGTTACAGAGCTAGCTGGTAGCAGGTGGTTGCACAACCATGTGAGTGTACTTAATGCCATGAACTGTACACTTAAAAATGGATAAAATGGTAAATTTTACATTATGTATTTCATCAAAATTTTTTAAATTAAAAAAAAAATTAACCCATGGTGTGAATAGTTTCTGTTCCCACCAACCAGAAGGAAAAATCTTATCATTTAGAAGACATGAGGTAGACTACTCAGAAAGGTTGCCTCATTGTTGGGGAAAAATTAGTCCCATAATAAAGGCTGAACTGGTCCCACTTAACAGAGCTAAAAGCAAGCCTCAAAAGGATCAAGCCATTTGCAAGTAATTTAACCATGTCCCCGAACAAAGCTCACAAATATTTATAGGAAATGAAATTATCCAGCACCCAACAATGTAAAATTCACAATGTTTGACAACCAACAAAAATTACCAGGCATGCAAAGAAACAGAAAAATACATGATGAGAAGAAAAAAACCTATCTGTAGAACCCAAAAATGAAGCAGATGATGTAATTAATAGACAAGAACATTAAATCTGTTTTTATAACTATATTTTAATATGTTCAAGAGGATATGGAAACATTGAGAAGTTATAAAACAGACCTAATTAAACTTCCACAGATGGAGAATATAATGTCCAGGATGAAAATTACACTGGATAGAATTAATAGCAAATTAGACACTGCAGAAGAAGTAGTTATTTGGATAGCAATAGGAACTATTCAAAATGAAACAAGAAAACCCAAAAAAACTATTTTTAAAAATGAACAGAGCTACAGTGATCTTTGGGACAACTTTAAGTGGCCTGATATATATGTAATGAAAATGCCAGAAAAGGAATAGGGGTTTGTGCACAATATTTAAAGAAATAATGGCTGAAAACTTTCAGAATTTGGTGAAAACCGTAAACTCACACATCCAAGAATCTCAATGAACCTCAAGCACAAGAAACATGAAGAAAACATCAAGGCACATAATGAGATTTCTGAAAACAAGTGATAAAATCTTAACTACGTGGTAGAGGAGAGGCATATTGAATGCAACGAACAAAGATAAGAATGACAGCATTGTTCTCATCAGAAATAATGCAAGCCAGAAGACACTGGAACAAGTTTAATGCAGTGAAAGAAAAAGACACTTTTGATCTAGAATTCCATGGCCAATGAAAATATGTTTCAAAACCACAGGCAAAATTAAGACTTTTTCAGACGTTGAAAAGGTGAATAATTTATCAACAGCAGACCTGCACTACCAGAAATGTTAAAGAAGTCTTACAGGCATAAAGCAAATTATACCAAATGGAAATCTGGATCAACACAAAGGAGCGCCAGAAATGGTAAACATGCTGGCAAAAATAAAATATTTTGTCCAGGCGTGGGGCTCACACCTGTAATCTCAGCACTTTGGGAGGCCGAGGCGGGTGGATCACCTGAGGTCAGGAGTTCAAGACCAGCCTGGCCAACATAGCAAAACCCCATCACTACTAAAAATACAAGAATTAGCTGGGCATGGTTGTGCGCAACTGTAGTCTTAGCTACTTAGGAAGCTGAGGCAGGAGAATCGCTTGAACCCGGGAGGTGGAGGTTTCGGTGAGCCAAGATCACACCGCTGTACTCCAGCCTGCCTGAAATTGTGAGACTTCATCTCAAAAACTAAATAAAATAAAATAAAATCTTTTTTCTCTCATTTTTACATCTCTTTAAGAGATAACTGACTAAAGAAAAAATTCACTATATTGTAGGGCTTAGAACATATATAGAAATAAAATGAAGAATAACAATAGCACAAAGCCTGGGAGGGAGAAATGGAAGTGTACTGTTATGTATCTATAAGGCTGCAAGATTCTAATACTATACATAATTTTTTACACTGTACATAAATTAATATTATTTTAAAATGGAATATGATAAGTTAAAGATGTATATGTAAGTCCTAAAGCAAACAATGAAAAAACATATCAAAGAGTTGTAGCTAATAAGACAACAAAGAGTATAAATTTGAATCATAAAATAGTCCATCAATCCAAAAGAAGGCAAAAAAATAAATAAATGGAGAACAAAAAAATGAATAGGACAGAAAGAAAACAAAGAGCAAGATGACAGATCAAAATTCAAATGTGTAAATAATCACAGTAAATGTAAATGGTCTAAATATCTCAATTAAAAGACAGAGATTGTCTGACCAAATAAAAAAATAAGATCCAACTATGTGCTACCTACAAAAAAAATGCTTAAATGTAAAAAGAGAAATAGGTTAAATGTAAAAGGATACAAAAAGAAACACATTAACACTAATCGAAAGAAAGCTGGAATGCCTATGTTAATAACAAAAAGGCATATTAAATGCAAATGAACAAAGATAAGAATGACAGCATTGTTCTCATCAGAAATAATGCAAGCCAGAAGACACTGGAACAACTTTAATGTAGTAAAAGAAAAGAAATTTCAGAGCAAAGAATATAATCAAGGATAAAGAAAGCAATTTCAGGCCAGGCACAGTGGCTCATGCCTGTAATCCCAGCACTTTGGGAGGCTGAGGCAGGCAGATCATGAGGTCAGGAGATCAAGACCATCCTGGCTAACATGGTGAAACCCCATCTCTACTAAAAATACAAAAAAATTAGCTGGGCGTGGTGGCGGGCACCTATAGTCCCAGCTACTCGGGAGGCTGAGGCCGGAAAATGGCATGAACCCGGGAGGCAGAGGTTGCAGTGAGCTGAGATCGTGCCACTGCACTCCAGCCTGGGCAACAGAGAGAGACTCTGCCTCAGAAAAAAAAAAAAAAAAAAAAAAGAAAGCAATTTCATAATGGTAAAAGGCTTATTTCAAGAAGAGGACATAAGAATTATCAATGTTTATTCACCATATAACAGAGGTCCAGAAACACATGAAGCAAAAATGAATAGAACTGAAAGGAGAAATGGCAAATCCATAGTTATAGTTGGAGACTTTAACAGTCCTCTCTCAGTAATTGATAAAACAGCTAGACACAAAATTGTAAGGATACAGTGGGCTTGAACAACACTATCAACCAACTTAACCTAGTTGACATTTGTAGAACAGTGCCCCCAATGACAGCAAAATACACATTATTTTTCAGTACATTTACCAAAATAAAACATATTATGGGCCATAAAACAAGTCCAATAAACTTAATAGGACTCAAGTAATACAGAGTATGGTTTCTGACTATGATGGAATTAAATTAGAAATCAATATCAGAAACAGACTATGAAAATTCCCAAATATTTTGAAACTAAAAATTATACACTCCCAGGCCAGGTGTGGCAGCTCATGCCTATAATCCCAGCACTTTGGGAGGCCAAGGCTGGTGTATCACCTGAGCCCAGGAGTTTGAGACCAGCCTGGGTAACATGACAAAACCCCATGTCTACAAAAACTACAAAAATTAGCCAGGCATGGTGGCACACACCTGTAGTCCCAGCTACTTCAGGGGCTGAGGTGGAAGGATTGCTTGAGCCTGGCAGGTAGAAGTTGTGGTGAGTGGAGATCGTGCCACTGCACTCCAATGTGGGAAACAGACTCAGACTCGTCAAAAAAAGAAAGAAAAGAAAAGAAAAAGAAAGAAAAGAAGAAAGAAAGAAGGAAGGAAAGAAAGAAAGAAGGAAAGAAAGAAAGAGAGAGAGGGAGAGAGAGAAAGAAAGAAAGAAAGAAAGAAAGAAAGAAAGAAAGAAAGAAAGAAAGAAAGAAAGAGAAAGAAAGAAGGAGGGAGGGGAGGGGAGGGAAGAGAAGGTAAGGGAAGGGAATTCTAAATAATCCAAATGTCAAAGAAAAATTCAAAACGGGAATTAGCAAGTATCTTAAAGTGAATGAACCTGAAAGCACACTACATCTACATTTGTATAATGGAGCTAAAGCAGTGCTTAGACGGAAATTATAGCAATAAAATGACTACATTAGAAAAGATGAAAGGTCATCAGTGACCTCAGCTTCTACCTTAAGAAAAAGAAGTTGAGGAGGTGTTGGTCAAATGATTCAAAATTTCAGTTAGGAGGAATAGGTTCTAGAGATCTATTGTATAACATGGTAACTATAGTTAATAACAATGTATTGTACTTTTGAAAATTGCTAAGAAAGTGTTCTCACCACAAAAAAAGATAAGTAGGTAAAGTAATGCATATATTGATTAGCTTGATTTAGGCATTCCATAATTATATGTATATCAAAACAACATGTTGTACATGATAAATATATACAATTTTATATGTCAAATAAATAAAACATTTAAAAAAGAAACTAGAAAAAGGGAGCAAATAAAAGTCAAAGTCAGGAGAAGAAAGGAAATAATAAAGATCAGAGTGGAAATCATTGAGATAGAAAACAGAAAAACAATAGAGAAAATCAATAAAACCAAAAGCTGGTTCTTTCCCAAAATTGATAAAAATTATAAACCTCTATCCAGATGGATCAAGAAAAAAAGAGAAAACACATAATTAATATTAAGAATGAGAAATGGTTCATCACCACAGTCTACAGATATTCAAAGATAATAATGGAATAGTATGCATAACTTTATACCAATAAATTCAACATTAGATTAAATAAATCCTGTAAAAGAAACAATCACTAAAACTCACTCAAGAAGAAATAGATATGCTGAATGTTCCTATATCTAGGAAATAAGTTGAATTTGGAGTTCTTTCCAACAAAGAAAACTCCAGGGGTGGGAGGAGTTGGGGAAGTAAAGAGGGATCACCAAGGGCTGGATGAACCCTGCAGGTAGCTGTGTTTGGTCAACGGTTTATCATCTTGACTGTGGTCATGGTTTCACAGATGTGCATATATATGTCAAGAGTCATCAAATTGTACACTGTAAACCTGTGCACTTTACTGTAGGTCAGTGGCATTTCAATAAACCCAAGAAAAATAGTGACACCCCCGACAAAGACTGGCGGGCTCAAGGCAACTCAGCTTGTATGTGTGCCCTCCCAGCACAACTTTGCTCCCCGGGCAGCCTCAGAACCACGGAAAGATACTCAGAAAGCCAGTCACAGTGACCCCACAGCCCTGTGACAGATGTGCTGTCCCATGGGGCTTATCTAGTCACCCAGGAAGGAGCCATCATCTGTCCTCCCTCTGATGATTCTCAACTGCAAATATGTTGCCATGGCTTGAGTGCTTGTGACCCTCCAAAATTCATGTTGAAACTTCATCCCCAGTGCAACAGGATGAAGAGCTGATGCCTTCAGCAGCTGAGGAGGCCATGAGTGCTCCACCCTCATGGGTAGGATTTGTGCCTTATAAAAGGGCATGAGGGGGCGAGTTTGCCCTTCCCATCCTTTCTGCTGTTCATCCCTTCTGTCGTGTGAGGACATGGTGTCCCTCCCCTCCAGAGCACCCACGCAAGGCACCAACTTGGAAGCAGAGACTGAGACCTCACAAGCTATTGAACCTGCCAGCACCTTGATCTTAGACTTCCAGCCTCCAGATCCGAAGAAATAAATTTCTCGTGGTTCCTTATAAATTATCCATCTCAGAGGTTTTGTTACAGCAGCACAAATGGCCTGAGACCTGCATATACAATTAGATTCCATGAGCCTCGAGTGGGCACCCCCAGACCCTGGCCTGGCAGGTTACCTGTTCAGCGGGCGCTATGGACTCCTCTGGGGAAGGACAGAGAGGCTAAGATGCAAATTCTACTCTAGGCTCCTGCTCCCAGGGAGTAGAGGCCAGGCACCACCCATAGCTGCAGATTCAGGACCTGTCTCCCCTTCCCCCAGCCTGTCTCTCTTCCTGAGGTCTCTCGCCTAAGACAGCTGCTGTCAGCCTTGGGCATTTATCAGGCTCGCCTGGGAACTTGGTGAAGACCCAGATCCCTGCCACCCATCCTACTCACTGAGCCTGGGCCTCTGCAGTGAGTCAGAACCCCTGCCTTCACATACTGGTTTAGCTACTTTAACAGAGACCAAAATAACACTGGCTTTAAAAGGCAGAAGGTTCCTTTCTCTTGTGGAAAAGACAAGCTGTTCAGCTGTCCAAGTGGGTAGGGCAGCGTGTACATGAGCTGGTCCCACGTAGGGTGATCAGCAGTCCCAGTTTGCCCCAGACTCAGAAGATTCCAAGAACGTTTCGGTGCCAAATCAGGAAACACGCAGGCACACCTGGACAGGTGGGTCGGCCTCATGCAGGGATGCTTTGCCCTGCCCCGGCGTGGCCCTCCAGCAGCACAGTCGGCACGTCTCAGCACCACAGTGCCCCAGTTCCACCCAGAAGTTGCATCTGCCTCTGTTCACACTCCCCTGTGTAGAGGTGGCATGTGTCTCCACCAGCAGCCCAGGAGCCCCACGTGCCCAGCTTCCCTTCAGGAATTCCATGGCTGAAGGAATGGACCCCGAGGAGCCATCCTCCACCTGGGTCAGGGGCAGAGGCTGGAGAGGCCGGAGTGGAGGGGCTGGGGTGCCAGGAAGCACAGGTCTAGTCTCAGCAAAGTAGGGGCCTGTCCTCCTGGTGTCCCCAGGGACCAAGTAGGGGCCTGTTGTAAGACCACACCTCATTGCCACCTGAGGCCTTCCATTGGTCCTCCGAGGCCCTGGCTGAAATTCGGCCTCTTCAAGGATCCCCCACTGGCCCTCCCACCACATCAGCTCCAGTGACAGCTTGAGCTCTGCCCTGCTGAGCACTCAGGAAGTGTGCTGCATCATGTCAGGGGAACCTCCAGCGAGCTCCACGTCATCCTACAGAAGGAAGAAACAGGTCCTCCGAGGGGATAAGGGACTTGCCAAGGTCACTTGCTTGTAGGCATAGAGCTGGGGTTTGAATGCACGACAGACTCTCGGTCCCCTGTGCCAGAGGCAGGGAGGGTGGAGGAAGGTGCCTCTGTCTCTTCAATCCCTCAACCCTCCCACCTTGCCCATTCTCCTGGCCAGGTCCCCAGGGCCAGCCTACAGGCTCCAGCGGGAATGAGTGGGAGCCAGCCAAGGGAGCAGTGTTGTGGTGAGTGGGGGGAGTGGGAGCAGGCTGGAGCCCCTGAAAGTGGGGCCCCTGGGAGCCAAGCCCTTTCCCCAGCCTGGCTCCTTGAGGCAGTGCAGCTCAAACCCGAGGGAGGGGGTCTGGCCCAGTGGCCCAGGGGAGGTCACTGCAACGAGAAAGCTGGTGGCAGAGGCTGGGGGCTTCCCTGGAGACCAAAGTGCCAGAGGCAGAGTTGAGGGAGGGTCTTGGGTAAGGACCAGGCCACTGCCCCTCCACCAACCATCCTCATTTCTGCTTCTCTGAGATTAGAAGGAAAAGGCTGGCTTGCTTTCAAGGGAGAAACCACGCTGAGGCCTGGGGGAAAAGGACAAGCACCCCAGGGACACAGCGATGCTTTGGAACATGTTTATTGTCATCAGTCTAAATTGTACAGACGCACACCGGACAGAATGCCTCCAAGCCGCAGAACAGGGACACAGCCGCCATCTCCCACCTGAGCCTCAGCCCCTCTCACGGGGCTGCTGAGGGCTGAGGGCCCATGCAGAGGGCACGGGGGAACGTGCTTGTAAAATGAAATGGCTACAGGGGGCTGCGGTGGTCAGCAGGCAGCAGCTGGGGAAGACACTCCAACCCCTCCGATGCCACAGACCCACTGGGCGCTCCCACGGCCCCAAGCTCTGAAGCCAGATCCTGAGAGGTGGCCACAATGGCATTTGCTGAGCAACAGAGGAGGCACTGGCCAGTGGTGGATGCTCTCCCGGGAACTCCACTCCCCCCACCTGGGTGGCCAGGGGACCTTGCTGTCCTGCTGCTGGCCCTCTTCTGGAACAGCCCTCCACAGTCACCTCCTGTCTCCTCACATCAACCCCCTATGTGTGCAGGTCGGGCTCAGAGAGGGCAGGTGACTGGCCCAAGGCCACCCTAGCAGGCCTCAAACCCAGGCCTGTCTGACCCATCTCCCAGGACTCCCCGCAGCTCTCTAAACACTGGGTGAGGAGGTGGGGACTGGAGGGGGACCCTCCACCCCAGAGGACACAGCAGGCCAGGCAGCACCAGGCAGAAGACCCCGGCCCCTGGCTGGAGGTGGGGACAGATTCGACCCTTTGCTGAGTCCCTCCCAGGGCCGCCCGGGGCTTCACACGCAGATTGACGCGCACACCTCTCCTGTGGGCGCTAGCTACCACGAGGTTCCAGGGAGGCTCCGGCGAAGGCACCTGTCATCATGGGCGCCGCTTCTCCTCTACCTGGGTGTAGTCTGCAAACTTCCTCCCCACCCCCAGTTCCTGTGCCTCGAGGTCCTTCACGAGTTTAGCGCGCACTCGTAGGAGCCGCGCAGCGCTCCCTAAGGCCTCAGTGAGTGGAGACGCTCCGGGGAGCCGGCAGCGGGAACCATCGGCCGCCCAGCAGGGTGCGGCTGCCGGCAGCCTGATGGGCAGCTCCCAGGAAGCCCAGGGCAAGGAGCGCTCCTCAACCCTACGGGCCCACCGCCAGTT
Source organism: Homo sapiens (assembly GCF_000001405.40). Taxonomy (NCBI): domain Eukaryota; kingdom Metazoa; phylum Chordata; class Mammalia; order Primates; family Hominidae; genus Homo; species Homo sapiens. The sequence goes on along the minus strand of NC_000014.9, from coordinate 104,117,868 downwards.
CCTCGCTGGGAATTCCACGGAGTTTCGAGGTGCGGGCCCTCGGGGTGCAAGAGGGCGGCGGCGGCGTCTCCAGGCCGGCAGCGCGCCAGGAGCGTGGGCAACCCAGCGCGCCCCCACCCAGCGGTTCCCACAGCACAGCCCGGCCACGCCCGGCCACCTCCCAGCAGCACTTGGCTCTCCGGCCGAGGGTCTTCCCTGGCAGCAGGTGGAGCCAGCCAGGCCCTGGGGACTGCGGGGCGCGGCGCATGGGGCGGCCGACCTGGAGCGCGGAGCCGGTCCGTGGGCTCCCCTGGATTGGTCGCCGGCGCACCCCTGACTGTGACTCTGACTCCAGGCCGCGCGTGGGACGCTCCGTCGCTGTCGCCGCGCCCGCCGGGTCTAGTGGTCCTAAACATTTCACAATTGCGCTACAGAACTGTTGAACTGTTAAGAACCACTGGACCCAGCGCGCGAGTCCCCAACACCGTCGGTTCGCCGAGCTGCGGAGAGAGGAGCCCCCGACGCCCTTGGGACCGCCCGCGTCGCCTGCGGATCCCGGGGACCGGCCCCTGCGCCCAGATCCCCGCTGGTCGCGCACCCCCTGCCCTGCTGCAGCCACCCGGCCCCGACGCCGTACCGGACGCCTTAGACGCCCTCGCCTGGCGCTGGGGGATCCCAGCCGCCAAGCCCAGCCCCGCCGCGTCCTCGCTGGCCCCGGCGTCCCCTCGTCCCGCGGGCCCCGCGTGGCAGGGCGGCTGAGCTCCGAGCGGCGGTGGCCAGCGCGGCGGCGCCTTTTATGCGGCGCAGCCGCCCTTCCCGGCGCCGGAATGTGCCCGCGCCGCGCTGGCCCGACCGGTTTTTCCGGGCGGGGCGGCTCCCGGGCCCATAGGTCCCGCGACTGATCCTCCACGGCCCGGGGACCTGCTCCGCGCGCCCGCGCGGGGGTGGCCCTGACTCAGCGGCCGCCCCGCCCCATCCGGCGCCCCAGCCTCCAGCGCCTGGCCTGGGCGCACCTGGCCTCCCGGGTTCTGGGTCCCCGCCGGGCCACGCCCGAACCGTCTCGTCTGGGCCGGGGGTGCTCGGGCGCACGGAGGGCCCGGGGCTCCACCTTGGCCGGGTCGAGGCCCAGGGTGGCCGGAACAGGTGAGGACCAGCGCCCGACAGGAGCCCAGGGCCGCGCTAGCTCTCCGGTGGGTGTGGGGGCTGGGCTGGACACACCCACCCCAGCCCCTCTCACTTCAAAGGGAACTTCGTGGGAGGGGGAAGGGGAGGGGTAAAGAGAAAGTGAAACTGGAGGGAGGGAGGTTTCTGCTTCTCAGACCCTGAACCCCCACCCCGCAGCCCACAGGGGTAGCCCCGTACCTGCCTCCTCATTTCCCACGCGGGGGGAGGGACGCCCTACCCCCTCACGCAGCAAGGGCCTGAGCCTCGCTCCCCCCACTCACAGCCCAGCCCCGAACGTCCTGGCGCAGCTGGCCCTGCCGGTCCTACCCACTTAGTCACCTGGAGGTGTCCAGGCCTGACCAGTGGCGCCTCCCAGGGACTCTGCTTCAGCAGAACATGGCAGCTGAGGGGAGGGCTCAGGCTCTAGGAAATACCCTAGAGCCCCCTTCAGCACTTGCCCCAAGTCTGGAGCCATTAGTGTGTCTGTATGGGGTTGGGCAGCAGGGTGGTGACCATTCATTCCAGTGCAGGGCGGTGACACGCCATCCCACCACCCGCCCAGCCAGCCAGGAGCCAAGTGCTCAGGAGCCAAGGTGAGCCCCAGACCAGAACACAGCCACCAGATCTGAGGGACCCCCCAGACATTTCCACATGGGCCGCGTGTGGCTCAACCACCGCAGCCACCCTGGAAAGGGAATCAGAAAGGTTTTGTTATTTTCATTTTGCAGTTGGGGAAACTGAGGCTCAGGGAGGGACAGTGACTTCTGGGGATTGCACAGCTCTTGGTGGTAGAGAAGGGATGACAGGCCTTGCCATCGCTGCATCTGTGGGTCTCAGTGCCTGGGTGTGGAGTCCGAGGGGCTGCGGCATGGGGGTGGGGATGGAAGTGGGCATAGGGGAGCTTGAGATCAAGAACAGGAGCTTGGGAGCTCCTCCCCCAACACAACTGCATGGGCAAGAAGAACCCACCTCTCTTCTTTTCTTTTTTTTTTTCTTTTTTTTTGAGACCTAGTCTTGCTGTGTTGCCCAGGCTGGAGTGCAGTGGTGCGATCTTGGCTCGCTGCAACCTCCATCTTCCCAGTTCAAGCGATTCTCCCACCTCAGCCTCCCAAGTAGCTGGGACCACAGACACAAACCACCACACCTGGCTAATGTTTTTATTTATTTTTTAAGAGACAGAGTTTCGCCATGTTGGCTGTTCTCAAACTCCTAGGCTCAAGCTATCCACCCGCCTCGGCCTCCCAAAGTGCTGGGATTGCAGGTGTGAGCCACCAAGCCTGGCCACCACTCCTTAATTCTAAGTTCTGGTCTAGCCCAGTCCTGGGCAGACTCTTCCCGACGCACAGCCACTTGGATGGGCTCCCCTCGCCCAGGTGGCTCCCGTGTCCAGCATCCAAGGGAACTGACGAGAGAGGACGGGGAGAAGGTGACAAGTACAAGCACCTGCAGTTCCCACCAGCAGCAGGAAATATTGAGGTGTGACCAGAAGGGGAACTTCCTAGCATACACGAGAAATCTGGTTACCTCCAGCTGGGGAAGGGCGGTCCTGGAGGGCCCTCAGCTGAGGAGTCTGATTTTAGGATAGAAAATGCTGGTGAAAAAGACAGTAGTCGTGATGGAGAGGAGATGTTCCCCAGAGATAGCCCTGGGATCCAGGTGATTCGAGATGGGCTATAGGAACCAAGGCCTCCCCCAGCGTGAAATTACCAGGTGTGAGCGGCGCCACCCCACTGTGGGGAGGCGGGTCCCACGGGCACTGGGCACCTGGCTGTGCCTCATTCCTGAGTCTCCCACAGCCTCACACCACAGCAAGAGACAAGGCGGCCCTGATTCACAGCCCAGCTCTGCCCTGTGCCAACGCAGAGCCCTGGGCGCAGGACGGGGCCACTCTGTGCCTTAGCTTCCTCAGCCATGAAGTAGGATAGACGGGGACCCGGTGCCCTCCTACAGGCACAGTGGGGACGAAACACACCAACGCGGCGCAGGACACGAACGCTCCAAGCCTGTCTGTCCCGGCTGTTCCCACTGCACGCCAGAGAGCCAGAGGCCTTGGGGCCAGGTCACTGCCCAGCTCAGAGCCCAGGGAGCCCCGAGCAGTGGCCCTGCACCTCCTGCCACTTCTGGGTGATTCTAGAGGAGTCCCCTTACCCAGGGCCCCTCTGGCCTCTCCCCAAGGGGCACAAAACGGCCCCCGAGAAAGCTCCCAGACTCAAGCCTATGACTCTTCACAGCCTCCTGAGACACTGGCCCAGTCCCGGGGCTCCCTGTGGTAGGGCCCTACATCCCACGAGGGTTTGGAGGGGACTGACAATGGGGGTCTGGCTGCCCAGCCTTGTGAGGAGCTCTCCCCATCTGCCCAGCCCGTGGCCCCCAAGCCGTCTCTGCCGAACTCCATCAGTGACCCAGTTGGAGAAAGGCCAGCTTGACAAATGCTCTCTGCGGGACAAGCAGGATGAGTGGGCGTTTCTACACTACAGGACACTCACCCCCGGCATCAGTCGGTGTGTCTACACTGGCAGGTTGGCACCTGCTCTGGGAGGGTGCTGCCATGTGGGCTAACGTGAGCCACCTGCAGCTTTCACAACCCGGAGCAGCACTGAGTGGGGTGGCGTGAGCAACAGGCTCTGCCCAGCCCCTCAGGAGCTGAGGGAAGCAGGTGGGCACTGCCGTGTGCAGGAGCAACCGGGGAGACCAGGTGGGCTCAGCCCAGGGATGCCGGAGGTAGTCCCACCCCTTCTCACCTGCACCAGGCATTTGTCCAGATGCCCCACCGCCTCTCCCAAGGCCCTCCAAGGGTCTCGGCCATCCGGGGACAGCAGGGGCTCCTGGCTCTGGGGCCCGGTGCCACCCTCCCTCCACCTGCAGCCCCTCATGGGCCTCACCAGGGTGAGGAGCAAAGGCTTCCCCGGCCCTGCCACGCTCGCATGGCGTCACCTTGTTGTGCAAGGCCCAGGCACACCTGTGTCGGGGTGAGGACAGCAAGGATGCCAGCGGCAGTACCAGCCAGGCTTGGGAACCAGGCTGAGGAGCCTGGGGTATGCCCAGGTGCCAAGGGCCAGCTCTGGGGTCATGCTTTTGCCCTCCTGGGGCTCCAGTCCAGAGGCCAGCCAAACAGAGGGACAAAAGGAACCGTCACCTGGGCAGGTAGAGAGGCCTGGAGGGAGGCAGCCCCCATGCTCCTCACACCCAGCAAGAAGGGGTCAGGGGCTGGGGGCAGCAGCAGGGAGTCCCTGGCCATCCCAGGCCAGTGCATGCACACATGATGGGGGCCAGGGGTCCACACCCCCGATTTCAGCCCCAGCTGAAAGAAGGCACGAGGCTGCCCTTGGCCTTGGAGCACCACCCCCACCGGGCAGCAGCAGGGCCCGCCCCACCCGCCCACCTGCCCAGGCTGTGCAACCAGGCAGGCACAGCTCACCTCTTCCCTTACAGGGTGGCCTGGCTCACGGTGGAGGCTGCATCAGGAGCTTCAGGCAGAGCAGGGGCTGGAATGGTCCCCAGGGGCTCACCACCAGAGTGTGAAGCCCCCTTGACACTCACAGGCTTCCGCAGCCCTATGGAGCCCTGGTGTGGCCCTGGCCTGAGAGGGGGGCCGGGTGCAGCGATACTGGGGTGACAGAAAACCAGACAGCAACTGGGACGGGACTGTGAGGACTAAAGAGTTAAGCAGGGGCAGCATGCTCATCCAGGGGTTGGAGGGCTGCCTGGGGGAGGGGACTTCAAGCTCCAGAATGAAGGCGCAGGAGGTAAGGAGATGGGCAGAGGGTGTCTGGAGGAGGGACCAGCCTGGGCAAAGGCAGGGTGGCAGGAAGGGGGAGTGGCAGCTGGGAAAGGACCACTTGGCCAAGTCACGTCCATGCACCCCACCCTGCCCAGCTCACACGCACAGCTGCCCCCGGAAGGATGGGCCAAGTGACCCCCGCAGAGACCCCACAGAGCCTGGGCCTGACTCCCCACACACATCCACAGTCCCGGACCCAGACAGAGCCTCTCAGAGCCAGGCTGTACAGACCTGGTGAGGGGATGTCAGAGACTTTATTGCCGTCCTGCCCAACAAAGGCCTTCAGGCTTTACATGAGAGCAGGCTGGGAAGCAGCCCCAGCAGTGGGGTCATGCCTGAGACCCCTCCAGCAGGTCATGGGAGGAAGGAATGGCTTATACTGCAGCAGGACGCCTTCAGGTTAGACACCAGGCAGCACTTCCTGAAAACATGAGGGCTCCTGAGAAGGACACCCAGGTAGAGTGCGAAGGCAGGGCAGAGAGACAAGCCCAGGCACCCCGTCTGTACGGCACAGCCCAAGAGCCTGAGCAAACCCAGCTTGAGACTATGGGAGGGCCACACAACCAAGTGGGAATGGGGGTGTCAGCTGGGAACTGGCCTGGGAGACAAGCGGAAGCACCCAGCCTAGGGGGTCCCGGTGGGGCAGGGCGCAGGGGCAGGGGTGGGTAAGGGGATGCTGAGCCCTGGCTGGGCCCTCAGTGCTCAAGTCTGGTCAGTTCCTTCAGGAAGCCCTCCCTGACTGCTCCTTTCTCCTTCTCCTCACCTCTAAACTGTGTTCCACCCTGGACATCCCCAGGAGGGGCTCTGCAGACCCTAAACTGGCTGGGACCCATCTCAGCCTCCTCCGGTTCTGTTCCCCTTGATTACGCCCCCCCGAGCCAGGATCCAGCCCTGCACTAGAAGCTCACTGGGGGGTGTCAGCCCCGCCTGGGGTGGGGACTTACTGGGCATGGGGCCTGGGCACCAACCGCACCCTCCAGGCTCTGTAGAAAGGCCACCACTGCCAGGTTCCCGGCTGCCTCTGCCTATGGGGAAGCAGTGGGGAGGGGCTGCCTTGGGGCCACTGACTAGCAGCCTGGCCCAAGGATCCCCATCCCCAGGATGCCCTCCCCTGTCCCCAGCCCACACACACAGGGCCCCAGCAGCTCCTCCACTCTCGTCACCCCCACCACTCAGAGCCCCGGGAAGGGGACCCAGTCTGTGCGGGTCCTGCATGGGGAGGGCCAGGCATTTGGGGGAGGGGCAGAGCGGGGAGGGGCAGAGCAGTGAGCTGGTGAATTGTCCAGGTGTCCTTCCTGGAGGTGGCAGCCTTTGGAGAGGGTGCAGGGGGTGGGGGCACTCACGACGTGCAGGGCGCTGTGCCCGTCATAGCCCGGCTGCCCCAGGTCAGCCCCTGCCTGCCACCACACCTGCAGGCCTTCGAGGTCGGCCCTGTATGCCAGCCTGGGGGTGGGGGCAGAGGAGGAGTTGTTGGGGCCTGCTGGGCACCTGTCCATCTGCCCACGTGCCTGTCCCCCAGGTGGCCTGGACGCTCTTACAAAGCCAGCCCCAAACAGCTGACCCAGCAGCGACCTGGTCCTGGGGCAGGAGTCACTGGGGGCCATCGGGCAGCCTGGAGCCTGGTTTCACCCAGTGGGTGGGACTGCGACTCAAGTCGGGTACACATGCGCAAACATACATGAACACACATGCACACACAGCAGCATACACAGCAGCATACATGTACACACACAGGAGCACACAAGCACACACCTACACATGCACACACACACGAGCATATGTGCACACACACATGAGCACATGCGCCTTTGCACACACATATGCACGCCCACCTGCCGAGCAGCCCACGCCAGTTTCGTGTTACACAACACACCGCTCTTCCCGGGGCGGGGTCCGCAAAGGTGGAAGGAAAGTTTGAGGCAGCCCAGTGGTTCAGAGAGGGGGACACAGGAGGCAACCCAGGATAACGGTTGGCCCTGGACCCCGGCAGACTGCATGGGGGGGTCCTGGCTGGGACAGGGGTCTGGGCCCACCTGCCCTGGAGTGGGGAGCACCTGCCAGGCCCTCACCAGCTCCTCCTCACCCTGCCACCCTCCTGGGAAGAACTCACTCGCCACCTGGGGAGGCCAGGAGCAGGCCAGGTGGGGACCCGGCAGGGAAGGCTCCACCCACCCATGGTGTGCAGGGGCTGGGGGAAGTGGCCTGGTGAGGAAGGGGCTGCCCCCTCCTCTGGAGGGCCCTTAGGGACTCTGCGCCTACCCAGGAAACAGCAGCAGCCCTGCAGTGGCACTGGGTAATCTCTGCAGCGAATCTGCTGGATGGCCTCACTGGCCCCTCCTGGACCTGCTCCAAGAGGCCAAGCCCCACACACACACCGGCCCCTAGGAAGGCCTAGCCGAGGGGCTCAAGTCCAGCCAGCAGCTCAGGCTGGCCAGGCCACTTCCAAGCAGAGTCCTGGACCAGGGTTCTGGTCCCAGCTCCCACAGGACCTGACTACTGCCTCAGTTTCCCCATCTGTCAATGGAGCCAGCAAGGCCTGTCTGGAGTGCAAATCTTGACCAAGTCACCCCGGAAGTCCCTTCAAAAGCAAGACCAGGGGTTGTGGGCCGGTCCCAGAGGAGAAGCCAGAGCTGCTAGTCCTCCTCCTGCTGGGCAGGCGCCTGCACCCACCCCCTCCCAGCCAGTGAGCCGAGCCCCCGCCATCACCCACTCCCCAAGCCTGGGACTCTGGACTTACAGGCGCACAGACCCCACCACTCACAGCACCCCCACCCCAGCCACCACCTGCACCCGGCCCAGGTCTCCTGCCTCCGACTCTCCTTTTTGGGTCCCTCGGAGTCGTCCTGGCCTCGGGCAGCCCAGGCTGGGCACAGGAGGCAGCGCCAAGTCACCAGGCACAAGGCATGGGGTGGGGGGCAGCGATTCTGGCTGTGGCGGACAGAGGAGGATCCCTGCATCCCTGGCCCACCTCCACCCACAACCGACACCCTCGCCGAAGGCCTCCCTGCGCCTCAGTCTCCCCAACAACAACATGATGTCAGAAGGCCTGAGCCTGCCTCGGTGGTCACTCGGCAGCATGAGATCGGAAGGCACACTGGCCACTGGTGCCATGCGGCCAGCAGGTGGAGGCGGGGCCTAGGTCAGTTTATCCCAGGACAGGAACCACGCTGGGGAGAACAGAGCTCACGAGACCTGTCACCTGCCAGGGGCTTCAGCTCCTCTGTGCCCCACCTGCCCCAACCTCCCCAAATGCAGCCCCAGCCACCCCCCAGTCCACACCCCAGCCCCTCTCACACCCGACAACCAATTCCCATACCCCTCCTCAAGCCCACCACACACACACACATGCACCCACACACATGCATACACACATGCACACATGTGCACACAGAGACACCCTTGCTGGACTGTTCGCTCAGCTGAGAACAACTCCTTCCCCTGCCCCATGACATGGTCCAGGGTAGACACCTCTTCCCATCAGCCAGGTTGGTGCACACTGAGGTCAGCGGGCCTCGCCTCTGAAAGCCCCCACACCCTGACTCACTTGTCCCTCCCAGCAGGTCTGGCTTCGCTTCCCCAAGCTGTGTCCCCCACATCCCTGGAAGAGCAGGTGCTCTAGCTGCACTCACCTGCACAGCTCCGTCCCTGCTTCCTCCAGCTCCTGGGTGGACAGGGAGGCCCCGGCTTCCCGCAGCAACCCAATGACACCCGGATGCCTGTGTGAGAATGAGCATGCTGACCTTCTGCCCTGGCCAGCCCAGCCCCGCTGCACCTCACTCAGGAGCCAGCAGAGCTCATGTCCTGTGCACAGGGACGGGGACCGGCCGGCCCAAGACCCCACAGCCCTAGCCTCAGACAAGGGCCCATCCCCCCATCCTCTGCCTAGGCCCATGTGACATCATCCCGGGATCCCACCACCTCCATTTGTCCAGTACTCCTTCTTAGGGCAGCTGAGGTCTGCAAGGGGTGGGGTCAACTCTGTGGCAGCCCCGCACCCAGCACCCAGGGGAGGGCATTAGTTGGTGCTAGCAGAATAGCTCCTCCCAGGGCAGTCTCCCCAACCCATTCCAAGGGGACAGCCCATTTCAGAGGACAGCCTTACATGAGCTGACCGGCCCCACTGCACACCCAAACGCTGATCACACCCCGTGGTGACCTCCTCAGCCAGGCGCAGGGGACACTGAATCAATCCGGCCGACTGCCCTTGGGTAGGAGTGGGGGCAGGGCACCCGGACAGTGGAGTCTGTGGGGGTGGGGTCGGGGCTCTAGCAAGGAGGAGCAGAGGCACAAAGGCCCGAGGCCGGAGGCCACACAGCCCATTGTACAGGGTGACCTAAAGACTGTGCCATAATCGCTGGCCGTGCCCCCACCCCTGCAAAGCACCACAGATCCCCCCATCACCCCATTTAGGGAGCCTGGGAATAGGTATGAGGCAGTGGCCTCCCCATACCCCACTCAGGCACAGCAGGGCCAGGCAGGCGGCCTCAGGGAGCCTGGCAGCGGAGCGAGGCTGGGAGACCGGTTGGGGGCGTGCTGTGAGCCTGGTCCTGTGAGTCAGGAGGAGACGAGGGGGCGGGACTGTGTGAGCTCGTCTCCGCGCCACCCACCCACACCCAAGGACGCCCAGTCTAGAAGCTCCAGTCCGGATCACCCCAGCCCTGCTCGGGGGGACCCTCACAGCCCCGCCCCCTCCTGTCCACCACCCTGTTCTCTCCTATTCTTTTGAGCACCCTGTCAATGATCACAGGAGGCTGGAAAGAACCTTCTACCCCAGTCACCCACTTCACAAAAGGTGCCACACCCCACCCCAGGGCTCACCGCTTCACCGCTGGGGAGGGGAACCCACAACTGAACACGTCAGGGTCACATGACCCCAGGCTCAGACACCCCGGCCTTCTCTCCATGGGACTCCTGAGCACTCCCTCCCCGAAAAGAACCCAGGGTCCTGCAGGCCAAGTCCTCCCACCCACAGGGAGGAATCCCCAGGGGCCCTGGGATCTCTGAGCAGCCCATGGGTCCGGGCAGCGGCACCAGCAGACAGGTCGTTGGCCTTCCCAGGCTGGGGCAATAAAGAGTAGGAAGGGGAGACGGGACGCAGATCCCACCAGTGCTGGCCCCGCCCCCCACGCAGGGGCACAGGCACACACTCCGTCTCTGCTGCTGCTCTGGACTTTGGGAAGAGACACCAGCCAGGGCTTGCTTGGTGGGGCAGGGGACCCCCACACGCACAGGCTGGGCCTGTCCTCCAGGGCCCGAGTTGCCTGTCACAGCCCCAGATCTGCTGCCACGTAGCCTGCTTTTTATTGACCGCGTCTGGCTGCTGGGCCAGGACCTTCTGCCCCACCTCCACCCCAGCCCCCCATACCCACAGGTGCACAGAGATGCACCGTGTCCTCCCAGCTTTGTCCACAACATTTTTGTTTTCTAGGAACTCTGGGCCGGGGTCTTACTGGGCCCCGGGCTGCGGGGGCAGCCTTTAGGAAGCAGGTGTCCTCCACCTCTCCCAGCCCAGCCCCGGGAGGCTGTTTGAGTGCAGGAGCCCACAGCCTCTCTGCGCCCACCTGTCCAAGGCAGCTCTGTGCAGCCCTAGCTCCATTACCTGCCCCGCACGGCCAGCAGCAGCGGGCTGAAGCCATCCGTGTCCCGGGTGTTCACGTCCACACCTCTCTGCAGCAGCATGGTGACTGCCTCTGTGTGGCCTCCCCGGGCGGCCGCGTGCAGTGGGGTTTGGCCGTTAAAGTCCACCAGGCCCAGGTCACTGCCCTGGAGTAACACAAGGACATGCGACCCCTGAGGGAGACCCAGGCGGGGCCAGGTAGGCCATGGGGAGGGTGGGGTCCCTCTGAGGGTAGGGCCCAGCACAGCCCCTGCGCCCACCCTCAAAGCCTCAGTGAGACCTGACAAGCTGGCAGGACAGTCCTGCTGCCCAGTCTGGCTGACAAGGGCTTAGTGTGGTCAGTGGGTGGATGAAAGGCCGTCCTGCCTACAGGGTTCAGAGCCCCCAGGCCAGGCGTGGCTGGGGCTGGGCCCCCAGGGTGGGGGAGGCTCACCAGCTCCACAAGCGCCTGCAGCGCCTCCACGTCACCGGCGTGGGCAGCAGCACAGGCCAGGCTGGGCACCAGGGCATTCCGCAGGGCATCTGCCTCCTAGGTGGGGAAGGCGGCACCCTGGGACCCACGCCTCCCTTTGGCATCTGGTGGAACTGGCAGTCCCCGGTGCTGTATGACCCCTGCCAGCCCCCACACAAGGGCCCGCAGATCCCAGGGCGTGGGTGAGAAGGAACCTGAGCTGCCACATCGGAAGGCCTGGGGTTGAGCCTCACCACCCCACCCCATCCAGGCCCACCTAGGACCCCTTCCCCTGGAGCTAAGGCCAGGCCACGAGACCACCATCCAGCCCTGTCCCCAACGGGTGTGTGGCCAGTACCTGCTACCCACCCTCCCAGACTCCCCCGTCTGCTCCCACCGCCGTCGGGACGGAATGGTCACCCACATAAGGAGAGCGTGGGAAGCAGAGCCAGACCCCTCCCCTGGAAGGAAGGCCCTGTTCCCACGGCTGCACCTTCCCAGAAGAGCCACCTGCCCCCAGCACCGGGCACCAGGAGCTCCCCAAGACGCCAAAAGGCCGCGGTCCTGGCAGAGGCCCCACAGGGGCCACCACACCCAGCGGTCCTGGCAGAGGCCCCACAGGTGCCACCACACCCAGCGGGTACAACGTGGCCTGGTGACAAGGCTGCTGCCTCTGGCCTGCCTCCCTACAGCATTCAGGCCCTATGCAGCCACCCTAATAACAGGCCATGCACGCCAGTCCTTTCCATCTGCCCATCACCCGCCCCAGCAAGTGGCAGTTCCAGCACATGGCTCACAAGACAGGTCCATCCCTGTAGGGGGAAACCGAGGCACTGAGGCCGGGGCAGGACCCCACACAGTGGGGAGCAAGGCTGTCTGGCCTGCCAGGCCCCATGTCAGGCCTGGATGTTTGGCCCAGCAGCCAAGGGGGCATGTTGCGGGGTCCAGGGAGGCCCCATCCCCCTGCAGACCCCAGGCCTCGAAAGCCCCCCTTCCTAGGTCTGGGCACCTCAGTTGTGCAGGGGACGTGCTCAAAGGCTGGCCCTCACCTCCGGGTTCCTCACCTGGAACCCCTGGTGCTCAGAGCCTGGGAGAGCCCAGAGCAAGCACCGCCCCCACTCACCCGCCCTTCTTCTGGACAGGCAGCTCCCGAGGCAGCCCCGCACTAAGGCAGCGCCGCCAGTCAGAAGGCCTCCCTGCTGTGTGCCCACCGCCTGGCCCTTCCTGCCTCCTGCCTTATAGACCCTGCAAACCTTCCTTGCTGCAGACCCCAAACCCTCCTCCTGGGCCCCAGAACCCGGGTGTGCCTAACTGTTTGGGCTCGAGTGATGGCTACAGGGGCTCGTGCCTGCCTGGTGCATCCCAGGGTGACCAAGAGGGTGCACAGTCCCCAGCTGCCACTCAGGCCCGTGTCCCACGCCATTACCTGGCTGCCGCTCAGACTGAGGAGCCAGGAGACCCCACCGCCCAGCGTGTTGCCCTGCAGTGAGGGCCGGCGCTCTTCCACCGAGGGTGGCGTCATCTCCCCCCGAAGGTCCTTGGTCAGCAGCTGGTGGAGAGAACAGAGGTGAAGTGGCTCTGCCAGGGCTGGATGGGCAGCCCAGGACAGCCTGGAGGGTCGGGCTACCCGGGCACAGTCAGGGGTTGCCCTTGGCCTGAGCCTCGGCCGTGTGTGCTTCATCCCTCGGGCCAGAGCGGGCTGGGTCCCCTCCCAAGGCCAGCCCCACTCCCTGGCCCTACCAGCTCAGGGTCTCCAGGGGCCCCAAAAGCCTCCGTCCAGCCCCAGAGGCTGGCAACCCAAGGGTCTGGGGCCAGCTGTGTCTGAACCCCACCCTCGAGGAAGAGTGGAGAGCAGGAGAGGATTTCCTGGCGACAGTTAGGGGAGCCTCAGGTCTCCATGCAGTCTGAGAAGGCACAAGGACAGGCGGAGCCTGGGCTGGGAGTCCAGTGAGGGCTGTGGGGAGCCTGGGCCCAGAGCTGCCCTTCCCCACTATAGGGAGCCACATCCCTCCCCTTCCCAAACAGGACACACCCTGGACCGGCCCCCAGGCTCTTCCGGCATCGCCCCAGACATGCCCCTGGGAGCCAACTGACATGCTTGTGCACACCGAGGGTTGCCCACAGCCCGAGAGCGCCCGCACCTCCTTCCTGACATCCAGGCTCAGCCCTGGCTGGCCCAGCACATACGATAGCTTGGCCAGGGCGGCCTCCGATGTCATGTCGAAGCCTGAGATGACGCCGGCTCCCGCCATGGCCTGTGAGGAGGGGGCGTGTGGGCAGGAAGGGCGACTCACCACGGCCCCCAGCCCATGAGGGGTGGGTCAGAGCCCACCTCTGCCAGGCCCTCAGGCTGTCCCCTTCCCCGCTAGGCCCTGATCTCCCGGCACTACCATGCCAGCTGCATAGTCTGTGGTCACAGCCCCCTGGAGGCAGTGGGTACAGTTGACGATGACCAGGCCGCGCTCGGTGGCCACCCGCAGCTCCTGCAGCAGGTCGGGCTTGGTGGGTCCGTTCCCTGAACCGAAGGTCTCCATGACCACGCCCTTCAGGGGAGGCTGCAAGAAGGCCCGAACCTGTGGGGCGGTGGGGTGGGGGCTGGATGGTGAGGGTCTCTGCCCTCAGCACCACTGAGACTCGCCCCATGCCCTCCCAAGGAGAGGGACCCCAAGCCAGGGGCAGCTGGTGCCTGCTCTGCTCCCGGGACAGTGGGGCTCCTGGCAGACGTGCATGGCTGCTGGCACCTGGAGGGGGCTGCTCCCCCCACATTCTCCCAAAGGGTCGCCCTGTCTGTAGGGACGAAGGCTTTGTGTGGCAGAACGCCGTGGAAACACTTCAGAGAGGTGGGAGAGGAGCCAAGAAGGCCATCAGAGGCCCCAGAGCAAACACCCTTGTCCAGCACAGCAGGGGCGGCTCCCAGCCAGCTGGAATCTGCGGGAGGACGCTGCCTCTAGAAAAGCATGGAGGACCCCGTTCTGGCTGTGAGCCGCGCCCCAACCCTGCCCACTCCCCGAGAGGCTGGAAAGCACCACGACGGAGGACAGGGGACAGGGCCTGGGGCTGGTGGGGCCACACTGCAGACATCTCAGGTCCACGCGGGGTCTGCACTGGCTGGTGAGGGCCCCAGGGAGCCTGAGGGCCGTGGGAGCTGCAGAGGGCTGGGGCTCAGGGCTGCAGGGGCAGGATGGCCGGGGCGGTCCCTACCAGGGCGGCAGGGATCCCAGGGTAGAGGCGCAGCAGGCCCACGTCCTGCTCCATGCTGCTGTGCACCACCAGCCCAGCCTTCCCGTCCACCTTCCGCACCAGCTCCCTGTTGACTGAGGACAGGGAAGGGCCTGTGTGGTGCCTTCAGGCCTCCTGCCAGCCGAGACCCCAGCCCAGTGCCTGGCCCTCTGCACAGGCCGCCTCCTCCCTTGTTTTCAGAGCCCTGAGCCTTCGCGGCTCAGCCCCCTCGCCCTGCCTCCTCTCCCGCAGGCAAATCCTCCCGGGCTTCCGCGCAGTCCGGCCTGTGCCAGGCTCCGCAGCGTGCACGGGGCTGTGGGAGGAGGCACTCGTTGGCCAGCGAGAGACCGATGGCCGAGCAATGGGCAACACAGTCTCAAGGGTGAAGCCCAGGGAAACTCCGCTGGCCAGGCGAGGGGCAGGAGGGTCCTGCAGAGATGGAGGCCCGGCTGTGTCTTGCAGGCCGCATGGGGGCGTCAGGCGAGCGCAGAGGCGAGGAGGGCAGGCATGCCCAGCTGGGGAGCCACCAGCAGTCACTGCGCTGGGTTACAGGCATGGGGCAGCATCGTCGAACCAGCCAGCCTCCTCTGCCCCTTGCCAGGCACCCACTGTGCCCACTGCCCACCGGGTCAGTGGTTGAATGAGCGAACAAATGGACTTTCGGACCCCTCACCTCTGGGGAGAGAAGGCCTCCATCCAGTTCACCCCAAAATCCTAATGTGTGCCCATCACCCCCTCCCCACACCCAGGGTGGGTGATGGTGGAGGTGCAGGCCCCAGGTGAAGTGGGGAGGGATGGCTATTTGGGGTCAGTGCCCCTTGAACCCGTCCATGCAGAGGGGCTCCCCAGAGGACATGCTTGTCCTCGAGCTGAAGGCCGCCACTCTGGCAGCAATTGAGCCCCCAGGGTTCTGCCGACTTTCCCGCTCCATGTGGGTGGGGGTGGGAGGCTGATGCCACAGGCCCGGCCCCCAAACCCTCAGAGGCCAGCGCCAAGGCTGAGGTCCATTCCCTCTGCCCCTCTCCACACTCATGGCAGCCTCCAGCAGAGCAGGGCTGGACACTGGGGACTCCCACCACACTGTGAGGTGTCAGAGCTGCCCAGGGCAGTAAACACCCTGGAGGCTGGAGAGCCCAGCCCAGGAAAACCGAGGCCCAGGGGTGGGGAAGGGCCTGGGCGCCTGGAGAGCCCGGCACGGTGCTGGGACAGGAACCTGGGCAGGAGGACCCCCGCACAGGGCTCTTCCTCCTGCCCACAGGGAGATGTCACCCACATGTCTCCGGCCGCTTCCGCTAGAGCAGCTTGCATGCGATAAAAAGGACTTTCCTGGCATGGTGGAGCTGAAGGGGGGAGATGTGGGGTGCTGGGGATGAGAGAGGGGGGAGCGGAGCCCCCAGCAGTGAGTCTTCCACCCCCACCAGAGCCCACAGCATCAGTCAGCCCCACATGATGGCAGCGTGAGATGCCCTTTAACTGAGGGCGTGTGTCTCAGCCGGACAAGCAGATAAGGCATCAGCACAGGAAAGGAGGGGGCACCGCTGCCACTGGCAAAGAGTTATGGCTGAGAGGGGGCTACACAGAGACAAAGAGGGCCCACACCCACCCCGCACTGACCTCCCGCCTCCTGAGAGTCTGTGGATGCCACCCTTGGGATCCCAGTCCTTCCTGCCCAGGCCTGCTAGAGGCCAGGGGAATCGTGACCCCACACCCGGGGGCAGAGAGGAGCGCTGGTGGCTCCATGGCCAGGTGAGGCCTGCAGGCTCAGCCCCTTACCCCCAAGAGGGGCTATGGCCCTGTTCTACAGATACGGGAGCTCAGCACAGGAGCCGAAGGGTGTAGTCTGCGGCCTCAAAGCTGGATGCGGCACAGCTGGGGTGGCTGGGTCACGTCTGGGAGGGAGGTGGCTTCTCCCAGTGCACAGAGGAGGGCTCTGGGGCTCTGCTTTGGGGTGACCCAGCGTAAGGACCCATGGCTGGTGAGTGACAGGCCTGGCCTGACCCCACAGCCATATCCCCTTCTCCACCCTCCTCTGCTCCAAGGGCCCCAGCAGAGTGGGCCGGGGTCAGGGCTCAGCACAGAAGGGTAAGGGTGCAGGATTTGCCTGGGGGTGACAGTGTGGTCTCCTGAGACACATGGAAAGGACAGGGCCAGCAGGGCCTCCTCCAGCCTCCCACGCATCCCCCCACCCCTTGGCGCCGAGCCGACTGTGGACAGGAGCACCAAGCCCGCCCATGACTCCCGGACCAGCCCAGCCCCTCACTTCCCAGACAGTGGGTAAAAAGCCCAGGACAAGCCCTCGACAGGGTGCTGGCAGCTGGCACCCGGGCCCAGGCCGGCATTGCTACCCCCAGCTGGCTCAGAGAGGCTGAGGGTGCACACTGCCAACCTGTGCCCCTCCCCAGGGGCCCCAGCAGCCACGCCCTGGGCAAGGCCTGAGGTTTCTCAACACTGGGTGCCAGAACCGGCCCGGCAGCCCGGCATCAGTTTCCCACACCCACACGCACGTGGGAAACACTCAGGGGTGGGGGGCTGGGGCCAGGGCAGCCTCCCACCCAGACCAGCCTTAGTGCTGCGCCCAGGAGCTGCCCCACGGCCCTGGGCCTGAGGCCGGTGTGTCTTGAGCCTCGTGGCCTGCCCGGGCTTAGCACCCGGTGCTGGCGGAGTCCCTGGAATCCAGAGCACGGTCCTCTGTGCACTGTTGGGGCGGGGTCCACCCACCAGCAGAAGCTCCACTCCTGAGCCCCAGATAAGGTGTGAATCAGGCCCCATGGGGGAGCCGGGCCTGCAGGGCACCACCCACACCTCTTGCTGCTCCTTCTCCCTGGGCTGGAGGGGCCGAGTGCCAGCATCCAGCATGGGCAAGCAAGCCAGTACCCTACCAGCACCAGCTCACAAGCCACCTCCTCCAAGAAGCCTTGAGGGCTGCCCTGGCCCTCGGTGAGCAAGTGGGCCCCTGCCCAAGCCCCTGAGACCCGGTGTGCTGCACACACAGTAGACACACTGATGTGTTCTGGGCCTCACACTCCCTAGAAGGTGCTCCAGGGAGCAGCAGGAAGAAGGGACAGGGTGTGAGCCCAGGACAGGAGGGAACAGCAGGAAGAAGGGACGGGGTGTGAGCCCAGGACAGGAGACAGCGCACAGGCTTGAGTCGGTGCCTCCCTGTGGGAGCCTGCCTCTCTCTGCCTCCGTTTCTCACCTGTAGAACCAGGCAGTTTCCTCTGTCCTGTCCTGCTGAGGGGCCCTGGGGCAACAAGCAAGTCAGCCACCGAGCCCGGACTCCCACACACAGGCCTTGTCTTGAGATCCAAAGACGCTGCCTCCACCCGCTTCTGCTGACGGCCCCACAGCCAGACATGCCCAGAGCCCCTCCTGTCCCCCGACTTCTGGTAGATGCTCCAGGAAGGCCCCTGCCCTGCCAGACCCTTCCCAGGGCCCCCTCATGCCAGGCCCTGAAGCTCCCCAGGGTCCTTGCCTGTGTCTGGGGATTCTTCCAGGAAGCTGTGCCCCAGCAGCCCATAGCCCAACCCTTTCTCCAGGAGGGTCTGCTCCTCCTTAAAATGGGGGAGTGGGGAGCCTCTGCCGCACCGGGAGATTCCCTAGGAAGGGCCTCCCCAGGCGTCCAGTGACCTTGTGGGCTTGACCCACCAGCCCGCCATGGCCCAGGCCTGGACAGAAGCCCAGTGTGGGTGAGGGGGCGCCTCCACCCCACCCGCCCAGACAGGAACAGCTGCTTTGGTCCTGGGCAGGCAGCCCCACCCAGCCCCGGGTGAGGTGTCAAATGCCCCCAAAGGAAGGCCAGTGCTGCCAAGCCCTGGAGCCTCCCCGGGGCTGGACCCCACCTCAGTCAGTCAGGATGAGACACAGGGCAGGTTTGGGGCTGCCTTGAAACAGCAGGGGGCCAGGGCAGGCAGGATGCATCTCCCAGGAGGGAGGGGATGCTCCCGCTGCCTCAGGGAGGGGTGCTGGCGTGGGGTCAGGACTGGCCATGCTGGCCGTGGACCTGGAACAGGCAGGGGCCGGGTAGAGTCCAGGAAGCAGGGGCTCCCTCAGCAGGAGCACACCCCAGACGGAGCGACGGTAGGCCAGGGAGTGACTTCCGGGCAGGCCACTGGAGTGGCCCTGCGTCTCAGGTGAGGCCTGGCAGGGCACCAGTCTCTGAGAACAAGCTCCAAGGCTGCTCCTACAGCCAGGGCCAGGGGGCGGGCTTGGCCCCCCCAGGGGGAAGCCTCAGGACACAGGATCGCTCGAGTCAGCCCCACAAGGATGGCTGGGCTGCCCGCCGGAACCAGAGGACAGAAAGACTCCCTGAAACTCCTGGGGACGAGGCTACGGCACACAGAGGTGTGGCAGAGCCAGGTGGTCACTGGGGACCTCCTAGGCCTGGGGCGAGTGGTTGGGCAGGACACATGAGGGCCAGATGCCCCAAACCTCTCTTCCAGGCCTCCCGCCTCTGAGCCTGCAGGGACCTGAGGAGGCCCCCACCTCTGTGGCCACGCAGCAGCCCTGTCCACGCAGCCCTGGCTTCTCCACAGCCCAGGGCAGAACCAAGCCAGGGCAAGTCAGAACCAAGCATGGTGCTCTCAAACTCTGCCGAGTCCCAGCCACGAGCTCCCTGCAGCAGCCCCTCGCCCAGCACCAGCACTGGGCAGGCACCTGGCCCTGCTCCTGCGGGGCTTACTTGTGATGTCAGCACCCACTGTGGCCAGAGGCAGCAGGTTCGGGGAGCAGAAAGCTGCGAACCTCCGAGCGTCTACCTTGGTTGCCCGGTTGCCCCGAAACAGCTGATTCTGGAAGAAAAGGCAGACCTGCGGGAACGGAGCGACAGAGTTCAGAGCAGCGGCCACCCTGTCCCCGACCCATCTGCCCTCCAGCTTCCTCCCTGCCATCAATGAGGTGCCCAGACCCAGGGGGAGGTGGGACTGTAACCCCACCCACCGCAGGCAGAGACCTTCCTGGGAGCAGGTACTGCCCCTCTCGGGCCCTTTCCTGCCCTGCCACCTACCCGTGGGCTAACCGGAGCCTGCAGGGGCCTGGGGACCCCAGGGCCTGGGGCGTGCAAGTGGCTGGGTGGCAGGAGGGTACCGTACTTCCTTCCCTTCCCACCTGCCCACTGCCCCCAACCCTGCTTCTTACAGAGCCCTGGGAACTCATCCCAAAGGTGCAGCGAGCACAGCTGCTGGAGGCCCCTGCCCACGGTGAATGGGAGTCCCTGAGGCCCCTGCTCAGGAGCCCGTGTGGGGGCTCTAGTCAAGCTGCTCAAGAGCCTTGGGTAAAGCCACTGCCCCAGGGTGGGGGAGATCTTTGCACACTCCTTCCTGGGACGCCACAGGAAACAGGGAAAGACATGGGGGAGGGAAAGTGACACCCTTCAGAGCCCTGCTGGCTGCAACCTGTTTTTATAGAAACTTCCATACCTATCTCTAATGTAAAACCTCCATACGTATCTCTAACGTAAAACCTCCATACGCATCTCTAACGCAGAACCTCCATACGTATCTCTAACGCAGAACCTCCATACGTATCTCTAACGGAGAACCTCCATACGCATCTCTAACGCAGAACCTCCATACGCATCTCTAACGCAAAACCTCCATACGCATCTCTAACGCAAAACCTCCATACGCATCTCTAACGCAGAACCTCCATACGCATCTCTAACGCAGAACCTCCATACGCATCTCTAACGCAGAACCTCCATACGCATCTCTAACACAGAACCTCCATACGCATCTCTAACGCAGAACCTCCATACGCATCTCTAACGCAGAACCTCCATACGTATCTCTAACGTAGAACCTCCATATGCATCTCTAACGCAGAACCTCCATACGTATCTCTAACGTAGAACTTCCATACGTACCTCTAATGTAAATATCCACAACATAAGATCTAGAAGACAGTGCACCCAGCTATTGGCAGTGGCGTCTGGGGAGGGGCTGGGGGGACTTTGTTTCCTGGCTGCTGTCTGGGCTCCTGCCCCCACCCCACCTGCCCCGCCTCCACGTGCACCAGGCAGGTACCTCTGGGATCACATACTGGCCAGCCATGAGCAGTGCCCCCAGCAGGTTCTCACGGCCGTCGCTCCACAGGGCATGGATGGGCACCTGGGGGAGAGGCCACGGAGTAGCTGAGGCCTGGGAAGCCCAGAAGCCTGGGATGTCTGGCTCATCTCTCCAGGTAAACCCCCAGGCCCAGCCCAGGAGCCCCAGGCGGGTGTGGGAAAGAGAAGGACAGGCGGGCTTGGACTGCAGCAGGCAGCCTGGAGATGGGTGCCTTGGGGGAACGGGGCACTCAGAGGAGCTGGGCAGTAAGCCTGTCTCCAAGGCCGCCAACAACAGCTGTCCCTGCAGACGATGCCAGCCTGCACCCAGGGCCTCAACCCACCCACCAACAGCTGTGGCTGCAGACCATGCCAGCCTGCACCCAGGGCCTCAACCCACCCACCAGCTCCCTCTACAGGTCCAAGAGCCCAGTGCTGGCAGCAGGGGCCAGCCGGTCCCCATACTGGAGAACGCATCACAGGCCTCCCACCGCAGCTGCCCTGCCCAGCTCCCTCGCTACCCCAGCAGAACTATGGGCTGGAAGGAGGGTGGTGGGGGTGAGGGGTGGGTGGGCTGTGACAGAAAGGAACTGCCTCGGGATGCCAGGCACAGTACAGCTCCTCCCACAGCTGCCTGTGTCTAGCATGGGCGACTGTGCTATGGTTGACTGAACAGCGCGTCCCAGGAGGGCGCAGGTGGCGGTGCAGAGGCCAGGGTTTTCAGGAGGAGGCGGCCGGGAAGTGGTCAGTCAGAGGCTCTGGAGGGAGAGAGCCCTGGCAGGGGGTGGCAGTCCTGGGTCCTGGGTGCTCCCTGGCTCAGCCCTCACGTGGTACGTGGCTGTGGGTGAGCCCCTAGCCTGTAAGCCTCAGTTTCCCCACAGGTATAACAGGGATAAGGATGTCCCGGCACAGGCCAACATCAGAGTGAGGACAACATGCATGTGAACGTTCGTGGGTCCTGCGGTGCTCATAACTGTGCCCTTGATCCCCTAGAGAGGTCCACGGGATGTTCTGCTCCCCCAGGGCTCGGGAAGGTCTGGGAAGAGGAGAACCAGCTGGAGCCCTGTCCCTCCTTCTCGAGTTCTGGGGCGGGAGGCACTGCTCCACCGCTAACAGGTGTGTGCAGTGGGCCCTGGGGAGACTCTGGAGGGACAAGGGAGACGGCGCCAGGCAAGCAGAGTGGGGTGGCTGAGCCACCTCCCCGGACTGCTCCCCGCAGACCTCCTAAGAGGGCCTCCATGGAGCTTTCTGGAACTGCCACCAAGCTCAAAGGGACACAGGTACCGGTTTCCCATACAAGACCTTAGCCTCAGCCGTGGGAAAGGATCCCAAGGGGTTCAGGTGCCCACTGCCACCCGCAGGCAACATGGACCCCTAGTCAGCTTCTAGCCAACCTCCCCTGCCACATCCCCTCAAATCCAGTTTTCCAGAACACTCTACTGGCCTTGGCTTATGGGATTTGTGCTGGGTTAGGGTGAGAGAGGCAGGGAAATCGTGTGCCAGGGCCCCCAGGATGGCATCGCCTAGACCCACAGTGGGCGGAGCAAAGAGAGGGACAAAGGCAGGGACATGGCCGGGGCCTCCTGGTGCGGCTCTGTGCGCGGCCACCCTGATGCGCCAGATGGAGAGGTGGGCAGCAGCCGCAAGGAAGCATCGGGAGGAGAGGAAGGGATGCCTGGCACCCCCAGGGCCGAGGTGGGCCTGGCTCTGGGTGCTCCAGGGCCTCACAGCTCCCAGGGCCACCAGCAGGAGATGACCCCCCTCCTGCGGGGCAGGTGGTGCTGGCACCCGGGCAGGACCTGAGCATTTGCGAGCCCCAGCACGGGCCCTGCAGCAGCCACCTCAGGAGCTGCTGGGCTGAGCAGGAAGCCCGGGGTCCCGCAGCGGCCGCCCACAGCGCTGACTTGCCCTGTGGCCTCAGGAAGCCCCTGTTCCTAGGAGCCCCGGGCCCCTGGGATTACCTGGGCCCCAGTGAGGATGACAGTCTTCTGCAGGTTCTCCAGCATGAAGGACAGCATCGAGGCAGCAAAGGCCATGGTGTCGGTGCCGTGGATGACCACAAAGCCGTGGTACTGCTCGTAGTGCCTCTGCAGGAGGGGCGCATGCTCAGGCAGGCCAGCCCCTCGCAAGCAGGTGTGGGGGAGGTTGCAGCATGGGGGAAAGGGTCCGGATGCAGAGAGGAGGACTCAGGGGAGGCACCCGTGGGACCCTGGCCTGGAAGTCCCTCTCTGGAAGATTAGCCCCTGGCGT
This sequence comes from Homo sapiens, assembly GCF_000001405.40. Classification (NCBI taxonomy): domain Eukaryota; kingdom Metazoa; phylum Chordata; class Mammalia; order Primates; family Hominidae; genus Homo; species Homo sapiens. Next base: position 104,095,367 of record NC_000014.9, on the reverse strand, counting down.
GGAGTCCTGGGACTCCCACGCTCTCCCTGCCCCGAGGCTTCCATGCCACTCGGGTGCACCCACCACGCTGAGGCTCCCCTCAGAGCACTCGAGAATGAGTCCCTCCAAGGGGCCTCTGCACACTCCCCAAGGGCGGGAGAGCGCCTCTCCATGGCAGCAGGGGGCTGTGGTGGTGCACGAGCCTCGAAGCCCAGACCGCGGGTCAGGCAAGAACACAACGGTGGGCACAAGGACGCCTGCAGGGTCAAGGCACAGCCATGGCCGGGAACCAGCAGGTGATCCTGGAGGTTGCCTGGATCTGGACCTGGGCGGCCGGGCAGGACACCGAAGGGCAGCAGTGAAGCTGGCCATGCAGGGACGTCCTCCGGCCACCACCCCCTGGAGGGTGGCTGGCCCAGGCTGCGGCTGCCAGGGCACCGTTCCGAGAGCCCAGGGCTCCATACGAAGCCTGGGCCTGCCCGGGGGGCCATTAAAAGACCAAGCCCCGTAGGCCTGGGAACTGCAGAGGAGCGGAGGCCAAGGAGGGGAAGGGCGCCCTCTGCTGGCCACTCGCGGCAAGACGGCAGGCTGGGCCACCTGAGCCGAGAAGGCCTTTGTGAGGCTGCCCAGGGCTGCTCCCTGCAGCAAGGACCGCAGGGCAGCTTCGTGGGCCTCAAAAAGCAGTCACGCCTTGCCCGGTGAGGGCTGCCGGCTACAAATGGAGGGTCCTGTCCTGGGTGGTGCTGCCTGCCACCCTGCTGCTGGGAAGGGGAAGCCTAGATGTTCCCACTCAGGGGAGCAGGGGGTTCGTAAGGGAAGCAGGTGAGAATTGGGACTGGAGCGGGCAGGAGGCCCCCTACTAGGGGAGGCAGCTCCGGTAACATGGGAGCGTGTTGTGATGGGGGAGAAGGGAGAAGAAAAGCTGATGGGGCGGGGGGTGGTTCTGCCTGCAGGGGGAGCACACAGGTCGCTGTAAACCACAAGAGTCTTTGAGAGGTGCTGTGGTCCACTAAGACTCCAACCAAGACTCCACTAAATCCACTAAGACTCCAACTGGGCGGGGACGGACAGAGGGCAGTGAGCAGGTCACCAGCCACGCACAAGGAGCTTGCTGGCCCTCGAGGTAGCATCACACACCACACACCGCGCCCCAGATACTAACTGGGACAGGCTAAGACAACTGTTCCCGTTGTGTCCTCATCTGGGAAGTCGACTTGGCCCTATACGCCCACCCCCAGCTTGCATGGGGGAGAGGAACTCAGAGCCTTGCCCGCAGCTCTGACACGTGGACCCTGCCCTTTCCTGAAGCTGCCATTCCCAGATGCTCCCAGGCCCCAGGCTGGGCAGGCCGACTCCACCCCAGACCCTGCAGCTCCTCACCCGTCCCAGAGTGTTTCTGCCGGCCACTGCCCATCCACCAGCCCCGCCCATACCCACAGCCCCGCCCACACTCATAGCCCCACCCACACCCTACAGCCCCACTCACAACACAGCCCCACCCACAAAACACAGCCCTGCCCACACAACACAGCCCACCCCACACCCACAGCCCCACCCACACTCCACAGCCTCACCCACTCTCCACAGCCCCACCCACACTCCACAGCCCCGCCCACACTCCAAGCCCCACCCACACTCCCCATTCCCACCCGTGCTCCCTAGCCCCACTCACACCCAACAGCCCTGCCCACTCTCCACAGCCCCACCCACACACCACAGCCCCACCCACACACCTCAGCCCCACCCACACACCACAGCCCCACCCAGCATTCCCCAGCCCCACTACCTTGATGGTCTGGGCAAGGCAAACCCACTCAGCGATGGTCATGTCACTGGAGTCGAAGAGGGGCTGGCACTCCAGCACGGTGTAGAGAATCCTCTGGTTGCGGCTGGCCGGGCTGCGGGACAGAAACAGCAGGAGGCGGAACAGCAGGCTCCCGCTCTGCACCTCCTCCTGCTCTAAATGCCCTGACCCGCTCTGTTCCCCTCTGGCAGAGCTGGGGCCCCTACGCCAAGGGCTCCGCACATAGCAAGTTCTCAGCATCCCAGGTACGGGGCCCGGCCCCCCTTCCACCTGGAGCTCCCCACAGAGGCAAGGACGTAGGTCAGGATGGGCCACTCCCAGCAGTCTTCTTCCCACACCAGCTCGAAGAGGGGGGCTGGGACCAGCCATCCCCAGGCAGGAGAGGATGCTTGCAGGAGGCTCGCCTGTGGCGGCTGTGGTGGTCAGCCACCACGAGGGCAACTCCCAGCTCACCCCCAGCTGTGGGGGACATCAGGGAGCTGGGCCCAGAGCTGAGAAATGGAAGGACCTCTATGCTGGGGGCAAGGCCACCTGGGCCAGCTGGCTCCTGATATACAGGATCCCTAGACGGGGCGCCCTCATCACACTTGCCGAAGCAGCCTGGCTGGGGGTGTGGGAGGAGGGTGGGGAGGGAAGGTGGGACCAGGCACGGGGCACCCTCAGAGGTTCAGGCTCTGGTGGAAGGCGACTGCTGGTCAGTCCTAAAGCCCTGTAAGCTGAGGGGATGTTAGAGACAGGGGTGAGCAAATGGCTCACGTGGGCCTGGCCAGCAGTGCCCAGCCTCAGGATCGGTGCCCCTCAGCAGCCATGCCCTGTCCGGGACTGGGAGGAGCCCACACTCACGGTAGCACCAGGGTGTCCTCAGAGAGGCCGCGGGCTCGGGCGTGCTCCTCGTCATGGAACATGGGCAGTGTCCTCAGGATGGCAGCCAGGCCCGTCCCGGGCACAAGCACTGCAGGCAGAGTCCAGGTGGATGCTGGGGTCAGGGGCTGACAGCCATGGCCGCCTCCTCCCTCACTGAGGGGCAGGACCAGAGCTGGTGGGATGGGGCTCCGGTCTTATGACAGTCAGAGGCTGGGAGGAAGGGCTATGGCTGCCCCTGGGACCCCTCAGAGGGCAGGCGGCTGACCCGCGTTTGGAAGCCATGGCTTCCTGCCTTGGAGCCCGTGGTGATTCCTCATTTCGCACCTGGACGGCCCCAGGAGCTCTGCCCAGGTCTCTAGCTGCTCCACCCAGGCCCTGCCCCTGCTCCCACCTCCTTCTCCAAATGCTTAGTCCACACTCCCCACCAAGGCCCACGGGGCTCAGCCTTTGCCTCACTGTGGATATACTGTGGGCTCTGCCTGGAAGTCCTGCCTCGTCCCCACTTCTCACCCAGTAGGTGCCTCAAGGCCCAGATTGGGACACCACCCCCAGGAAGCCCTCCCAGATGCCCAGGCTGTAGTGCTATTCCCACATTCTCCCTCACTGGCCCTCGAGCTCCCAAAGGGCACGGACTGTGTGACTCCCTCAGGGTCCAGCCCAGGTCCCCTTCCCCAGCTCCCCGACCTGGAGGGCCTAGCACACAGCAAGTGCACAGACGGGCTGGTCCCACCCCCAGCAACTCTGCCACCTTCCTGCAGCCTCTGCATCTCAGTTCTGTCCCTTAAATGGAGACCTGGCCACACCACTCATTCCCTGGGGCCAGCTGCTCAGTATAAAGCCCTGACCCCTCAGCCACCCCTCCAGGGCCTCCAGCAAGTCCCAAAGCTCCCTCCCGGCCCTCCCTTCCCTCCCCCAGCAGCAATGCCCCATCCTATCCTGCAGATCCCAGCCATGGTCACCTGCTTTCCCCCCTCGCCCTCTGCAGCTGTACCCATCGCCTATCACTGGCTCACAAATTAACCCCAAACTTGGCAAGTTAAAGCAGCCCCCTCTAATATCCCTCCAGCCGCACCCCTCCCTGACATCGCCCTCCACTGCTGGGCTCACCCTGGTCTCCACATCTCTGCCTGTTAAGTCACCAGCCCCGGGACACCAGCCCTTGGCCCCGTGAAGGTTTATGGCACCCGTGATCCTCCTCTGGCCTTACACAAAGGCCTGTGGAGCCCCGGGGACGTTTGCCAGAGGACTGGAAGATGCAGGCCGGCTGAGGTGCAGCCGCTGACAAAATCACCCCGCCAGTAGGGCTCAGCCAGCAGACGGGGGAGGCGGAGCCCGCACATGTTTGTCTGCCCGTCTGCCCTCCGAGGCGCCCAGAGCACAGCCAGGACACGGGCTGCCGGAACAAAGGTCTGGATTCACCAGCCTTGTGAACCCCAAGGACCCAACCTCAGACCCTGGGCATCCAGGGGGCTCAGGGTCCACCCCACACCGGTGTCCAAGTGTCCCTGTCTCATGTATGGTGGGTTGAAAAAGCATCCTAGATGTCCGCATCCCAGGGCCGGGCGCAGTGCCTCAGGCCTGGAATCCCAGCACTTTGGGTGGCCGAGGTGTCAGATTGCTTGAGGTCTGGAATTCAAGACCAGCCTGGTCAACATGGTGAAACCCTGTCTTTACGAATAATACAAAAATTAACTGGTCATGATGGCAGGTGCCTGTAATCCCAGCTACTTGGGAGGTTGAGGCGGGAGAATCACTTGAATCTGGCAGGCGGAGGTTGCAGTGAGCCAAGATCGCACCACTGCACTCCAGCCTGGGTGACAGAATGAGACTGTCTCAAAAAATTAAATAAATACATAAAAATTAAAAAGATGTCCACATCCCAATCCCCGGTACCTGTGGGTGTCACTTCATATGGAAGTGTCTTTACGGATGTGATATTAGGGGTCATGGGGCGGGAGGTGGCCCTGGACAATCCAGGTGGGCCCTAAACGCCCTCTCGTGTTTCCTCACAGGTGGAAGGCCACAGGGCACGGGGAGGGGAAGGCCATATGACGACAGGGCAGAGCGGCCCTTGGAGATGCTGGCCTGGATGACTGGAGTGATGCGGCCACAAGCCAAGGATTGCAGCAGCCACCAGACACTGGAGGTGGCAGGGGTGGCTCCTCCCGCAGAGCGTCAGGACGGAGCGGTGCCCTGCAGCACCTTGGCTCAGCCCGGGGAAACCCCTCTCAGGCCTCGGCCTCCAGAACCCAGAACGAACTTCTGTGATGTTCAGCCGCCCGGCACAGTGGCCACAGGAAACAAAAAGTCACTCTCCACTCATCACGGCGGGTGAAGCTGGGGTGCCTTATGGGAAAGGTGGAGGGGGCATATCTGGTTTGGTTTTGTGGGACATGCTCACGTTGTGCAAGGTCACCTCCAGCTGCTGCTGACTCATGTGGGGGAACAGCTTCCAGAAACTTCCAGGAATGCTGCAGAGTGGTAGGCGTGGATATGGGCCCTGCTGTCCCTGCTGGGGGCATGTGTGGGCACCACAGGCGAAATCAGCCAAAGACAAGACTAAACTCTCTTGGTGTCCTCTTCTCTCAAGCAAAACACTCCATATGTGCTTTTGCAGTGGTTTTTATGGCTCACACCTGTAATCCCAGAATTTTGGGAGGCTGATGCAGGAAGATCATTTGAGCCCAGGAGTTCAAAACCAGCCTGGCCAATTTCTTTCTTTTTTCTTTTTCTTCTCCTTTCTTCCTTTTTTTTTTTTTTTTTTTTTTTTTTTGAGGCAGAGTCTCACTCTGTTGCCCAGGCTGGAGTACAGTGATGCCATCTCGACTCACTGCAACCTCCACCCACCCGGCTCAAGCAATTCTCCTGCCTTAGCCTCCCGAGTAGCCGGGATTACAGGCATGCACCACCACACCTAGCTAATTTTTTATTTTTAGTAGAGACGGGGTTTCGCCATGTTAGCAAGGCAAGTGAACCACCCGCCTTGGCCTCCCAAAGTGTTGGAATTACAGGCCTGAGCCACCATGTCTGGCCAAACGTTCCTTTTTCAAACCTATACTGTCGCCAGTAAAGTTTTCTTACCAACCTGCGAGTGGACCACTTTCCAACTCTGGGGCTCCAGCACTCACCCCGCAGTCAATGTGTTGTACGTCAGCAGCCATTCTAACAGGTATGTAGTGGCATCAGTTTTTTTTGTTTGTTTGAGACAGGGTCTCACTCTGTCACTCAGGCTGGAGTGCAGTGGCGAGATCTCGGCTCACTGCAACCTCCACCTCCTGGGTTCAAGCGATTCTCATGCCTCAGCCTCCCCAGTAGCTGGGACCACAGGCATCTGCCACCACATCTGGCTAATTTTTTTTTTGTATTTTTAGTAGAGACAGGGTTTCACCATGTTGTCCATGGCTGGTCTTGAACTCCCGATCTCAAGTGATCCACCCACCTCAGCCTCCCAAAGTGCTGGGATTACAGGTGTGAGCCACCGCGCCCAGTCAGCTGGGGCAATTTCTTTTGTTATTTTAAATAAACACCAGCTTTCAGCCGGGCACGGTGGCGGGCGCCTGTAGTCCCAGCTACTCGGGAGGCTGAGGCAGGAGAATGGTGTGAACCCGGGAGGCAGAGCTTGCAGTGAGCTGAGATCGCGCCACTGCACTCCAGTCTGGGCGACAGAGTGAGACTCCATCTCAAAAAAATAAAAATAAATAAAAAATAAACAAACACCGGCTTTCACACCTAACTATGATTTTGTAACTTGTATTACTTTTCTCAATGAGGGCCCTCCAAAAGCTTCAAGGGCTGCAGAATCTGAACCCTCCAGCCCTGCCTGGAACCTCTTCCTTGGCCCATCCAGGCAGGTGCCTGAGTTTGCTGGTGACTTGGAAACTCCTCAGCCCCCTGCCAAACACCTGGAAAGGAGGCTTTGCTCTCTAAGACAATGGGCCCCACTGTCACCAGCGAAGTCAAGCTTAGGCTTAGAAACTTGTGAACGTGTAGCACCCATTCAGGAAGGAGGTCCAGGCCAAGGGCACAGACGCCACTGCAGTAACCAAGAAGCCATGGGCATCACTCCACTGACACTCTCGACTGCTGGGACCCGTGTGGTCACCGGGCAGGGAGCTTCTCTCAGCTGCCTGGCCCCAGATCTCTGCCCTCCCTGCTGTGCCTGCAAGGAGCCGGGCTCAGGAGGGACTTTGGGACAGGCCGGCAAGCAGGTGGGGTTCCCAGTTTGACATAGGAAGTCTTCAAGTTTCTCGGGTGTACAGAACGTGGCCACTGATGCCAGCTTGGGCTTGGGGTTATCAGCCGTGTTTGGATTCGCTATGCCCCTTGACCTGTGATAGCTTCAATGAACTCAGAGAAGGGATGGGTCAAGGGGCGTCCCCACTGGCATCACCTCTGCCCTCCCTGAACTCTGGCAGGGCTCCAGGTGTGCAGCGTTCCACCCACAGGTCACTGTTTACCAGCAGGCGCAGAAGCCGTTCCAACAGCGACAATCAAACAGCTTTACTAGGGCAAAGCCACCACTCCCCTCTCACCTCCCCAGGGAAGGCCAGAGCCCACGTCAGCAGTGTGGAGGGAGTAAATCATTGACGCCTGACAGTCTGGCTGCTCCAACCTCACGAGGGGTTGGGGGAGCCCATTCCTGCAGGTTCCTGGAAGTGGATGCCCCACATGGGTCAGCTAGCAACAGCTGGGGGTGACCTCGCAGCCACACGAGGACGGGCTGCTGAGCAGAAGCCAGGACCCCAGTGCACAGAGCACCAAGGGATCTCAGAAGGCTGCTTCAGGTCTGAAGACTGACGCCCCACACCCAATTTCCAGCCTCCAAGTCTCTTGTTTCCCACCCAGACACAGGACCTCACAGCCTCTTTCAGAAATGCGGTGCACGCGTGTGAGTGCACCCACAGGCTGCTGCGGCGAGCACGCGGGGGCCAAGCGAGACGGGTGTGTGGTGGGGTTACAGAGTCCACCTGCCCCTGCAGCTCGGACCACTCAAGAACTACATGTTGAGCTCAACGAAACTGCAGTTGGCCACACTCCAAGCCTGAAGGGGTAGCGTCAGGGGCGTCGGACGAGGCCCCACACAGAGTCCCCAGGTCCTGTCCCCACTCGGGGGCAGCTCTGGCAGGCTCCGGCCCTGCTGGGCTCCCCACTCCTCTTTCCTGCACCTTGCAGGGCTGCTCCTGGCCTGGCCCTCTCCCATCTTTGTCCTGCAGGCCTTGTGTCCTCAGAGAAGCCCTCCCTGGGCTGCCTCCAAACTCCACACCATCCACACACCCAGCTCAGACCCTGTTATCAGCCCACAGCCCCTACAGGGCCCTGGCAGATCCTGCCCCTGGGACTAGCTCCTTAATGCATGCCATCCCTTCAATGGCAGCCTCTCTCTCTAGCTTGTGAGGGCCAAGCACAGGAATTGTGTCACTCTGTGTCAGTGGAGTGTCACACAGGGGCGTTTGCCAAGCTGTGAATGACTTTGTTCCATTCACAGGCAGAAGGAGAAGTGCAGAGGAGGCTCCCGGCAGCCTGGACAGCCACGTTCTTGGGGACCTGAGTCCCTCGTGGACGAGCCCCACTAGGCTTTGTCTCCTGGGCTGGGCGCAGAGTGGGCCTCCAGAGGGGTCTGCACCGGCCACAGTGTGGTGGGTGGAATCTGAGAGCACCGACAGAGTGCTGGTGGCTTCTGAGCAGCCACTTCAGCAGAAAGGGGTGGCCAGGAGGGGCAGCTGCCAGGGAACAGGCCGTGAGAGGGGGTGGGGATAGGAGGGGCGGGGAAGTGGTTGGCAGATGGGCAAGGGACAAGAGAATGTTCTGGTCATGCCAGGGGAGGCCCTGGGCTCTGGCAGAGCCGGAGAGGGTCCCAGCCGTCCCAGGAGAGAGAGCTGCGCTGGACACAAGCAGGAGTGTGGGGAGGGGCCAGGGCAGCAGGGAGTGGGAGGAGGAGGAGTGGAAAGGGCTCCTGAGGGAAAGGCAGGCAGTGGCCCATGGAGGGTCGCAAACAGGTTCAAGACGGGGCGAGGGGGCTGTCCTGGCCCCAAGGGAGGCCCCACATCACAGCAGAGCCCATCTGGGGGCCCCAGGCAGTGTCCTGCCCTCCTGGGGAACACCCAGGCATTCTGGAGGCTCCAGTGCAACCGTCCTCTCCCCATCCCGGTGGCCTCAGGCTCCCCAAGCTACCATCCTTCCTGTGCCCAGCCCAGGCTGGCAGCACTGTGCTGGAGTACCACAGAGCTCGGTGCCTGTCCCAGGCCCTGACCCCACCCAGGCAGAACTCAGTCCAGACGCAATCGCTGGTCTCTGGTCAACCAGGTCCACACAGGGGCAGAGGAAGCAGGGCTCTGAGGCCACCTCGGGTGTGAACACGTGCGTCCCCGCAGATGCCAGGTAGCCCCAGTATCGTGCCAACCACTGCTGCCTGACCAGGACCCCAGGGGACGGGGACACCCTCCTGGGTGTCGCAGTTGAGGGGTCCTCGCAGCCTCCTAAGCCTTCTCCAGGGCAGCCTCCTAAGCCTTCTGTGTCCAGAGCAGGAGCGGCAGGCCAATGCCCTGGGGCCCTCCCGCCCCATATTCCAGGACTTCAGGACGCTGGCCCTCAGGGGCGCAGCGGCAGCACAGGGGGCCTGGCCCCAGGGTCGCAGGGCGCTCCCGGGAGCACCGCGACGGCGAGAACCCACCGCAATCTCCTCTGTCCAGGTCGGGGCTCCATGCGTGGGGACGCCGGTGGCCGGAACCGGAGGAGAGCGACCTCAGCCCGCACCCCCCATCCAGGCGCGGATTTGACTCCCCAACGACCCCCGTGGGTGCAGGAGGGTCCGAGGCTCCCGGTCGCGGCCAGGTCCAGAGGCCTACCCCGCCCAGGGTCTCGGACTCACCGCCGAGCTCACTCCGCATGCCAATGGTGCCGCCGGTGTAGACGGCCAGCAGCCTCCGCTCGGGCCCCACCGCGCGCGCCATGCCGGACCGGGGACCACGGGAGTGGACGGGGGTGTGCAGCGGGGACGCAGGGCCTGCGGGACTCAGGGACTGCGCGGAGGAGGCCCGGGGCGCCGGGGGCAGCCTGGGAGGGCGGGGCCGGCGGGGGCACCCACGGGGAGGGGGCGGGAGTGGAGTCTGCCCGGGAGGGTGGGAGGCCCCGCGGAGGCGGGCGGGGGCAGGACCTGGGGGCGGGGTGGGTCCCGGGGACTGTCCAGGGTCGGAGAGAGAGGCGGGGCCTGGCGGGGTGGGGGCGGGGCCTGGCGGGGTGCGGGGCGGGGCCTGGCGGGGTGCGGGGCGGGGCCTGGCGGGGTGCGGGGCGGGGCCTGGCGGGGTGCGGGGCGGGGCGCGGCCTTGGAAACGTGTAGGAAGAGGTGAGGTCTGTGAGGGCGGCAGGGGGAGCTCCTGCCTGGGCAGGAGATTGGCTGGGGCCTGCTTGGGGCTGGGGAGCGCCTGTCCAGGGACTAGGGGGCAGCCAGAAAGGCAGCGACAGGGGTGGGGCGGGTCCTGAGCCATCCTGCGGCCATTGGCCCTCCGTGGCGGCCCTGGGTGTTTGAGTAGCTGTGACATGTGGTGCCTGGCAGACCGTAGTGCCCGAGGCCCTCCACGACCTGAGCACAGAGGGGGCTCCGTGTCCTGTCAAGCAGCCTCCACAGCCCCGGGGCTCCAAGGCCGGCATTGCTGCCCAGGCCCTGCTGTCCCTCCTTTGGATGGCCAGAGGCAGGCAGAGCTGGACCAGCCCCTCCACATGTGCCCATTCACACACCATCCAAGAGAAGAGCCCGAGGGGCCCCCAAGGGCTGGAGCGGGACAGAGCAGGAGTATGGCCTTCTTGGACAAACACCGCCATTTTAGGTTCCCTTTGATTAAAAAGCTGCCTAAATCCAGCCCAAAACACATCAGCCCAATAGCTAATGTCAGCACGACCGTAAACCACAAATAACATCTCCAATCAGAAACATGCCAACCTCGAGATAACCTCCCCTCCGACCAGAGACATTCCAAGCCCGCAATAAACTTTCCCTCACATAGAAACATTCCGAGCCTGCGATAAGCTCCCCACTTCCTAAACCCTTAAAGATCCTTAGTCTGTAGGAGAGATGGCTCCTGACCAAAATCGGCCAGAAGTCCCTTTCAGGTTTATTCTCCAAAATAAACCTGCCTTTGTTGAGCCGCTTTTCATGTTTCTTTCCTCTTTCTTTAACTCCTACAGAGCCCACCCTCCTTCACTCCCATGAGAGCCCAGGAGGGCAGGGCACTGGCGGGTGCAGGGTCCCAGGAGGGTCCCAAGCTGCAGGCTTGCTCCCAGGTGGACAGAAGATCCGCGGCCTCCTCGTCTCCTGGCACCTTGACTGCCTGGGGCACTGATGCACTTTGGTGGGAAACTGTGTGTTGCCCCCAGAAGGCACCAGCATTTGACACTGATTCCATAATAAAAATTATTATTATTCTGTTGCCTGGAGGGCAGTAGCAAGATCTTGGCTCACTGCAACCTGTGCCTCCCAGGTTCAAGCAATTGTCTTGTCTCAGCCCCCTCCCCGAATAGCTGGGATTGCAGGTGCACACCACACCAGGCTAATTTTTTTTTCTTTTTTTTTTTTTGTATTTTTAGTAGAGACGGGGTTTCACCATGTTGGCCAGGCTGGTCTTGAACTCCTGACCTCAGGTACTCCACCCACCTCAGCCTCCCTAAGTGTTGGGATTACAGGTGTGAGCCGCCATGCCCAGCCCCATATAATTATTTTGATAACAACAGTGCAATAGTGCAAAAGTAATCTTGTCTGCAGAGAAGCAAAGGCATTCTGCCCAGCAAAGGTCTGTGTTAGTTTTCTGGGACTGCAGTAACAGAACGAGTGATTTACAGTGCAAGGAGGTCTACCTCTCACAGTTCTTGGGGGTGGAAGTCTAAGGTCAGGGTGTCACAGGTTGGTGTCTCCTGGGCAAGCAGATGGTGCCTTCTTGCTGTGCCTCACAGGGTCTTTCCTCTGAGCAGTCACGCATCCCTGATGTATCTCCAGATGTCCAGACTTTCTCTTTTTATAGACATACCAGTCAGATTGAATTTGGGGCCTCATTTTAATTCAACCATCTCTTTAAAGTCTACCTCCAAATACAGTTGCATTCTAAGACACTGGGGTGTGGGGGACTTGAACATTAGAATCTAAGGGAGACAATCCAGCCCATCACAGCCCCCTGAAAATCCAGTTTCAGGTCCATTTGCACAATCATGTCAATATTCCTCATCTGTAAGTGTCTGTTTCAGGACTTCTCTTCTGAGCTGGTCCTCACAGCTGCCTGGGCTAGGGAAGCTCTTCGACGCATGCTCACCCTGCATCCCTGTGAGCACCATGTCTGGCCCTTTCGGGAATCATCCTTTAACAACCCGCCTGCTACCATAAATTCTAGGAAAACTTGTCTGGGGCCAGGGCAGCCTTCACTGGCAATAATCCTCACTGGAGTGGCTTTTCTCCCAGGTGCAAGGAGCCCCATCAGGTTTCTGCTGCTGAAACCTTGCAAGCACCAGGACTCGACGCTGCAGCTTCACCTGAAGACACTGCCGGTCTTTGGACGAATCCACTGTCCTGCTTTGCTTTTGTCTGCGTCCACCTACATCTACAGCGTCCTTGGACGGAATCTTTCATGCAATATATGTTGAAGGCTGGCTCTGTGCCAGATGCCTCTCTAGGCACAGGGGACGCAGCCCGTCCTTCTGAGTGTACCAGCCAGGGTGGGGGCCATAGTAGACAAAAATACCAGCGTCTGGCAGTGACAGTGCCTGGAGGAACACTCAGGGAACACGGAGACAGGCAGTGCTGTTTACAACAGGGTGGCCAGGGAAGGCCTCTCCGAAGGGTTGGCATTGGAGCAAAGCCAGCATGCCAGGCGGGACAGGCTGCCAGGAAGGGACAGGTGCTGAGGCCCGAGGCAGGAGTGAGCATGGCCCCACAGTGCCCAGGTCAGTGGGGCGAGAGCACTCAGAGGGAGGGGATGCCCGCTGAGTGACTGTGGTGCCACGCAAGGACTTTCAATTTAACCCCAAAGGTGAACACCAGCCCCACCGAGGGTTGGGCTGGTTTGTTTTAATCTCTGGCTGCTATGTGCGGAGACTGAGACAAGAATGGGTTCAGGAGGGCTTTGGGCAGGGTGGGGAGGAGCTGGGGATGGGGAAGTGCAAGGTGGGAGTGCTGGGAGCACAAGCTGGAGCTTGAGGGGTACGCGCCGAAGAGAAAGGGTGACTCTCCTGTCTTTGGCCAGAGCAGCCACGGAGTGGGGATGTCCTTACTGAGAAAGCAGGGGCCAGAGTGGGGCCTGGGGCCAGGCAGAGGGAAGCAAGGTGTGTTGGACACATCCTGCTTGGGGGCCACCTGGGCAGGTCCAAGGAGACTCAGCTGCGCGTCCTGCAGTCAGTGGCACAGGGACCACAAAGTCGTGACAGCAGCGAGGTGTCAGCAGAGACAAAGGCCCTAGTCTGAGCCTCAGCATTCTGGCCTCAGAGGCCAGGAGGAGGAGAGAACCCAGGACCGCGAGGGGAGAAGGCCAGTAAGTGATCTTCACGTGAAGTCCCGGGGCTTGGTGAGGGGAGGCCAGAAGCTGGCCACGGTGGAGCAAGGTGGAGGGTGCTGCGGCCTCACCCCGGGTGAGTGGCGTGGAGGGGCAAACGTCTGTCCCCCTGGAGGGACACTTGGCCATCGCTGTGCTGCCTGCTGCTGAAGGAAGGGCTCCCCACCAGGGGCTGGGTTAGGAAGGTGTGGGGTGTGCCAGTCGCTCCCTGGCTCCTGGCCCCCTGGCTCCCCAGGCAGTGTAGTGCCAGGAGGTGAGTCCAGGGAACCTAGGCAGCCCCAGCCAAGTCCCCACGTTCTGCCTGCCCCTCCTTTATTTTTGATTGTTCAGAAAAGTGTTTCCTTGGCCACCCAGGGGTCTCCTCGTCCCCTCTTCTCTCTCACTTCCCATCTACACCCTCCCCAGTGGCCCTCCTTCCACACAGCGCAGGAGAGTTCTGGGTGGGACCCTCCCAGAGTGTTTATAAAATCCACTCCGGCCCCAGCCCCACCCAGAGCAGAGCGGAGGGACATCTGCCATTTGACAGTGCCCGGTGGTCCGGACCACCCTACAGCCCTGCCTACCTTTTCTGCAGCCCTGCCTGTCTTTTCTGCATCTCTTCTTCTAGAGCAGGGTGCTCAGAGCGTGGCCTCCGCTCCAGCAGCAGCACCTGGAACCTGTGGAAATGCAAAGCCCAGGCCCCTGACAACAACTCCGCGTGGGGCCCAGGAGTCCAGACTCTGACCCCGCTCTGGGTGATGCTGATACAGGTGCACATTTGGGAACCACTGGTCTCGAACAAAGGCCGGCAAACCAGGGCTCGACGGCCAGGCCTGGCGCACCTGTGTGTGTAAACACAGTTTTCTTGGAACAGCCACACCCACTCATTTATGTATTGTGTTGGGGAGGTGCCAGGTGGCAGGCCCCCGTGGCCATGCCATGGCTGGCCTTCCAGAGGCAGAGGGGCAGGAGGAAGTGCCTGGGTGCCGAGCAAGGGGCCGCAGGAATGCCACACGTACTCCTGTCTGTCCTCAGCCACTAACTGGGGCAGGCCTTGGTCCAGGGTGGTCACCTCCACCCTGAGGCTGGGGGGCCTCAGGTCACAAGCTCTGCTCTCCCAGTCCCCAGCTCCACACAAACAAGCCAAGACTCCTGGAGGCAAGGCGCAGTGCTGAGGCCACTGGCGAGGTACACGGTGCCCCCCTGGGTTCTGGCCGTGGCAGCAGGCCTGGGCAGGGAGGCCCTGGGAGCCCACCTTCTTCAGCCGCTCAGGCGTCGTCTGTTGCCCTACACTGTGAGTCTTCATGGTACTGCCTATGGGCCAGGCGCTGTTGCAGCCACCCTGCAAATCCAGGCACATTTCACCCCTGTGACCACACCGAGGCAGAGGATAACTGTCCTATTTGGCGAGTGAGGGGCCTGAGGCACACAGTGCGTCCCACGGCAGGCAAGCGCTGGCACTGGGCTTGTGGACACCACAGGAGTTCCTGACACTGTGTTGAAGCAGGCTGGCCCGGCCTGGGCCAGTGTGCTGGAGGGGAACAGAGGTGTGTGGGGACCCCAGAGAGAGGAAGCCTAAGAAACTTTCCGACAGGGAAAGGAGTCTTGGGGCCTGGGCAGGGAACTGCAGAGAGCTGGGGCATCTTCGGCAGAAGGTTGGACCCCAGGGGAGTGTGGGAAAGCACTGAAGGGTCACTCTATGAGCTATGATCGCACCACTGCACTCCAGCCTGGTAATAGACCGAGCCCGTCTCATAAATAAATAAGGGCAAAGGACTTGAACAGACATTTCTCCAAAGATGATATACACTTGGCCAAGAAGCATACGAGAAATGCTCAACATCACTAATTATCAGGGACATGCAAAGCAAAGCCACGTGGTGTCCCCACTCACCCTTTGGGATGGCTACTATCAAAAAAAAAAAAAAAACAGAAAATAAGTGTTTGCAAGGATGTGGAGACATTGGAATTCTGGTGCACTGCTGGTGGGGTTATAAAATGATACAGCCACTATGGGAAACAGTAGAGGCTTCTCAATAAATTAAAATTAGAACTACCATAGCGTCCAGCAATTCCATTTGAGAACAGAGACCAAAGATTGGAAAGGAAGGTCTCAAAAAGATGTTTTCACACCCACGTTCATAACAGTACTGCTCACAAAAGCCAAGAGGTGGAAGCAACCTGTGTGCATCCACAGATGAGTGGATAAGCAAAGTGGTATCTCCATAGAAAAGGAAGGAAATCGGCCAGGCGTGGTGGCTCACGCCTGTAATACCAGCACTTTGGGAGGCCGAGGCAGGCGGATCACGAGGTCAGGAGATCGAGACCATCCTGGCTAACAAAGTGAAACCCCATCTCTACTAAAAATACAAAAAAATTAGCCGGGCGTGGTGACGGACGCCTGTAGTCCTAGCTACTCAGGAGGCTGAGGCAGGAGAATGTCGTGAACCCGGGAGGCAGAGCTTGCAGTGAGCAGCGATCGCACCACTGCACTCCAGCCTGGGCGACAGAGCAAGACTCTGTCTCAGGAAAAAAAAAAAAAAAGAAAAGGAAGGAAATCCTGCCACAGGCTACAACATAGGGTATGCTAAGTGAAATAAGCCAATCACAGAAAGACAAATACAGATGTTTGCAATGGGATTATGTTCTAATAAACCCATCATAAGTCAAAAAATCATTTAGTTCAAACTTCGTAAATCAGAGACCTTCTATCAATAGGATCCCACTTATATGGGGTACTAGATGCTGAGGTCTGAATGTATCCCCCAAAACTCACTTGTTGGAAACTTAATCCCCAATGCAACTGTGTTTGGAAGTGGGGCCTTTTAGGAGATGTTTAGGTCATGAGGGTGTGCCCTCGTGAATGAGTTAATGCCACTATAAAACGACCTAACTGAGGGAGTTTGGTCTTTTTTACCCGTCTGCCACATGAGAACACAGACTTCAAGGTGCCATCTTGCAAGCAGAAGCCCAGATCCTCACCAGACGCCAGATGCCAGCTCCTTGATCTTGGACTTCCCAGCCTCCAGAACTGTGAGAAATAAATCTGTCGTTTATAAATTACCCAGTCTCAGGTATTCTGTTACAGCAGCACAAAACAGACTGACTCTATGAGGAGCCAAACATATAGAAACAGAAGTGGAATGATGGTTGCCAGGGCTGAGAAGAGGAGGGACTGAGAAGTTGCTTCATAGGTGCAGAGTTTCAGATGTGCAAGATGAAAAAGTTCCAGGATCCCTTTCACAACAATGTGAATATACTTAACGGTGCACGACTGAACGGTGCACTTAAAAATAGTTAAGATGGTACATTTTTATGTTTTCTACCACAATAAAAAAAGTGAGCAGGCAAGGATAGACTAGAAGAAAATGTTCACAAGACATATACCAGACAAAGGATTTGCATTCTCACAAAAGAACTCCTACAACTCAATAAAAATACAAACAACTCCCCCCAAACGGGGCACAAGATTTAAGCAGATACTTCACAAAGGAAGATATGGGCAAATTTTAACACAAAAAATTAGGGGACCAGGTGTGGTGGCTCATGCCTGTAAACTTAGCACCAGGAGGCCAAGGCAGAGAAAATTTTTCTCTACAAAAATTAAAAACTAGCTGGGTGTGGTGGTGCACACCTGTGGTCCCAGCTACTCAGGGGGCTGAGGCAGGAGGATCGCTTGAACCCAGGAAGTGAATCACACCACTGGACTCCAGCCTGGGCGACAGAGCAAGACCCTGTCGCTAAAAAAATAAAAATAAATGTTCAGTTAAAGGGAATTAACTACTGAGAAGGGCAGAAACATGTCTAAAGAACATAGGAAGAGAAGATGTGCAGCAGCCTCTAGGATCAAGGACAACACCCATGGGAGGAAGAAACTTGGAACAGCCCTGCTCCCACACCCAGAATGAGACTCAGACCTCTTCGGAGAGAGAGTGGCTGAGGCCACGGAATGGCCAGAGGTGCAAAGGCTGGGCCTGGAGGCAGGAAACTGCTTATTGCTGAGAGGTGCTGGGAGGCCACCTGCTGGCAAGCAGCACCAGAAACAGGAAGAGTAGTTCCGCTCCTCCTGCAGTGTCCCTCCAGTGCCCTCTGCCGGCAACGCCTAACATTGCATCAGCTGGGAAAGAAGAAATGTTTACAGTCTAGCTCCAGGACGCCAGACGAAAGAAGGATGGATTGAGGGCTGAGAGAGAAAAGCTCCAACTAGCACGGAATGTAAGTATTACAACCGCTTTAGAAAATTTGGTAGTTTCTTACAAGATTAAACGACCACCTGCTCAATGACCCAGTAATCCCACAACTCCTCGGTATTTACCCAAGAGAAACAAAAATCTATCTACAGACTTGTTCACAGAAATTTTATTCATAATAGGTAAAAAGTGAAAACAATCCAATGCCCATCAGTAGACGAACAAAGAATAAAGTGTGTGTGTGTGTGTGTGTGTGTGTGTGTGTGTGTGTGTGTGCGTGGTTTGAGATGGAGTCTTGCTCTGTCGCCCAGGCTGCAGTGCAGTGGCACAATCTCAGCTCATTGCAACCTCTGCCTCCTGGGTTCAAGCAGTTCTCCTACCTCAGCCTCCGGAGTAGCTGTGATTACAGGGGCCGATCACCACCACGTCTGGCTAATTTTTGTATTTTTAGGAGAGACGAGGTTTCACCATGTTGGCCAGGCTGGTCTCGAACTCCTGCCCTCAGGTGACCCACTCACCTTAGCTTCCCAAAGTGCTGGGATTACAGGCATAAGCCACCATGCCCAGCCAAGAAACTGGTATATTTATACAATAGAAAACAAAAGAACAAATTATTGACTTAAACGTGTATCTTGGTCTGTTTTGTGCTGCTATAACATAAATAAACCTCAAACAAACATTATATTGAGCAAAAGCAGCCTGATACAAAACATTACATACTGTAGGATTCCATTTACATGAACTTTTACAACAATCAAAACTAATCTATAGGCTGGTCACGGTGGCTCACGCCTGTAATCCCAGCATTTTTGGGGGCCAAGGCAGGCAGATCACTTGGGGTCAGGAGTTTGAGACCAGCCTGACCAACATGGTGAAACCTTGTCTCTACTAAAAATACAAAAATTAGCCAGGCATGGTGGCATGAGCCTGTAGCCCCAGCTACTTGGGAGGCTGAAGCTGGAGAATTGCTTGAACCTGGGAGGCGGAGGCTGCAGTGAGCCGAGATCACGCCACTGCACTCCAGTCTGGGTAACAGAACAAGACACTGTCTCAAAACAAAACAAATCTATAGTGAAAGTAATCAGAAGGGCGGTTGTATCTATGGGAACTTCCTGTGGTGATGGAAATACTGTTATCCTAGCAGCGGTGTGGTCACATGGGTGTATCAATTCATCAATGCTATATCTGCACTATAATTCAGATCTGTACATTTCTCTGCAAATTATGCCTCAAACAATTTTAAAGGGGAAACAAGAATCTCTAATCTACAGCTATGTGAAAAAAGGAGGAGGGAACACAGACTATCAATGCTGAAGTTCTATTTCTTACCCTAAACTATCCTTTAGTCTTATACCATCCCAAATCAAAAGTTGTTACAATGAACCTAAATGAGCAGTAACAACAAAACTCTTAATCTAACAGTTCTCCAAACTCTTTTTCTTGTAAGCAAACTCTGAGAATGTTATTAGAACTTGTTTATTTCTCCATTGGTTCATATTACTCAGGCTTACATGTGTAGCTAGGATGGGCAAATGTAAGCATACTTTCTCTTTTTCATTTTTTTGAGACAAGGTCTCACTCTGTCACCCAGGTTGGAGTGCAGTGGCACGATCATAGCTCACTGCAGCCTCAAACTCCTGGGCTCAAGCAATCCTCCCACCTCAGCCTCCCAAGTAGCTGGGACTACAGGCACACACCACCACACCTGGCGATTTTATTTTTCTGCAGATGGGGGTCTCACTGTATTGCCCAGACTGGTCTCAAACTCCCAGGCTCAAGCCATCCTCCTGCCTTGGCCTCCCAAAGTGCTGGGATTACAGGCATGAACCACCATGCCCAGTGTCTTTTTAAACTTTTGTTTGATAGATTTAGGGGGTACAGATGCAGTCTTGTTACATGGATATGTTGCCTAGTAAAGTCTGGACTTTTAATGTAACTGTCACTCTAATAAAAGTATACATTCTACCCAATAGGTAATTTCTCATCCCTCACCCCCATCCCACCCTTCCACCTTTTCCAAATTCTTTCTAAATATGCCTCACAAAGTTGGAAGAAGCTATGCTTTCTTAACTTGCCATTATTTCTCATCGATGTTTCCAATTGTTGGGGGTTTTCTTCAGTTCTCAGGTATTTGCTTCTATTGATAGTTTGCGAGCTAGTATTTAGAGAAACTTCACCTTTTGCCTACAAAGTCAAAAGCTGCAGGAGAAACTTCACCTTTTGCCTACAAAGTCAAAAGCTGCAGAGGCAAAACCTGCAGTTCTGAGAGAAACGGGCTAGATGGCAGTGCTGTTCTCAGTGACATTTCTCAATTTACGAGGGGAAAAAACATCCCCTAGTCTTGAACGGGTTTACTAAAGCCCACGTATAAGGATCTCATTATAAAATACAATTTAAGCAGAAAATATTATGTAAGTGATTCTATGCCCCTTTCTAATTACAGATCTTCAGAAACACAGTCTAACCTGAGAGACTCCCCTAAAGTCTTTGCCAGTCAGATTTCCGCATTATACTACTGCCATGTGCCACATCATGACATTCTGGTCAACAGACCACCTAGAGGACAGTGGTTCCATAAGATGATACTATATTTTTCTTGTACTTTTCCATGTTTAGATACTTACCAATGTGTTACAATTGCCTACAGTAGGCCGGGCACGGTGGCTCACACCTGTAATCCCAGCACTTTGGGAGGCCAAGGCGGGTGGATCATGAGGTCAGGAGATCAAGATCATCCTGGCTAACATGGTGAAGCCCCGTCTCTACTAAAAATATAAAAAATTAGCCTTGCATGGTGGTGGGCACCTGTAGTCTCAGTTACTCAGGAGGCTGAGGCAGGAGAACGGCGTGAACCCAGGAGGCAGATCTTGCAGTGAGCCAAGATTGCACCACTGCACTCCAGCCTGGGCGAAAGTGCGAGACTCCCTCTCAAAAACAAACAAACAAACAAACAAAATTGCCTCCAGTATTCGGTAGTCACATGCTGCAGAGGTTCTTAGTAGAGGAATAGGCTCCACCAGATAGCCTAGGTGTGTCATACGCTGTACCATCTAGGTTTGTCTAAGTGTACTCCATGACGTTCACACAACAAAATCGCCTAATGGCACAGTTCTCAGAACGTATCCCTGTCAAGTGACACACGACTGCACTTCTCTGAGGTTATAATGGCATCTTTCTCTTGCTTAAAAAGCCTTTTCAAATGAATGTACTAAGATCTTCCAAATACAAAAGTGAATCCAGAGAATAATCAAGAACCTGCCTAAAGGCCGTAGTACTTCCTCGCCCCAGTATTTCATTACAGCATTTGCTACTGTGCCCTAGTTTCTCAGTGAGTCTTAACGTGGCATCAGGAACTGGGTCATGTACATCTTCTGTCTTCCTTAGAGTGGTTACTTTATGGTGGAGAGAGAAGATGCTTAATAAATGCTTTGTTACCTGAATTCCGATTATTGAGATACTGCCTGTGCTTCTAAATGGAAGCAAGCCTGAACTTTTCAGAGTAGAAAGTAGGTTTTGGTTAAGTTACTTTGAGCTTAGGCAATTCTGAATAAATAGCCTGGAAGCAAATATACACGACCACATGCGGTCTAGGATACCTCATTTACTGTGGTCTCTTAATTCCCACTTTTAATACTCCATCTGCAGCTTAGCACTTTGTGATTGAATGTGTATTCTTTTGACTTCTTGGGTTTTTTAGTACATACTGTTTTAAACAGGAACTATGGCTGCTTATAACACAGACCAAACCTAACAGAGGCTTTAAAAAGTTAATTTCTCTCCCACATAAAAGAAGTCTCCAGGTAGGCAGTCCAGGCTGGTGGGATGGCTCTATGGTTGAGAGGAACCCAGATTCTGCCATTGTTTGTCAATGGTTTCCATTCTTAAGGTCCCCTCAAAGTTGAAGATGGCTGCTCAAGCACCAGCCATCATGTGTGCACTCCAGGGAAGCAGGAAGACATCTAAAGGAATGAAAGGGCCCAGCGGTAACCTGTCTCCCTTTTAAGGGAGGAGGCTTTAACCACTTCCTGCTTTCATCTCATTGGTCAGAACTAGCCACATGGCCATGCCTAGCTGCAAGAGATGCTGGGAAACGTAATCTCGTAGGTAAACACACTGCTGCCTTCTCAAGAGAACCAGGTTCTGTTACAGAACAGAAAAGGGGGAAAAACAGTATAAATTCTGCCACAGATAACAACTCATGGATTTATGTATTTTTGGTGAGTAAGTGTGATCAGATGCATGCATTGGCATAATCGTGTTCCCATCTATCCATGGCTCCCTCTCTCCCTTTACCCTCATTACCACCCAGTTCCATCATCTCCCACCTTGGATGACCGAGGTCATTATCTAGAACATCCTTCCACGTTGTTCTCTGTGCTCTTAATCCCATCCCGACATGCACAAGCACATACACACTTACACAGATACATCTATGTGCGTTTTCTGGTTACTGAATTTTTTTTTTCCACAGTCTTACTCTGTTGCCCAGGCTGGAGTGCAGTGGCACAATCGCGGCTCACTGCAACCTCCACCTCCCGGGTTCAAGTGATTTTCCTGCCTCATCCTCCCAAGTAGCTGGGATTACAGGCACGTGCCACCATGCCCAGCTAATTTTTTGTATTTTTAGTAGGGATGGGGTTTCACCATGTTGGCTGGGCTGGCCTTGAACTCCTGACCTCAAGTGATCTGCCTACCTCAGCCTCCCAAAGTACTGGGATTACAGGTGTGAGCCATTGCACCCAGCCTGGTTACTGATTTTTAGGAAGATATTACGCACACTTTTGCATCTTTCTTTCTCACTTGCCGTATCTTGTGGACATCTTTTCAGGCCAACAGCTGTAACTCTCACCTCACTCTTCACATGGCTGCACGGTATTTCTTGACATTGACTGCTATAACATGTTTACCGTTTCCTTTTGTGTGACATTCATCATTTCTAGTGTTCAGTTATTACACTGTACAGTTGTCCTGACATATCTAAGTCAAAGGATATGCCTGTTTTTAATTTTCCCAGATGTTGCCAGATTGACTTCCAAAAGAAACTTTAAGACTTCATACATTTACCAGCAATATGCAAGTATTTCTTCCCTCCACCTCCCCAACAACAAGCCATACAGCTCTTTTTAAAATCTTGCCAGTCTATAAAGCTCACTGATTTATGATTCCCTTACTACTAAGGAATTTGAGCATTTTCACGTGTTAGTCATTTGGACAGTTATTCATATCATTGTCGTGGTTTCCTGTTTGACTCTTGTGCTCTTCCCTGACAATTTTTTAAAATTTTATTTCTCAGAGTCTTGCTGTCACTCAGGTTAGAATGCAGTGGTGTATTCATGGCTCACTGCAGCCTCAAACTCTTGGGCTCAAGCAATCCTCCCGCCTCAGCCTCCTGAGGTACTGGGACTACAGGCACTCACCACCTGTAACTTTTTTTTTTTTTTTTTAAGACATCAGGTCTCAGTCGGGCACGGTGACTCACACATGTAATCCCAGCACTTTGGGAGACCAACGCAGGCAGATCACTTGAGGTCAGGAGTTCGAGACCAGCCTAGCCAACATGGTGAAACCCCATCTGTACTAAAAAAAAATACAAAAATTAGCCAGGCGTGGTGGTGGGCACCTATAATCCCAGCTACTCAGGAGGCTGAGGCACAAGAATCACTTGAACCCGGGAGGCAGAGGTTGCAGTGAGCCGAGATCACACCACTGCACTCCAGCCTGGGTGACAGAGTGAGACTCCATCTTAAAAAAAAAAAAAAAAGAGGGAGAGAGAAAGAGATCAGGTCTTACTGTGATCTTGAACTCCTGACTTCAAGCAATTCTCCTGCTTTGGCCTCCCAAAGTGCTGGGAATACAAGTGTGAGCCACCACTCCCAGCCTTGCCTGACAATTTTTAAAAAGGTTTTTGTGTATACATATTAACCCTTTGTTGTTTACATCAATCTATGCAATCTAACCTATCCACTGATTGGTTATGGTATCTTTTGCTATATGAGGTTTTTAAAATGTTATATCGCCAAACATGGGTATCTTTTGCCATATGGAGTTTTAATGCTTATGTATTCAAATATGTTTGTATCTTTTTACATGGCTTCTGATTTTCCAATCTAGGTTAATATTACCTAAAATGTGCATACAGTAGAATTCTATTCTTAGGCATTTATTCATCTCCACAAATTTTAAGATACTTTTTATCCAATTCCCAAAAGACACTGTTGAGATTCTAATTGGAATTACATTTTCGTATTAACTTGGGAGAGTTGACAAAAGTTATATGAAATCTTCTCAGCTGCGCTTTTTCAGCCATCTGGATTTTACGTCTTTTTTTTTTTTTTTTTTTTTTTTTTGAAACAGAGTTTCGCTCTTGACATCCAGGCTGGAGTGCAGTGGTGCAATCTCAGCTCACTGCAACCTCCATCTCCTGGGTTCAAGCAATTCTCCTGCCTCTGCCTCCTGAGTAGCTGGGATTACAGGCTCATGTCACCACACCCAGCTAATTTTTGTATTTTCAGTAGAGATGGGGTTTCACCACGTCAGGCCAGGCTGGTCTCGAACTCCTGACCTCAGGTGATCTGCCCACCTCGGCCTCCCAAAGTGCTGGGATTACAGGCGTGAGCCACTGCACCTGGCCAATTTTATGTCTTTCAATAAGATCTCAGTTTTCTTCACTTAGGGATAGGTCCTACACCTTTATTCTAAAACATCTTATTTTTTTTCACCACATACATAGAATGTCTTTTGTTTTGTTTTGTTTGCTTGTTTTTTTGAGATGGAGTCTCGCTCTGTTGCCCAAGCTGGAGTGCAGTGAATCTCAACAGTGTCTTTTGGGAATTGGATAAAAAGTATCTTAAAATTTGTGGAGATGAATAAATGCCTAAGAATAGAATTCTACTGTATGCACATTTTAGGTAATATTAACCTAGATTGGAAAATCAGAAGCCATGTAAAAAGATACAAACATATTTGAGTACATAAGCATTAAAACTCCATATGGCAATCTTGGCTCACCGCAAGCTCCGCCTCCCAGGTTCACGCCATTCTCCTGCCTCAGGCTCCCGAGTAGCCGGGACTACAGGTGCCCGCAACAACGCCTGGCTAATTTTTTGTATTTTTAGTAGAGATGGGGTTTCACCGTGTTAGCCAGGATGGTCTTGATCCCCTGCCCTCGTGATCCACCCACCTCGGCCTCCCAAAGTGCTGGGATTACAGGCATGAGCCACCGCGCCTGGCCACACAGAATGTTTTCTCCATTGCTAGGTTCTTATTGCCACAGCGGAGAAGCCCATGGCTTTTGTATCTTTAGCTTATATCCAGAAGCCTTAGCAAAATATGTTATTATAGCAGGGGGTCTTCTAGGTTATGCAGAAAAAGAATTCACACAGCAAGCCCAAGATTGCACTCCTTAGAAAGGTCTGCTTCCAAAGTTGGCCCTTGATTGGCAGCCGGGAGCCTGAATTTTAGGAGGGTTCCCACCATTCTCTGACATGGGTGTCTCACTGTGCCTCAACTATTTGAACAAACAATGTGGTCTACACTGAACTGGGAGTCTGTAATTTTGGCACATGCTAGGCAGAGGGTTCCTACATGACCAGTCCCCAATAAAAACATGGGCACTGAGATTCTGATGAGCTTCCCTGGCACACACACTTCACCCACATTATCACAACATGCTGTGGACAAACTAAGAATGTCCTGTGTGACTCCCCCAGCAGAGGACCTGATTTTCTCTGGACTTCATCCCGTGTCTTTTCCCTGTGATTTTCTCTGCATCCTTTCACGATAGTAAATCTCACCCATGAGCACAACTGCATGCTAAGTCCTACAAGTCCTGGTGAATTACTGAACCTGGGGTGGACTTGGGTATCCTCAACACGTGTACACATCAGAGCAGCAAAAAGAGCTTTCTCTCTTCTTGTCTAATGTTACGTCGGTTATTTCATCTTTCTTTTCTCATTATAATTTCGGGCCTTCAAGTGATTGTTAAGTAACAGGAAGAGTACACATCCCTGACCAGTTTCTAATTTTAACTGAAATGGCTTTAATGTTTTGCCACTTAAAAGAACGTTTACCATTATTTTTTGATTTTCATCACATTTCAGTATGGGTAGTCCTTACTTTACACAGCTGTGATATGCACGCATTTCTGTTACCATAGTTCAGTAACAAAGCCCCCCCCCCCAACAGCACAATTCAAGTACCGGTCTCCCTGGCATACAACCGTGAGAAACCGCACGAAGAGTAAACTGTGCTGCCAACTCTTCAACCCACAAATGTGCAAATCACAGGTGTGCATCAGATCAGGAACCCATCCCGACACTTCTTTCAAAGCCCATCAGGAATTGATCACTGAGCACCTGTTATTCAGCTCACACAGAAAAGTTTGTTGCCTCCTTGCCTCCCAGTGATAAGCCCACACGACAGTTTATGAAAATGGAAAGAGGGAACCAACCCACAAAGGTGAAAATGCAGCAAAGAAATGAAATGTGACAACCCTGGAAGTGACATTTGAATGAAACCTAAGTGAGGTCACAGAGAAAACAGCTGAGGGAGGGAACGTGGACGCTGCTGCCAACCAGGGGCTCCAGCGGTGCAGCCAGAGAGGCTGAGAGGGGGCAGCCTGTCTGCGTAAATGAGTGTATTAAGGTGCTCTAAAGGGACAGAACTAATAGGATGTACGTATATACAAAGGGGAGTTTATTAAGGAGTATTGACTCCCACAATCACAAGGTGAAGTCCCACAATAGGCCGTCTGCAAGCTGAGGAGCCAGGAAGCCAGTCCGAGTCCCAAAACCCTCAAAGCAGGGAAGACAACAGTGCAGCCTTGTCTGTGACCAGAGGCCCAAGAGTCCCTGGCAAACCGCTGGTGTAAGTCCAAGAGCCCAAAAGCTAAAGAACTTGGAACATCCAACACGGGAGAAAGATGAAGGCTGGAAGACAGTAAGTCTCTCTCATTCCACTTTCTTCTGCCTGCTTTACTTTAGCCACGCTGGCAGCTGATGAGATGGTGCCCACCCAGATGGAGGGTGGGTCTGCCTCTCCCAATCCGCTGATTCAATGTGAGTCTCCTTTGGCAACACCCTCACAGACACACCCAGGATCAATACTCTGCATCCTTCAATCCAATCAAGTTGACACTCAGTATTAATCTTCACAATGAGCAAACAGTTGTGACGAGAAGGATGAAGACAGCCTCGGGGGTGTGACGCCAGCAAAAAACCGCAAATGAAAGGAACTCTGGGAGGCATTTTGCAACACGGGATGTGCAAATGATACAGTGTTGGAAGCCGATCCAACTAGAAAGGAGCGTGGCAACTCAACAGGCCCCGGAGAAGATGCTCGGCCAGAAGCCCAGAAGCGGAAGTTGTAGGAAGAGGCAGTGGCGGCAAGTGCTGTTTAAACTACTATTGACGGGACTTTAGAAAGAGACAAAATGCTTTAATCCCAATGTTTCTAGTGTTTCAAATCACAGTGTGCTAAATACATTAGTTTTACTGCTCTTTTCATTTCTCTACACATTTGTAACCAATAACAAACAGTGGGAGTTTTTACTGTACTGCTTCACAGGTGATGGAGCAGCTGCTTCTCAGTAGGATTGCTCTGCACAGTTTCGGCTTGCAGAACCACCATTTTTATGATGCTGGCCCTCCATGCAATGCAAAAACTACTGTAGCTTTTTCCTATTTCTATTTTACATGTTTTATTTCTTCTTTTAAGTTAGGAATGGGTGCTGAACCTCAAATGGATCCCTTTTCAGTATCCGCTGATAGCCACATATGATTTTCCCACGGCATCTACATGGGGCTTGGCCAATGATTCTGGCTACAGGTGAAGTTCACAAGACAGCTGCAGGAGCACATCCAGGCTTGACTAGAGGCCTCGTACACCTGCTGCTGCTCAGAGGTGCATTGAGAAAAAACCTATGGCTGCAGGGTGAAGAATAAGAGAAGAGGCAGCAATTCGAAATTAGGAAACTCCATCTACAAGGCACCCTGACTCCAAAATCACAACCCTGTTGATATGGTTTGGCTCTGTGTCCCCACCCAAATCTCATGTTGCACAGTAATCCCTAATGTTGGGGGAGGGACCTGGTGGGAGGTGATTGGATCCTGGGGGTGGATTCCCCCTTGCTGTTCTCGTGATAGTGAGTTCTCACTAGATCTGGTTGTTTAAAAGGATGTAGCACCTCCCCCTTCACCCTCTCTCTTCTGCTCCACCATGTGAAGATTGTACCTGCTTCCCCTTCACCTTTCTCTATGATTCTAAGTTTCCTGAGATCTCCCCAGCCATGCTTCCTGTACAGCCTGCAGAACCATGGGCCAATTAAATGTCTATTATCAATAAATTACCCAGTTCCAGGTATGTCTTTAGAGCAGTGTGAGAACAAATGAATACAGAAAACTGGTACCAGAGAAGTGGGGCAGTGCAATAAAGATGCCTGAAAATAAGGAAGCAACTTTGGATGGAAGTGGGTAACGGGCAGAGGTTGGAACAGTTTGGAGGCCTCAGAAGAAAACAGAAAGATGAGGGAGCGTTTGGAACTTCCTAGAGACTTGTTGAATGGTTGTAACCAAAATGCTGATAGTTATATGGACAGTGAAGTCCAGGCTGAGGTGGTGTCAGATGGAGATGAGGAACTTACTGAGAACTGGAGTAAAGGTCACTCTTGCTATGCTTTAGCAAAGAGACCAGTGGCATCATGTCCCTGCTCTAGAGATCTGTGGAACTTTGAACTTGAGAGAAATGATTTAGGGTATCTGGAAGAAATTTCTAAGCAGCAAAGCATTCAAGATGTGGCCTGGCTGCTTCTAAAAGCCTATACTCATTTTCATAAACAAAGAAATGACCTGAAACTAGAACTTACATTTAAAAGGGAAGCAGAGCATAAAAGTTTGGAAATTTTGCAGCCTCATTATGCAGCAAAAAAAATTTCCTGGGGAAAAAGTCAAGGCTGCAGAAATTTGCATAAGATGAGCCAAATGTTAATTAATAGCCAAGACAATGGGAAAAATGCCTCCAGGGCACTTCAGAGACCTTCACTGCCGCACCCCCCATCACAGGCCTGGAGGACTAGGAGGGAAAAATGGTTTTGTGGGCCAGATCCAGGGCCCCACTGCTCTGTGCAGCCTCAGGCCATGGCACCCTGTGTCCCCGACACTCTCAGCTCCAGCCATGGCTAAAAGGGGCCAAGGTACAGCTCTGGCCATTGCTTCAGAGGGTGCAAGCCCCAAGCTTTGGTGGGTTCCACGTGGTGTTGGGCATGTGGGTACGCAGAAGACAAGAGTTGAGGGTTGGGAGCCTCCACTTAGATTTCAGAGAATGTATGGGAACACCTGGATGTCCAGGCAGAAGTCAGCCTGGGCTCCCATGCAGCCTGTAGGTGCACAGAAGTCAAGAATTGAGGTTTGGGATCTTCTGTCTAGATTTCAGAGGATGTATGCAAATGCCTGCATGTCTAGGTAGAGGTGTGCTGCAGGGGTGAAGCCCTCACGGAGAACCTACTAGGGCAGTGCAAAGGGGAAATGTGGGGTTGGAGCCTCCAGACGCGGTCCCCACTGGGGCACTGCCCTAGTGGAGCTGTGAGAAGAGTGTCCCCATCTGCCAGAACCCAGAATGGTAGATCCACCAACAGTTTGCACCATGTGCCTGGACAAGCGACAGGCACTCAATGCCAGGCTGTGAAAGCAGCTGCAGGTGCTGTACCCTGCAGAGCCACAGAGGCAGAGCGGCCCAAGGCCTTGGGAACCCACCCTTTGCATCAGTATGGCCTGCATGTGAGACATGGAGTAAAAAGAATCAATCATTTTGGAGCTTTAGGAATTTAATGACTGACCTGCTGGGTTTCAGACCTGCATAGAGCCTGTAGCCCCTGTTTTGGCCAATTTCTCCCTTTTGGAATGGGAGCATTTAACCAATCCCTGTACTCACATTGCATCTTGGAAGCAACTAACTTGTTTTTTATTTTACAGGCTCATAGGTGGAAGAGATTCGCCTTGTCTCAGATGAGATTTTGGACTTGGACTTTTGAGTTAAAGTTGGAATGAGTTAAGACTTTGAAGGACTTTTGGGAAGGCATAATTGGTTTTGAAATGTGAGAAGGACATGGGATGTGAGAGGGGCCAGGGGCAGAATGATATGGTTTGGCTCTGTGTCCCCATCCAAATCTCATGTTGAATTGTAATCCCCAGTGTTGGGAGAGGGACCTGATGGGAAGTGATTGGATCATGGGGGCAGATTTCCCCCTTGCTGTTCTTGTGATAGTGAGTTCTTATAAGATCTGGTTGTTTAAAAGTGTGTAGCACCTCCCCCTTCACTCTCTCTCTCCTGCTCCTCCATGTGAAGAAGGTGCTTGCATCCCCTTTGCCCTTCTACCATGACTGTAAGTTTCCTGAGGCCTCCCCAGCCATGCTTTCTGTGCAGCTGGCAGAATTGAGTCAATTAAACCTCTTTTCTTAATTACCCAGTCTCAGGTAGTTCTTTATAGCAGTGCGAGAACAGACTAATACACCTGCCATTTCTGACAAAGTGTGAGTTTAAAACATTTTTTCTCTTTTTTTTTTTTTTTTTTTTGAGATGGAGTTTCACTCTTGTTGCTCAGGCTGGAGTGCAATGGCGTGTAATCTCGGCTCACCACAAGCTCTGCCTCCCAGGTTCAAGCGATTCTCCTGTCTCAGCCTCCCAAGTAGCTGGGATTACAGGTATGTGCCACCACACCCGGCTAATTTTGTATTTTTAATAGAGACAGGGTTTCTCCATGTTGGTCAGGCTGGTCTTGAACTCCTGGCCTCAGGTGATCCGCCCACTTAAGTTTAAAACATATTAATCAGCATTATACGAATGATGAATTTTCACTGAAAAAGTATTTTCTTAAATGAATTTCACCAAGTCAGTATACTTCTTTGCTCAATTTTCTAAACAAAGTAGTTTCTACTTTTTATATTTTCTTTTTAAAATTTCCTAAAAGATTTTTCATCAGGTTAATTATCTTCCAGACAAGCTTTGGGGAGGCAAGTTCTGCCTATGTGTTTTTTGGTGAGAGCATCTGTGTACGGATTATCTTTGGGAGCCATTATTTTCCTGGGTCAAATTTTACAAAGATGGCTGTTCTCTCCATTTTTAGACAGTAACCACTGTCACTGGCTGTGGTTTTAGGATTATTCCTGTCAAGCTTACTTTTCCCCAGATAAATTCTAACCGTTTTCAATGTCACCATTAAATGTAATTCTTCAGCTTTCTATAATACATGTTATCATTGTCTGCTGTATTTTGTGTTTTCTACCAACTGCGTTTACTAGGAATGATATCAACGACGGGGCTGTATCTACCTCCTGGGTAAGCCATAAGAGGGTTGCACCAAGTACCGAGGACAAGGTGGTGAAGTGCCCTTCAGCAGAGCTGAAGACAAGGAGACAAGCTGAGGCCCAGTGGACCACCTGCCTCCCACTCCCTTGGCAAAACAAAACCAACAAAAACACTAAACCTGCCAGTCAGTGCCTGGCAGGAGATGGGGTTCACTCTACAGAAAAACAATAAGCATACATAAAAAGAAGGAAATCTTGTCATTTGTGACACCATGGATGAATGTGGAGAACATTAAGTTGGATGAAATAGGCACAGAGAGACAAATCCTGCATGATCTCACTCACATGCGGAACCTACAACAGCTGATCTCATAGGCAGACAGAGTAGAATGGCGGTTACCAGAGCTTGGGCGGTTGCAGGGAGTCCAACGGGGAAAGATGTTGGTCAACAGATAATATATAATTACAAGGGGCGGGACGTCCAGAACAGGCATGTATATAGAGACAGAACAGGCAAAATACAAAGACAAAGCAGATAAGTGATTGCCTGGGGACAAGGGTGAGGCTGGGGCGGGGAAAGCGTGGAGTAGGGAGAAACTGGGATGACCTCAAATGGTTCCAGAGATTCTTTCTCGAGTGATGAAAATGCTCTAACGTTGATTGTGGAGATGGCTGCAGAACACTGTGAACATACTAAAATCACTGGACAGGACACTTTTAAATAGGTGAATTATATGGTATATGAATTATATCTCAATAAAGCTGTTTTTTTTTTTTTAAGAAGGAAAACAGTGTGAAGGATCTGGCTTCAAAAATACCAGGTTCTGCACCACTGAGTTCTTCTCACTGGCTAGTATTAATCTCTAAAGAAAGCTGTGGTACTCACTCTTCCACAACTTCACTGCTAAGTTATTACCACCACCAAGAAAAAGCATCCGGCCAAATAAAGAAATCAAACATCTTAGTGGTTCTGGACACTTCAGGAAGTCCCAGCACCCAGACCTCCACATACTCCCTTGTCTCCTGGCAGGGAAGGGTTTCTAAAGATGGACATCAAAAGACGAGAGGCAGGATTCTGTCCCCCACTGGAGTGACGGCGTACAGACTTTAGGGCAGCACACACCACGTGGCTGTGGTGTATAATCCTTCTAATGTGCTGTTGGATTTGGTTGCTAGCATTTTGCTAAGGATTTGTGAATTTACATTCATAAAAGTATCGGTTTGGCCGGACGCAGTGGCTCATGCCTGTAATCCCAGCAATTTCAGAGGCCAAAGCAGGTGGATCACAGATCAGGAGTTCAAGACCAGCCTGGCCAACATGGTGAAACCTCGTCTCTACTAAAAATACAAAAATTAGCTGGGTGTGGTGACACGTACCTGTAGTCCCAGCTACTCAGGAGGCCGAAGCAGAATTGCTTGAACCTGGGAGGCAGAGGTTGAAGTAAGCCAAGATCGTGCCACTGCACTCCAGCCTGGGCAACAGAGTAAGACTCTGTCTCAAAATATAAATATAAATATATATAAATGTATATTATATATATATATATATATATATATATATATATATATCGGTCTGTAGTTTTCTTGCAGTATCTTTGGCTTTGGTATCAGGGTAGTGCTGGCCTCACAGAATGTGTTAGGAAGTGTCCCTTCTGTTCATTTTTTGGAAGAGTTTGAGCAGGATTGGAGTTAATTCTTCTTTAATGTTTCACAGAACATTTGGTAGTGGGGCTGTCTGTTCCTGGACTTTGGTGGGAGGATTCTCACAGAATGGGAGAAAATATTTGTAAATCACATATCTGATAAGAGTATAATATCCGGAATGTATACAGCACTCCTAGCACTCAACAAGAAGACAACTCAATTTAAAAATAGCCACTAGGGCCAGGTGTGGTTGTTCACACACCTGTAATTCCAGCACTTTGGGAGGCTGAGGCAGGAAGATTGCCTGAGCTCAGGGGGTTGAGACCAGCCTGGGCAACACAGCAAGACCTGGTCTCTACCAAAAAGAAAAAAAAATCAGCCAGGCATGGTGGTGCACACCTGTAGCCCTAGGTACTCTGGAGGCTGAGAGGAGAGGATCACTTGAGCCCAGGAGATTGAGGCTACAGTGAGCTGTGACTGTGCCACTGCACTCTAGTCTGGGTGACAGAGTGAAACTCTGTCTCAAAAAAAAAAAAATAGTCACAGGACTTGAACAGATATTTCTCAATAGAAGATACACAAGTAGCCAACAAGCACATGAAAGATGATCATCATCACTGGGGATTAGGGAAATGCAAATGAAAACCACAATAATATATGCATACCCATTAGGATGGCTTTAATTTTTTAAAAAAGGGGGAAACTAAGAAGTGCTGTCAAAGCTGTAGAGACATGGGAATCCTCAGACACTGCTGGGGGGAATGTAAAATGGTGCAGCCGGTTTGGTGTCTCCTCCAAAAGTTAAGTATAGAGTTACCACATGGCCTACCAATCTTCCTCCTAGGTATACACCCAAGAGAAATGAAAAAACATGTACACACCAAAACCTGTACACAAATGTTTATAGCACTATTATTCATAATAGCCCAGAGTCTGAAACAATCCAAATGTCCATCAACAGAGGAGTAAATAAACCAACTGTGGCATCCACATCCAACAGGATATTATCCACCTAAATAAAGGATCAAGCCACTGATACACGCTGTAACGTGGATAAACTCGACAACATTACGTGAAGTCAGGGCAGCCAGACACAAATGGTCACCTACTGTATGATTCCTTGTATATGATGTATCCAGAATAGGTAAATCCATAGGGACAGAAGGCATATAAATTGTTACCAGGGTATGGGGGAAAGGGAAGGGAAAAGGGAAAATGGTTACTTAACTGGTAAGTACTTACTTAATAAGGTGCCTTTTTGGATAATGAAAACATTTTTAAACTACAGAGTGTTCCAGAACATTGCAAATACAATAAATGCCTGAATTACACATTTTAAAGTGGTTAATCAAATTATATCAATTTCACCTCAATTTAAAACTAAGTAAAAAGATGGAGAAAGATACATCATGCTAACACACAAATCAGAAGAAAGCTGGAGTAGCTATATTAATTTCAGACAAGCAGACTTCAGAACTAAGGACATTAGAAGGCCTAGAGAGGGGCATTACCTAATGATAAAGGGGTCAATTCTCCAAGAAGACGTAACAACCCCAAATGTGCATGTGCCTAACAACAGTGTCCAAATACAAGAGGCAAAAACTGAGGGAAATGCAAGGAGAAATAGACTAATCCACTATTATAGCTGGAGACCTCAACATGCATTAGTAATTGACAGACTGGCAGGTGAAATTTCAGTGAGGATACCGTTGAACTGAACAGCATCATCAATCAACTGGATCTAATCAACACCTACAGAATGCTTCATCCAACAAGAGCAGAATACACATTCTTTCCAAGCTACATGGAACATTCACCAAGGTAGACAACATTCTGGGACATAAAACACTTTAATAAATTTAATAGAAATCATAGAAAGTACACTCTCAGACTACAGTGAAATCAATAACAAAAAGATGGCTAAAAATCCCATATTTGGATATTTAAAAATGTATTTCTAAATAACACATGGGTCAAAAAACAAGGCTTAAGAAAAACCTTAAAATATTTTTAACTAAACGCAAATTAAAATACAACTTTTCAAAATTTATGGCATGTGGCAAAAGTAGTACTCAAAAGGAAATTTATAAAATTAAATATATATATTAGAAAAGAATTTGAACTTCCATCTTAGGCAATTACAGAAAAGAGGAGCAATATAAACCTAAAGCAAGCAGGAAAAAAAAAGAAATAAAAATTAGAGTAGAAATCATAAGACCGAAGACAGGTAAAACTAAAATTGATCAAACCAAAAACTTGTTCTTTGAAAAGATCAATAAAATTTATAAAACTCTAGCCAGGCTAACCAAGAAGAGTCAAGAAATATCAATTACTAATAACAGAAAATAAAGAAGGGCCATCACTATTGATCTCATGGGCATTAAAAGGGAAATTAAAAAATATTATTTGCAACTATATGCCTAGAAGTTTGATACCTAAGATGAAATAAACCAATTCCTTGAAAGACATAGTCTACAAAAACTAACACAATGAGAAACAGATCATCTGAATATGCCTACATCTACTAAAAAACTGAATCAATACTAAATAACTTTACAAAAAAGAAAGCACTAGGCCCAGATGGTTTCACTGGTGAATTCAACCAAACATTTAGGGAAGAAAGCATACCAATTATCTACAATCTCTTCCAGAAAATAGAAGCAGAAGGAATATTTTCAAATTCATTCTAGAAGGCCACCATTACCCTAATACCAAAACCAGATAAAGACTTCACCAGAAAGGAAAATTACAGATAAGTATCTCTCATGATCCTAGATGTAAAAATCCTCAACAAGATCTTCAACAAAGAGTAGCGAATAAAACAAAGATGAGCAAATAGAATCCAACAATGTTTTTAAAAATTATACACCACAACCAAGTGGGACTTATTACAGTTATGCAAGCTATTTCATCATCCAAAAATCAATTAATGTAAACCATCACATCAGCAAGGCCAAAGAAGAAAAATCATACAATCATATCAATAGGTGCAAAAAAAGCATTCCACAAAATCCAAAACCCACCCATGACTTTAAAAACTCTCAGCAAACTAGGAATAAAAGGGAATTTCCTTAATATAAGAAAGGTCATTTATGAAAAACCCATAACCAACATCATATTCAACCTCAATGAAGAATGACTGAAATCTTTACCGCTAAGCCAGAAATAAGGCAAGGATATCTCCTTTCACCACTCCTATTCTACATTGTACTGGAAGTCCTGGCTAATACAGTAAGACAAGAAAAGGAAATAAAAAGTAAAACTATCTTTGTTCGCAGATGGTATGATTGTTTACATAGAAAATCCCAAAGAATCTACTTTGAAAAATCCTCCTGGAATGAATAAGGGATTATAGCAAAGTTGCAGGATACAAGGTTAATATACAAAAGTCCATTGCTTTCCTATATTACAGCAATGAACAACTGAAATTTGAAATTTAAAACACAGTACCATTTGCATTAGCACCAAAAAAAGAGAAATACTTAGGTATAAATATAATAAAATATGTATAAGATCTATATGCAGAAAATCACAAAACTCTGACGAAAGATACCAAAGATCTACGGAAATGAAGTGATATTCTACTTTCTGGGATAGGAAGACCCAATATTATTAAGATGTTAGTTCTTCCCAAGGTGATCTACAGATTCAACAGAATCCCAACAAAAATATTTCGTGATATTAAACTGATTTCAAAATTTATGTAGCGAGTAAAAAGACCCAGGAAAGCCAACACAGTACTGAAGAAAAGATCAACATTACCCAACTTCAAGACTTACTATAAAGCTACCATAATCAACACTGTGTGGTATTGGTGAAAAATAGACAAACAGACAAATGCAACATAATAGAGGCCCCAAAAACATGTCCACACAAATATAGTCAATTGATCTTTGACAAAGGAGCAAAAGGCAATTCAATGGAGAAAAGACAGTCTCTTCAACCAACGGTGCTGAAACAACTGGCCGTCCACATACAGAAAAATCCATCTAGACGGAGACCTTACACCTTCTACAAAATTAACTCAAAATGGATCATAGACCTTAGTGTAAAATGACAAACCATAAAACTTCTAGAAGAAAACATAGGACCTGTGTGACCTTGGATTTGATAAGTTTTTAGTTTTACCACCAAAAACCATGACCTATAAAAGAAAAACATGTTAACTTGGGAATTATTGAAATTAAAAATATCAGCCAGGTGCAGTGGCTCACACCTGTAATCCCAGCACTTTGGGAGGTTGAGGCAGGCGGATCACTTGCGGTCGGGAGTTTGAGACCAGCCTGGCCAACATGGTGAAACCCCATCTCTACTAAAAATACAAAAACATTAGCTGGGTGTGGTGGTGGGCGCCTGTAGTCCCAGCTACTCGGGAGGCTGAGGCAGGAGAATTGCTTGAACCCGGGAGGCGGAGGTTGCAGTGAGCCAAGATCATGCGACTGCACTCCAGCCTGGGCCACAGAGTGAGACTCTCTTTCAAAAAAAAAAAAAAAAAAAAAAATGAAAAAACATCTGCTCTGTGAAAGGCATAAAGAGAATGAAAAGCCACATACTGGGAGAAAATATTTGCAAAAAAAAATCTGATAAAGATTGTTTCAAAATATACAAAGAACTCTTAATTAAAACTCAACAAGAAGACAAACAACCCAGTTCAAATGGGGAAAAGATCTGAATAGACACCTCATCAAAGAATATATACAGATGGCAAACAATCATATGAAAAGATGCTCAACATCACATGTCATTAGAAAAGTGCAAATTAAAACAATAATAAAATACCACTACACATCTATTAGGATGGCAAAAATCCAAAACACTCACACTAAACGCTGATGAGGACATGAAGCAAAAGGAATCCTCATCCACTGCTGGTGGGAATACGAAATGGTACAGCCACTTTGAAGAGAGTATGACAGTCTCTTACAAAGCTAAACACACTCTTACCCTAGGATCCAGCAATTGCATTCCTCAGTATTTACCCAAATGAGCTGAAGGCCAATGTCTATGCAAAAACTTGCACACAAATATTTATAGCAGATTTATTCAAATTGCCAAAAACTGGAAATAGCCAAGTAGCCCATTAATATCCATAAATGCAAGTAGCCAATTAGCATCCATAATTTTTATTGCTGGAATATTATTCAGCAATAAAAATGAGTTAGTGAGCCTTGAAAAGATATGGAGGAACCTTAAATACACATTGCTAAGGGAAAGAAGCCAGTCTGAAAAGGTTCCATACTATATGATTTGAACTATTAATATATGTCATTCCTTCGAAAAGGGTAAAACTCTGGAGACAGTAAAAAGATGAGTGGTGGCCAATGGGAAGGGAATGGGGGGCAGGATAAACAGGTGGCACACAGAAGATTTTTAGAGCAATGAAACTATTCTGTATGATACTGTAATGGTAGACATGTCACGTCGGGCATCTGTCAAAATCCACAGAAGGTAAAACACAGAGTAAACCCTGAGGATGTAAACTGTGTGCTTTAGTTAACAATGTATCAATGTCGGTTCATCAACTGTAACAAACGTACCACATTAACACAAGATGTTAGTAATAGGGGAACTGTGTGGAGGAGAGAGAAGAGAGAGGCACAGGGGAACTCTCGGTACTATATGCTCAATTTTTCTGTAAAACTAAAACTGCCTTAAAACAATGAGGTGTGTTAATCAACTTTTAAAAAATAATATGTTAACTGAAGTTCTAGAACAGGCAAAGCTAATCTGTGGAGAAAATACTCGGAACTGTGGGTGCTTATCTGTGAGTGAGAGGCTGCCTAGGAAGGGAGATGAGAGAATTTTCCAGGTGATGATAACGTCCTGTATCTTGGGGTTTGGTTCCATTCACCAGTACTCACTGGATAAACTTAAGATTTACATGTTTCAACGCATATACGTGTCACAAAAAAAAGAAAACACTGCGGTTAATATGTATGCTGAAGTATTTAGGGGAAGTGTAATGCTGTCAAGTTTACTTTGAAATGCATCAAAAAGATGGACTGAAGAATAGAGGAATTGATAAATAAGTGATAAAACAAGTAAAGTGGTAATGTAAAATCTAGGTAGTGAATATATTGATGTTCACTGTAAAATTAACTTTACTGTATGTTTGAAAATTTCCATAATGCCAAAAGAAAATAACTTTTACAATAGCAAAAACACGAAATACCTAGGAATAAAACAGTAGTAAGAGAAGGCTAAAGAAGAGTTAAGTAAATGGTGAAAGATACCTTGTTCATCAGTTTTCAAGATGTGCTCCCTGAATAGTCACAGACTCAACACAATCTCAATTGGAATTCCAGCTGGCATTTTTGTAAAAATTCACAGGCTGAGCCCAAACTTTATATGGCAAGGTAAAGATCTAGAATACTAAAACCATTTTGAAAGAAACAAATTTGGAAGACTTCCACAATCTTATTTCAAGGCTTAGCATTTTAAGCTGCAATAATCAATATTGTATTGTATGGCATTACTGTTTTAAGGACAGACATATAAACCAGTGTAACATAAGAGAATCCAATTGTGACCCTATATGGTCAGCTGATTTTTTACAAAGTTTTCAAGGTAATTGAATTTAGGGTCAGAGTATATTCTTCTCAAAAAATGTATGGAAAAGCAAATCAACCTCTCATCACCGCTGATCCCCCTCCCCCCAAAAAAACAAAATAAGCAAAAAATTAAAAATAAAACTTGAAATGGGTCACAGCCCTAAATATAAAAGCTAAAACTATGGAAATTCTGAAAGAACACCTAGTAGGCAACCTTTGCAATCCTTGTATGTAAATTTTACCTCAGTAAATTTTATGTACAAAATCAAACCATAAGAGTACTAGAAGTAAATATGGGAGAGAATTCTAATAATCTCAAACTAGGGGAGACACTTTTTGAGACGGCATAAAAATTCATAAACTAAACTACATAACAAGATCAATTTTAACACAAAGAAAGCCTGGCAAAAGATACAAACAGTTCACATACAAGGAGAAGCCAATGGTCCTCAGCATCTGAGGATGCTCAGGCCACTCATAAGGAGAAACTCAAGACTACTCACCTGCCAGAGAGAAAGGGCATCTC
Organism: Homo sapiens; assembly: GCF_000001405.40. Lineage (NCBI taxonomy): Eukaryota > Metazoa > Chordata > Mammalia > Primates > Hominidae > Homo > Homo sapiens. The sequence goes on along the minus strand of NC_000014.9, from coordinate 104,056,003 downwards.
CCAAGTGTCCAACACTGTCCTAACTCGGAGGGTGAGAGTCTGGGTACGGACTGTCCTATAGTGCTGGGGGGAGCGTGTGCTCTATGGAGAGCAATGTGGCAACATCTAGGAAGGGAGTGATTTACTAAATGCCCTCTGACTCAGTAATCCCAATCCTAGGAATTTATTCTATAATAAATTATACACATGTGAAATGACAGGTGTACAAGGACATCCACTGCAACACTGTGTATAATAGTAAGACTAGAAACTATCCAAATGCCCGTTGCAGGGGTGTCATTAATTATGAAACATGAACAAAATGATATAACCATGAAGCACTTAAAAAGAATGAGGCACCTCTTTGTGCAGGATCTAGCAGTGCAATCCACAACAATCAGTGAAAAGTCAAGGTAGAGATCAGCATGTGCAGTATGCAACGACTCATGAAAATGAAGAGGCTTGTGCCCATATATGAAGAAAGGAGCTCCGAAAGGACCCCGAAGACACTGGCTGGATTCTCTTCCTGGGGCCACCAGGACACATAAGCACAAACAGGGGGCTTACAACAGAAATGGATTCTCACAGTTCTGGAGGCCAGAATTCTCACACCAAGGCATCCAGGGCCCACATTCTCTCCGAAGGCACTGGAGAGAGCCTGGCCTGGCCTCTCCCAGCCTCCAGCAGCCCCAGGTCTTCCGTGGCTGTGGCCACATTGCTGCAATCTCAGCCTCTGCCTTCACTGGCCTTCTCCTCTATCGGGACATTTGTCATTGGCTTCAGGTCCCATCTTAAATCCAGGACAATCACCTCATTTTGAGATCCTTAACTCAGTCACACTGGCAAAAACCCTTTTCCCAAATACGGTCCCATTTATAGGGAGTTGTGGGGGTTTGGACATGGACACAGCCCCAGACTATGTCCAGGGAGGGGGTCAACACTCTGCCCACCACCATGGTGCCTCCAAGAACCTTCTCCTCTGAGCCGTGGTGCCACGCCTGCCTCTGGTCACTCTGCTGTCTCTCTGGTGCACATTCTGTCTGGCCACCCTGCCCTTCCACTGCTCCCACCCCTGCTGCACGCCAGTGTTTCTTCCTGGACTTAACTGTGCTGGTTTTGCACCCTATGCCCCATGCAGCAGCCAGAATAATCTTTCTCAAAACGTCATCAAGGCATGACACTCCCTTGTTCAAAACCCTCCAGGAGCTCCCCACCTCACTCAGAGTAAACCCCAAAACCTGCGTGTGGCCCACCTGGCCTGGCTGCTCTCCAGCCTGACCACCAGTACCCTCCACACTCTGTGCCAGCCGCACGGGCTGCCTGGTGGCTCCTCACACGCACCAGGCCTGCTGCCTCCTTGGAGCCTCACGCATCTCCTCCCAGCTATTCCAGTGCAGCCTGGGCCGGGCCTCTGCTTGAATGTCACATGGGAAAGGCTGTCCCCAGCTGCTTCTCTAAAGCAGTGTCACTCCCTGTACTTCCCCCCATCACAGGATCAGCAGCTAAGACCCAAGCTCAAGTCTGATGCCTGTTCTCATAAATCAGGTTTTGCGGGCACACAGCCCTGCTCGTTTGTTTATGGCTACTCCTGAGCTTCAACACAAAGCTGAACAGCAGCAGCAGCAACCACATGGCCCACAAAGCAAAAACAAGTGTGCACGCTCCTGTCCTGCCGCTTGACAGCTCTCACTCTGTCGCCTGACGCATTTGACCACCATCTGCCTCTACCCACTGCTCCCTGAGTGCAGTGAAACCTGGGCCACTTTGCTCGGAGTGGATCTTCAGCGTCCGTGACAGTGTGTGGAACACAGGGCGTGCTGACGGGATGCACCAGGATGAAACAACGACTGCCTCCGAGGAGCACTTGGGCTGGGCATGAAAGAGACTTCACTAGAGACCCTTTTCAAATGTCTTCATCTTATGTCATGGACATGTATTATTATACTAAGAACATTATTATGTATTTAAATATGAGGAGAATTTTGCAAACAAACAAGGCAAGTACCCTCTTAAGATAGATAAGGAAGGCAATGCAGTCGAAGTGCACCACTTGGTTTTACAGAAGATAATTTTCTTTGCTATCTACAAAATCCACGTTATAAAGCACAATGACTGACCTGGCCAGTGATATTGCTGTGACCGTGCGTAGAGATAGCAAAGGAGGTGCAGAACAGTGGGAAGGAGCCAATATTCATCTGCTGCTCAACAGCTGATGGCTAAGATGGCAACCATGAAAAAGCAGAACAAAAACATTCCTCAGCAAGATGAAAGCAATTCCAGAAAAATATAGGGAAGAGTTAGTATGGTTTCCTTTGAGAGTTGGGTGTTTTTGTTTTTAAACAAGCCTCTTGGTACTACTTAAATTTTTTTGTTTTTGTTTTTTGAGACAGAGTCTTGCCCTATTGCCCAGGATGTAGCGCAGGGGTACAATCACAGCTCACTGCAGCCTTGAACTCCTGGGCTCAGGCAATCCTCCCACCTCGGCCTCCCAAAGTGCTAGGATTACAAGTGTGAGCTACTGCACCTGGCCTAAATTTTTAGTCACTTACTAAAAGTCTGGTTAAAAAACGAACAGAATGAGTGCTTGACTGTTGTGAGTGTCCCCTACTGCTAAGGCCACACATTTGGTAACCTTGCCCACATGGACTAAGTACTCATAGGTCGGCAGAGCAAAGAGAAAAGCCAATCAAAGTGTCTGCTGCCCTCCCCGGAGGCTTTCTCAGAGGGCTTTCTGACGACGGGCAAAACCTTCACTTTAAAGCGGAACCAAGTTTTGGACGTGCTCAAAACCTTCCAAGAGCCCTCCATGTGTGCCAACTTGGTATGACCACTTACTCCCTAAGGCTGGGAAGCACATTCCCCAGAAGGCCAGGACAGTGGCCCAGTGACAGGGGTGCAGTGCTGCCCAGCCACCACAGCTGCTTGGTGGTCTTCCCGCTTGGCATCTGCCAGCTTCCCGCTGCTGGCCAGCGAACCCACAGAGGCCCAGCACAGCGCCAATGCTCCCCAAGATGTGACGGCTTCCAAGACCCCACACAAGCTCCCGTTTATGATCCCAAGTTGATGCCCATGCACACGCTTCTCCTGTTTCCTCACCATCTTCAAATTGTCCATCTGGGACAAGTCAGTTTAAGCAGAGCATTTCTCTGATCCTACAACTTCCCTCTCACGTGCGAGCTCACTGGCGTCTTTCACTGCTGTATTTACAACAGCTCTGTTCTTCTGACCAAACCCTGACTGATGTGAGTTGAGCTTTTAAAAGAGGTCTGTATCCCTGTATCAGTTGTACAATTTCAGATTTTTTGGAACTAAATACATCTTAATCTCCTCTGACTAAAAACTGTCAGAAACAGAAACTTCATTTAATGCTTTTATTGTTTTAACACAGATAAGCTATGGCCATGTAATCTGTAATCTCTGATTTCCAAAATGTGAACCAAGAAGTATAACTCAACTTAGTCTTATAAAAATTAGATATTTTCCCTCATGGAAAAAAAAATCAGAAAATACTACATGGTTTTTTTGTTTTTTTAAGTTTTTTCCTATACTACTGGTTTAAATCACTGTAACAGAACAGAATATGTAAGCACATTCTGGAACCTTACATCTAAGATTAACTACTTATATTTACCTTAATAAATTTAAAGCAAAATACAGCTCTTTATCCAAACAGACTTCTTTCAGAACAATCTTTCCAAAATATTTAATACAGTGATTTTCTGTTTCTAGAAAAGACTAGAGTTTCCAATCCTTCCCACCTGAACAAAAACACCACTCTCTGACTATCACCCAAAGAGAAAAGAAGAAAGAAAAGGCCTTTAGGATGCAGTGGGCACAGACTGTAACACCCAGACACAGAGGAAAGTCAGTCTGCGGAGGGAGCCTGGAATCCAGCCTCCACAGCTTCCTGAGGGGTGTGCTGGAGGCCACCTGTGGACATGCTCAGGTGCCGAGCACAACCAGTTTGTGGAGCTGGTAGAGAAAGGTGTTCTTCCCTCTGCTGCTCTCACGGTCGGCCTGCTCCATGACCAGCTTTGGATCAACCTAATGGGGTAGACAAGCGGACCAGTCAGGCTCTGTGACAGGGCTTTTCCAGACATAAAATACACATGCATTAACATCCAGGATGCACAAAGTATAATTCAGTTCTCCAAAAATATTTACAGAACACTTCTCTACTCTCACACTTCATACTATAGGTTTGATAATTCATTTTTAATTTCATGTTTAAATAACCCCATTAAAGATGGACAAAAGACATGAACGCTTCTCAAAAGAAGACACTGAAGGGCCAAAAACATTTAAAAATGCTCCACACATCAGTAATCATCAGAGAAGTGCAAATCAAAACCACAAAATACCATCTCACACCAGTCAGAATAGCTATTATTAAAAAGTCAAAAAAACAACAGATGTTGGCAAGGCTGCAGAGAAAAGAGAATGCTTATACACCATTGGTGGGAATACAACTTAGTTCAGCCACTGTGGAAAGCAGTTTGGAGATTTCTCAAAGGTCTTAAAACGGAACTACCATTTGATCCAGCAATTCCATTACTTGAGTATATGTCCAAAAGAAAACAAATTGTTCTACCAAAAAGACACATGCATTTACATATTCACCACAGCACTATTCACAATAGCAAAGACATGGAATCAACCCAGGTGGCCATCAACAGTGGACTGGATAGAGAAGATGTGGTACACACATACCATGGAATACTACACAGCCATTAAAAAGAATGAAATTGTGCAATCGGGATGCAGCTGGAGGCCATTACCTTAAGCGAATTGATGCTGGAACAGAAAACCAAATACTGCCTGTTCTCACCTAAAAGTGGAGCTAAACATTGAGTACTCATGGACATAAGATGGGAACAAGAAACACCGGGGACCACTAGATGGGGGAGGGAGGCAAGGATTGAAAAGCTACCTATTGGGTACTATGCTTAGTACCTGGGTGATGGGATTAATTGTACCTCAAACCTCAGCATTATGCCACCTACCCAAGTAACAAAAGCTGCACATGTACCCCTTGAATCTAAAATAAAAGCTGCAAATAAATAAATTCATGATTAATACTATGGCAAGCTTTACTGAGAAATCTCCCATGCATGCCTATGTAAATGTGGATGGTAATTGCATTACAGGTCTTGAAGACACTGAAATTTTCTAAAACATACTAACCTCAAAGTGAAATTCTGTTTTCAAACAAAGTCCTGCTAGTTCGTCACCCTCAGACACTCCAACCGAGCCTGATGGCCATGGGGGCTGGTGTGGCCGCCCCTCTCCTTGCCCATGGAGCTCTGCACACAATGGGGCCGGCTGCCAGGATCAGCCTTGGGGTCTCTAAAGAGGGACCTAGGCACAGGGCACAGGGGGAGCAGGCGAGCCTCACAGCAGGAGCAACCTTGAGGCGCAGGATGGGACACAGTCCTCCAAGGCAGAGCCTCACTTAGATCGTCAAAGGGGAGGGGAAGACTGCCCCTGCTGCTTTGTATCTAGAGATATCCCTGGCTCTGGAATTAAATCTCCAAACTCCTTTGGGCTCCTTTCTCTGAAATCACATTTTATTCCATTTCTAGCCCTACAGACAGGAAGTACCAGGGAGCCTATGAAGGGCTTTGTCCTTCTTCATGACTCAACTGTGGCCCCTGAAAATTCCTTCACTGAAGCCCGAACCCCCACTGTGATGTTATTTGGAGATGGGGCCTCTGGGAGGTGATAAGGGTTAGATGAGGTCACAAGGGTGGGACCCCAAGGATGGGATTTGTGCCCTAAGAGAGGACGTCTCTCTTTCACGTGAGGGCACAGTGAGAAGGTGGCCATCTGCAGATGTCCCTCAGAGGTCCTCACAAGGACCCACAAACTGGCACCTTCCCTAGGACTTCCAGCCTCCAGAGCTGTGAGAACAAATGTCTGCTGTTCCTAAGCCCCTACCCGTGGTGGCACTGTGACAGCAGCTCAAGCAGACAAAGACAACAACCAGTACAGCCCGAAAGCCACCAAGCCAGCCACATGGAAGGAACAGCCAAGGTGCATTTCACAAAGACCAACAAGAGCAGGAAGGTTCAATCCAGACCCTCATACCTTTTTTTCCCAACTCACAGGCAGTGAGTTATCCTGGTGTCTGACTCTTTGCCGGGACATCACATAGAAGACACTGTGCAGAAACAGCCTGTCTGGTCTGAGACATTTGCCAGCTGGCCCCCAAAGCCATCCACTTTGCCTCCTGTCTCTGCCTCTCAGACCCTCGGCCAGCCCTGGCTCTGAACCCTGGGTCTGCCCAGGGCCTGTCCCCTCCTCCACGTGGCCTCTGCTCATGTAGCAGCCTGCGTCCCACTCACCTGATTCCACTCGTAGGGCTTTTCATGCCACTTGGGAACAATCTTCTCCCTTGGTTTTGACTGACAGAACAAACTAATTTAAAAAAAAAAGAAATTATCTTAATTATATATTAGTAACTGAAAACACTGCTGTGATTTTTTTAAAGATTTAAATCCTATATGCTTCCCACAGAATTGGAACTAGAATAAACTGTTTAAAGGTCAACATTTATGCAGTTATGATCAGAAAATATTTTAATCTATGGCATATTCAAAAGCAGAAAGAAATGGAGTGTGACAGATCTGTAAGACCTAGTCTTGTCTCTATGTTCCCTTAGCAACCAGCACTGCACACCACATGAATGAGTCAAGTTCTCTGAAATGTAACAGGACATTTTGTACCATTAGCTCTCAAGCAATCATGACAAGTTGGAAATATCATCAGCTTAAAAAGATAGGGAATTTGAACAATGAGGGAGTAAAGAGTTCTGCAGAGCCTCTCCCCACTAAAAAACTATAAAACAAGGCAAAACTGTATACATACATACATACATACACACACACACACACACACACACACATACATACATACATACATACATACCAACAACAACCATTTGAAGGCTCTGGAAATTAACCAAAGGCAAAGGCAAACAACAAGTTGAGAAGCATTCATTCATGACAAACTGCCAGCTCCAGGTGAGAACAGTGGAGTATGTGGAGTTCTTGCTGGGGTAGGGAGCCGCTCCCACCCCATACACCTGCCCCTGAACCCAGCACCACAGCACTCCCAGGGCCATAAAGGCTATGTGATCTGGATCAGAGGGGGAAAAATCCTCACACCTTGACTTGGAGCATTGTCAGTAAAAACAGCAATGAAGGAAACAGATGGGGAAAGCCCATAGCTTTCCAGCCTCACGCCACATCCTGCTTGGGGCCAGCAGCAGACCAGACTATTCAGGAGGTAAAAGGGAGACTCTGGAAAGGAGAGTGCCACAGAGGGGGAGCAGGCCCTCCACACATCCCTGACTGATGGAGGGGTGCACACACGTGGGAAAAACCTGGGAAGCCCTGAGAAAAATAGAGGCCAGGGAAGAATCAAAAAGTGCCTGAACTTGGAGTGCACTTTTCAACCCATACTTAGCTCCAATGGCAAAGGGCAGAAGCCTTCAGGGCAGTATTTAAAGACAACTTTTGATTGATCACTGGCTAAGCACTAAGCTGTGCAGATCAGATACAAGGACAACACCTAGGAAGCCAGGCTAAAAAATAAAAATAAGAATAAAGAAAACAAAACGAGCTGGGCGTGGTCACATATGCCTGTAGCCCTACCTACTTGGGAGACTGAGGCAGGAGGATCGCCAGAGCCCAGGAGTTCAAGGCTGCAGTGAGCTATGATCACATCACTGCACTCCAGCTTAGGCAACAAAGTGAGACCTTGTTTCTATAAAAATTAAAATTAAAAACATAACAAAACAGCAGAACCCAGACATCAGTGACCTCACATCACAGGGGATGGACTTACAGGTTAAGACTAGGCACTTTTCTAAAGTGAAACAAACAAAACCACAAAACCCAAAAACAGCAGCTCTGGGGGAACTGCTCCAGTACATTATCTAAAGTACCCAATTTCCAACAAAAAAATTAGGAGACATCAAAGACACAGGAATGTGTGGCCCACACACAGAAGAGCAGCCAGTAGAGGCTGAGTGTGTGGCCAGCTGTGGGTTCAGCACTCAAAGACCTCAAGGCAGCCACTGTGAACAGGTGCCAAGAAGTTTTTTAAAAATAGGATAACAATGAATCAGGGATAATCTCAATAAAAATTAAAAACTACCAAAGAAACAACAGAAATCCTAGAGCTGAAAAGTACAATGACTGAAATGGAAAATTCTCTGTACCGCATCCACGTCGACCTGAGATGAAATAATAAAGGATCAGTAACCTTAGGACAGATCAACAGAAATTAACCAATCTGAAGCACAAAAAGGAAAGAGACTGAAGAAGAGTGACCAGAGCCTCAAAGACCAGTGAGGCCGTATCGACCGTGTCAGCACGCGTTTAACACCAGCGCACTGACAGACGTGCAAAGCAATGTCTCCCTAGGGGAGAAGAGAGCGGGCACGAGGCAGAAAAAAATATTTGAAAAAATTCAAAACTGCAAATATACTGTAAGTAAAAGGATAGAAAAAGCTCACAAATGGTAGCTAAAGAGAGCTGGGGTAGCTATATTAATATCAGACAAAATAGGCCTTAAAACAAGAAGCATTACTAGAGAAAGAAAGCTTTCATAATAATAATGATCTTGTATGTAGGAAATCCTAAGGAATCTACAAACAACTACTAGAATACAGAAGTTTAACAAGGTCACAGGATAAAAGACCAATATATAAAAATCAACTGTTCCTTTCTAAAAAAAATTCAAAAACAAAATTAAGAAAACAATTTTATTCACAATAGCATTAAAAGAACTAAAATATTTAGAAACAACTAAAGTGCAAGACCTGCACACTGAAAATTCTAAAACAGTATTAAGAGAAATTAGAGAATACCCAAATGAACAGACACTCCATCTTCATGGACTGGATGGCTCACTACTGTTAGGATGGCAATTCTCCCCAAACTGACTCACAGGTTCCACACAATCCCTACCACAATTCCAACAAGGATTTTTATACAAACTGACAAGCTGATCCAAAAATTTGCATGGAAAGGAAAAGAATATAAAAGAGTAAAAATAATTTTGAAAAAGAGCAGGCCAGGTGCGGTGGCTCACGCCTGTAATCCCAGCACTTTGGGAGGCCGAGGTGGGCGGATCACAAAGTCAGGAGATCGAGACCATCCTGGCGAACACAGTGAAACCCCGTCTCTACTAAAAATACAAAAAAATTAGCCAGGTGTGGTGGCGGGCACCTGTAGTCCCAGCTACTCAGGAGGCTGAGGCAGGAGAATGGCATGAACCCGGGGGGCGGAGCTTGCAGTGAGCCGAGATCACGCCACTGCACTCCAGCCTGGGCAACAGAGCAAGACTCTGTCTCAAAAAAAAAGAAAAAGAAAAAGAATAAAACAGGAGGACTAATGCTACAGCAATTAAGACAGTATAGCACTGGTACAAAGATAGATATAAAGTAATTGAACAAAACAGAAAACCCAGTAATAAATCTTTACATTTATGGCCAATTCATTTTTGACCAAGGTACCAAGGCAATTCAATGGTAAAAGTATAGCTTTTCAGTAAATGATGTCATCACCACTAGATGTTCATATGCAAAAAATGACTTTAGGCTCTTGTATCACATACCACATACAAAATCATCTCAAAATGGATCAAAAACCTAAACATAAAAAATTACAAAAAGAGAGAAAATGATTGTGACCTTCAGTTTAACAAGGATTTTTTAAGATATAGCACCGAAAACATAATTCATTTTTTAAAAAGATAAAGTAGGCCAGGCGCGGTGGCTCACCCCTGTAATCCCAGCACTTTGAGAGGCTGAGGCGGGCAGATCACGACGTCAAGAGATCGAGATCATTCTGGCCAACATGGTGAAACCCCATCTCTACTAAAAATACAAAAATCAGCTGGGCTTGGTGGCGTGTGCCTGTAATCCCAGCTACTCGGGAGGCTGAGGCAGGAGAATCGCTTGAACCCAGGAGGTGGAGGCTGCAGTGAGTCGAGACTGCACCACTGTACTCCAGCCTGGGCGACAGAGCAAGACTCCGTCTCAAAAAAAAGATAAAGTAGTGTCTTAGTCCATTTTCCCCTGTTATAACTGAAGACCAGAGAGTGGGTCACTTACAAAGATAAGAACTTGATTTCTCACAGTTCTGGAGCTGGGAAGTGCGGGAGCATGGCTCTAGCACCTGGCCAGGGCCTTCTTGCTGCATCATGACATGGCAGAGGGGCAAGTGAGTACTTGAGACAGGAAGAGGCACCGGGGCAGACCCACTTTACAACAATCCATACTCTCTTGATAACTAACCCTCTCTCACAATGATGACATGAGTCCAGTCAACCCCTTATTATGCCCAGCCTTCCAACACTGTTGCATTGGGTATTAGGTTTCAAACATATCACATTCAAACCACAGCAAGTAGATTTCATCAAAATTAAAAATTTGTGTTCTTTGGAAGACATCATTAAAATAAGAAGACAAGCTACACAATGGTGAAACTAATCGCAAATTACTTAACCAATAAAAGACGTGTATCTAAAATTTAAAAACAATTTCTACAACTCAATAATGAAAAGACAAATTTAAAAATGGGCAAAAGATCTGAACAGACATTTCACCAAAAAAAAAAAAAAAAGGATAAATGACTGGCTAAGAGGAATATAAAAAGTTGCTCTACATCATTAGTCATTAAGGAAACGAAAATTAATGCTACAATGAGATACTACCATACTCACCAGACTGACTGCAGTAACAACACGTGCCGGTGCCTCGTGCTGGTGAGAATGTGGAGAAGCCAGAGCCAGCCTATGTTGCTGGTAGAAATGTAACATTGTACAGCTATTTTGGAAAACAGTTTGGCTATTTCCTTTTTTTTTTTTTTCCTGATAGAGTTTCGCTGTTGTCACCCAGGCTGGAGTGCAATGGCGTGATCTTGGCTCACTGCAACCTCCGCCTCCTGGGTTCAAGCAATTCTCCTGCCTCAGCCTCTCAAGTAGCTGGGATTACAGGCGTGTGTCACCATGCCCTACTAATTTTTGTGTTTTTAGTAGAGACAGGGTTTTACCATGTTGGCCAGGCTGGTCTGGAACTCCTGACCTCAGGTGATCTGCCCACCTCAGCCTCCCGAAGTGCTGGGATTACAGGCGTAAGCCAATACGTCTGGCCCTGGCCTTTTCTTAAAAGATTAACATAAACCTACCAATACAACCTACCAACTCCACTCATAGATATCTTCCCGAGAGAAAAATACATGTTCACAAAAAGACTGTATGTGACTATTCATAGCAGCTTTCTTCATAATGGCCAAATACTGGAAATAATCCAAATATTTTATCAACTGGTGAATGGATTAAAAAAGTGGCATAACAAACAATGAAATATTATTTAGTAAAAAGGAACATGATACAGTATGGATAAACCTCAAAAGTACTAAGCTAAGTGAAAGAAGCCAGATTTTAAAATTAAAATGTGATTCCACATATATAAAAATGTCAGAGAAGGCAAATATATAAACAGAAAGCAGATCAGTGGTACCTGGGCTGGGGTGGGAACAAGACTGCGTGTAAATGGACAGGGGGAACTTTCGATCCTCAACACAGCTTTACTGAGGTGTACTTTACATATCCTAAAAGTCATCAACTTTAGGAACATAATTGATTAGTTTTAGTAAATTTATGGGGTTGTACAAACAATGACACATTCTGTTTTAATATATTAGTCAAGCAGGTGGCATCTGCTGCCTGCTGCCAGGAGAAGTCAGGGCACCCCTGCATCTTGTCTTGGAGTCGCCAAGGAAAACACACAGTCAGACCCTGGCTGGAACGAACCTTTACTTACAGAGGGAGGCAACAGGACAGGATCAGCTCTAGTGACTGGCAGCGGTCCCTGTGGCCAGCGGGTACCTCCCGGAAGACAAGGCAGGCCTGCAGGCCCCTCTCTTATGTGGCAGCAGGAGAGCCCTGTCCCATCCCTGCAGTGGTGGGATTGACCAGGTACCGTATGACACACAGGCTTAAGCAGGGCAGAGCCGGAATCAAGGAAAGATCTTCCCACACATGGCGACGAGCCCCCCACAGGCTGTGAGGACCCTTAATCTTATGGGAAGGAAGCGTTTCAGGCCCAAGGCCTGTTCTCAGACAGCAGAGAGGGGATCAAAGGCTGCCTGCATGAGACTGCCTTTCCCGACAATACTTATGAGTAAACTTCTCTGGATGACAGAAATGCTGAAGAGCTAGGTTGTGTTGACAGACTGCACAACTATAAATTCACTAGAGTTATTGAATTGTTAAAACAAACAAACCAATACCTACTACCTATGGCATAATAAGGCAGGATACAGTTACCCTTGTTTTGGGGGCAGGGAGTGATGGTGGCTACAACCACACCCGCACACCCTAAGGAGCACCGGGGCTCTGACCTCGGTGCTGGCCACATGGGCATATACCTGTGTACTTAAACTTCAACCCACATTTTACATAAAAATATTTTTACTGGCCAGGCATGGTGGCTCACACCTGTAATCCCAGCACTTTGGGAGGCTGAAGCGGGTGGATCGCCTGAGGTCAGGAGTTCACCTGACCAACATGGTGAAATCCTGTCTCTACTAAAAATATAAAAATTAGCTGGGCATGGTGGTGGGTGCCTGTAATCCCAGCTACTTGGATGCTGAGGCAGGAGAATCGCTTGAACCCGGGAGGTGGAGGTTGCAGTGAGCTGCAATCGTGCCATCGCACTCCAGCCTGGGTGACAGAGCAAGACTCCATTCTCAAAAAAAAAAAAAAAATTACCAGCTTGGGCAACATAGCAAGACCTCATCTATGTAAAAAATTTAAAAATTAGCCAGGTGTGGTGGTGCACACCTGTAGCCCCTGCTACTAGGGAGGCTGAGGTGGGAAGATCATGTGTGCCAAGGAGTTGGAGCTGCAGTGAACCATGCTCGCACCACTGCACTCAGCTTGAGCAAGAGGGTGAGACTCTGTCTCTAAAAATAAATAAATAAATATTAAAAATATTTTTATATAAAAGAAAATGAAGAGAGAAAACTAAAACTGGCCTTTCTCACCATTTCTAAGACAGCTATATATAGCTTTTTAAAAAATGCTTATTAAACTAAAAGAAACCAACCCAAAAGGCATAGGAAGGAGAGAAGTGTCACCGTGATACCAGATGCCACCTGCTTTCACAGAGGTCCAGGTCCCAGCCAGCACAGGACACTGTCAGGCAAGGAAGGACCGGGCCCTTCCCAGGGAGACTGGCTCTGGGGCAGGAGCACAGGACTGGGTAGGTGGAATGCTGGTTTCTCCTCCATGACCACTCCCACTCTTCTTGGCCTTCCCGGGGCCCTCAAGCTGCCTTGGGCTCATGGGCTACACCAACAGGAGCCTTTTGTGTCTGCATTCTGGTTTGGTTTGTCCCATGGAGAGTCCAGCAGGAGGTGAGAAACAGGGAAGTCAGGTCAGAATGCTCCTTCTCCAACCTCCCCTGCAGAGAGGTTCAAGAGAGGCCCAGCTCTGTAAGGCCCAATCCTACAAGCCGGACTCCCCCAATCCCTAAGACACCCACCACTAGGAATGGTGGGTGACACATTACCCACTGTGGCTTCCCATGCCCTGCCCACGCTGTCCCTTCAAGGGACACACACACACAGGACAAGGGTGCTGCTCTCCACAGGAAGGGCGTGCCTACATTCTGATGCCTCCCAGTGCTGCCTCCAGCACTGGCACTCCACTTCAGGTGATCAATATGTCACATTGCCTACACAATTCAAAACAGCCATGATCAAGGCAGCTGAGAAAGTTGACTGGGAAGAAAAGAAGCCCGCGTCATCACACAGCTTACCCTAAAAGCTTCTGACGGGCAATGTCTTGAAGCTGCGCAACTCTCTCTGGCCCAAGACACTTGCATCCATTTGGTCCATCACAGACTAGCTTGTTAATAGCAGCCCTGAGAATATTAACCTGTAAATGAACAGCAACATAAACACTCATAAGGCTCCGTCGTAACTGAATTTCATCCCGTTAGAGAATTCATAGCATTCAGAGTTAGTATTCTCTGTCATCAGTATGGTTTATCCACTCGCCTGCTGAAGGCATCTTGACTGCTCCCAGTTTTTAGCAATTATGACTCAAGCTGCAATTGATATTCACATACAAGCTCTATGTGGATGCTAGTTTTCAAATCTCTTGAATAAATACCTACAGATGGGATTCCTGGGTCATATGGTAGATGCAGGCTTAACTTCATATGAAACTGTCTTCTAAAATAGTGGTACTAATCTGCATTCCCACCAGCAATGAACAAAAGGTCCCCGGTCCCCCTGCACCACCTCCTTGCCATTGCTGGTTACTGTCAGGTTTTGGATTTCAGCCATTCCAGTAAGTAGGTGGTGCTATCTCATGGAAGTCTCAATTTGCATTTTCCTAATGACATATGATGCTGAGCATCTTTTCATGGGTTTACTGTCATCCGTATTTTAATTCTGTTGCTTGTTTTCTTATAATTGAGTTTTAAGAGTGCCTTACATATTGTGGATACAAGTCCTTCATCAGATATGTAACCTGTAACTATTTTCTCCTGGTGTGCACTTTGTCTTTTCTTCCTCTGAAGAGGGTCTTTTGCGGAACAAAAGTTTTTAATTTTGATAAATTCAAACGTATCAATTTCCCCTTCACAGATTGTGCTTTGGGTGTTGTATTTATAAACTCATGCCACACCCAAAGTCACACAGATTTCCTGAATTTGCTTGTAGCACTTTAATAGTTTTACATTTTCCCATTAGGTCTATGGCTTAAGGAGTATTTTCAAGCCCATAAGCCCCTTCTTGTGACCAGGCAATTATGACTTAACAGTTGCAGAGACAACACTGATACCTGCCCCCGGAGCATCGGCAGCTGTCTCTGCAGCTCCTCCTTTCCCCCGGCCCTTCAGTGTGGTTATGTTAACCTCACCCGTCTCATGGAACTTCTAAGAAAGAAAGGCGACTGAGTACTTAGAAAGTAGCATTTCTCAAACTATTTGTGGTAAAGGATCAGTTTTGGTCTTCCCACTTTGTAAAATGCAATAAAAATAAATTACTATAACGATGAAAGATCTTTTTTAATGTACACAAATACGAGCCCACATTTCTATTATTAGATTCAAATGACATACAAATACTTTGTGTACTTGCTACACAGTTTCCCTGTCTGCCTTGCCACCTCACCCCAGAGCTAGTGCGGTGCCCAGACAATGCTGCAAGCAGCTCAGCTCTGCACTCACGCTGACCCAGCCCTCTGCTCAGCATGGTCACCAGGCCGGGAGAAGGGCAGAGGGGCAGGACCTTGTGTCCTCCTTTCCCAGTAAGAACTAGCAAGGATGTTCCACTTCCTGACTTGGAATGAGACCCACAGCAGCCCTACAGCCCCGTGGTTTAGCTGATTGCCCAGAAAAGCTTATGCCAGGAGACACCAAATGAGAGACTCAGAGAGCACCATCAGGAAGTTACTTTTCACAGGAAAGATACATCAAACTGGCAAGTTAAGGAGCGGTCCTCCTGGAGGGTGACTCCAGGAGGGACAAGGAACGTGCACATCTCCAGGACCAGAGGTGTGTGTCTGCACCGCGAGCTCCACAGCAGACCCTGCACTCACTGTCAGGTAAGCAAAACCAGAGAGAGACAGGGTTGTGGTGCCGTGATGCTGCACTACCCTTACCTCGACGACATCCTCCACGCTGAATTGAACGTCAAACGCAAGCTCCATGTCGTGCTCGGGCAGTATGGAAGCCCCTGTAGCTGGATTCCACCCCAAACCACAAAGGACTCCAGTATAGTACTTGCCATTCTGATCAATCCTAAATGGAATGTTTTCAGAAGAGTCCATTATTTCAGAATTGTTAAAGTATATGTTTTAGCATGTAAAAATTGACCGATAAAATTATCCTAAATTCTGCCAGCCCTAGTACAGCAATTAATTTCACTTGTGCATTTTTCTGCCAGTTTTCACAATCAAAATATAGTTATAAAATATAGTTATAAGAATAGTAAATTCAGTATTTTTATTAATACTTAATAATTTGTATTAATACTTTATTAAGTTTCTAATGTGGTAGATAAGATAATGAAAAGAATATTTTATCATGAATGGGTTTTTTTTTCCCTTGCCTTCGAATTCTTTCCATGGGTTAAATTCTTATTAGGGAGATTTCTGGAGAAAGGGCTATGTACATATTTATGACCTGTCAAACAAGTCTAGCACTTAGTAAAAGCCTAAAAAAATGTTCCACCTTCTCATCCTAAAACAATGGTGCACACTTACAAAGTTTTGTATCCCAGTTTTATCACCACCCTCCTCTGACCACTGGCACGTCCTGTCACCTTTATCACTCCCTAATAGCCTCTCCATGGCTGCGGCCAACAGCCTGGTCCAAGCCACTGCCATTTCTCACCTGGACTTGGTAACAACTTTCCGACCAATTCCCCATCTCTTACTCCTGCCTCTTCCAATCTTTTCTCCATATAGCACACAGGAGTAGCTTTTCAAAACAAATACAATGTTACTCCCTTGCCTAAGGCGTCTCAGTAGTTTCCAACCACACTGTGAATTACAGTGGGACCTAGAAGCCACAGTGGTCTAGCTGTGACTGTGACTACAGTAAAACTCACGCTGTGTGGCTTCTGCAGCTAGATTACAAAAGGTGACACAGGCCAGGTGATATGGTTAAGCTTTGTGTCTCCACCCAAATCTCATCCTAAATAATCCCCACGTGTCATGGGAGGGACCCTCTGGAAGGCAGTTAATCATGAGGGTGGTTAACCTCATGCTGTTCTCGTGATGGTGAGTGAATTCTCATGAAATCTCATGGTTTCGTAAGGGGCTTTTCTTTTCCCCCTTTTGCTCGGCACTTCTCCTTGCTGCCACCATGTGAAGAAGAACGTGTTTGCTTTCCCTTCCACCATGACTGTAAGTTTCCTGAAGCCTCCCTAGTCGTGCAGAACTGTGAGTCAATTAAACCTCTTTCCTTTATAATTTACCCAGTCTCGGGTATGTCTTTATTAGCAGTGTGAGAATGAACTAATATACTGGGCACGGTGGCTCACGCCTGTAATCCCAGCACTTTGGGAGGCTGAAGTGGGCAGATCACTTGAGGCCAAGAGTTTGAGACAAGCCTGGCCAACAGGGCGAAACCCCTTCTCTACTAAAAATACAAAAATTAGCCAGGTGTGGTGGTGCACACCTGTAATCTCAGCTACCTGGGAGGCAGAAGTGGGAGGATCACTTGGAGGCAGAGGTTGCAGTGAGCTGAGATGGCACCACTGCACTCCAGGCTGGGTGACAGAGTGAGACTCCAACTCAAAAAAACAAACAAAAAAACAGGGACAGCTGCCACCTGGCTCATTCTCAGGACCCTCAGCACCAACCCACCATGCTGAGGACACCCAAACTAGCCTACAGACAGATCACTTGTGGAAGTCCTCACTGAGAGCAACTGAGGTCTCTGGCAAGCAGCAACCACCAGATGTGAGCCTGGACACCCACCAGCCTCCAAATCCTTCAGCTGGAGGCCCCAACATTGGGAACACAACAAGCCATCCCTGTGTACCCTGACATAGTTCCTCACCCACAGAGGCAAAGAAGGTTGCTGTAGCCCACTGAAGTTTTGGGGTAGCTTGTTTTTAGCCACAGTAGCCAGAAAACCCAGTTAAACAGTGAGAGTCTTCTTTTAATCCACCCTCATTCAATTTTTTGTTTGTTTAATTTTTGTGGGTACATATAAGTGTAGATATTAATTTTTAGGTTTTAATTGATAGAACTTCTTGTTGTTGTTGTTTAAAGATCCCCCCACCCTCTCATGCCTGTTCAGAAGCACCATCTTCCCAGGGTTACAGCACTGCCCTCAACACGTGACTTAGCCTCTAAACCATGGCCAGCATTTGGCAGTCTCCCCAGTAGCAAAACCTGGCTCCAAGAACCAAGGGAAGGAGGTGAGTACAGTGTTCTTGTCACTACACCAATAAGAGCGTGTTCTCAGATGTCTGCTCCCATCCTGGAGGTGCCAGGCTCTGCTACCATGGAGCATTCTGCTCACCCAGGGAGGCGGGCTCCACAAGGTACACAATGATGATGCCACTGAATCCAGGCTGACACCATCAACTACTCCAACTGTTCAGGGAAAACACCTCGAGGACAGGGGCAGCAAGAGGAGTGACGCACTCCGGGGACAGATGTGTGGTGGATCAGCTCCACGATGAAGGGAAGAGGAAAGCTGGCACCAAGGCTCAGTCACCCTGAGTTATGGAGGGGCCAACTACAAGTGAAGGTCACATGGCAGAAAGAACAAAGGAGAGGAGACAAATGGCAGCTAGGTCAGTCCACAGCCAGTTGGCAAAGAAGGGGACAGTGGCCTCCACTTAGATGTCTCTGCTTATGAATGGGGCATAACACATATCTCCTTCCCCTTTTTAAATTGAAAATCAAGATAAAATTAAGTTTTCTGCTCATCTTCCTTTCCTGCCACTATTGTACAAAGAGTATGTTAGAGGTGGTAAAAAATTATCACTTAGTCGTAAAGTTGAATCAGTTGTGACAGGACAGTGACACATGTGGAGGGAGAACAGACTTTACCCAGAGACTGCAAGCTTCGCGTTTAACAAGGGGGGCCAGGACAGCCTCTAGTGCAGCAGCCAGACGCCACCCGAACAGGAGACGAGTCCCATGCGGGTGCGCATTAGAGAGGTGGCTCACAAAAGGAAGCAAACGGGCATGGGCGCATGGCGGGGCAGCGGCTCGCAGGAGCTGTGGGCTTTGGAGGACAGCTCCCCTCCGGAACACACCTAAGACACAGTGCTGGGACCCCTGGGCCAGTTCTGTACTGAAGACCCCCCTCCTGCTCGCTGCAGAAGACTGCATATTTAAAGTGAAAGGAAAGGAGAATGCTCATCCCAAATCAAACAGCTGTCATCTTTCAAAGTTTCTCAAAAACAGTTGTTACTCACTCAACAAATTAAAAAAAAAAAACTCCAACCTTAGAGACAGAGTGAGACCCTGTCTCAAAAAACAACAACAAAATAAAAAACAACAACAAAACCAAGCTTATACAACTACTCAGAGGCAGGCAGAGTTTGGAGGAAAATCAACCAGGCCCCCCTGCTACCTTTCCGATAATCACCTAGTTAAGCCTGTGGATTCAAAGACAACTAGTCTTACGCACACTGTCACATAAACCGTCCCAAATCTGGCACATTTCAGTTAATTCAACAAAATGAATATAATCAGCAAAGCACTGTGTATTGTTATATATAACCTTTTCCTATTAAGCTTGTGCTTTTTCTAGAAAGATGGTGTTTTAAATACCAAGTATGTCAGTATTTCTTGAATGTCTACAACCTAAACGCTTGCACTCTGGAGTTGTGAAAATAACACACTATATCATTCAAATCCTCAAAAGCTGGTGTTTAAAAGAGGTGAAGCAGGAGCTTTGTCTAGTTAAAAAGGCAAGCAGGGCGTCCAAAGTGCCATGAGAGGAAGGGACCTGCTTCTGCACTAGCCAAGCCTCAGGCCTGCAGGTGCACAGCGTGCTATTTGCTCATGAGATCATCCCACTGCCACGTGTGGTTCCTGCACATCTGTCTCCCCACCGAGGCTCCAAGACGCCTGAACTTACAGAGGGATTTACTGCATCATCATTGCAAAATTAGGTCACATTTCAACAATTAAAGGCATATTCAATCCTTTCAGACAAGAGCCGCTCAGAAACAAGTGCATGTATAATTAAAACAGGGCGGTATTTTTGTAAGCCATCATATGCCCATTCAGTGATATATGATACAATTATCAAAATGGATATTTACAAAGATATCATAATATGAAAAACCTGGTATTTGTGGGAAAAGAATACAGTATAACAAGAATCTTAAATAAAAATATGTATATACAAATTTAAAATAAGTATACTATTTAAATTTAAATCTATAAATTTAAAAATGTGTTAATTTTTCCCATTCAGCTTTTTCTAAGTAGCACATATTTTAATGAAAAAAATATTCTTACAACTAAAAAAAAAAGCACTACACATTTTGAGATTGCACTGTCAGATTCTGAACAAGTGTAATGGCAAAAAGGACTGAGTAAACGGTGGGGCCCTTCCACCTGCCTTGACTGAACTTAGCCCTCTAGGTCTATGGACCACCCCTCCATGCTCACCAGCTGACTAGAAAAGAAGAAAAGGGTAACTTTCCATGCCCCCGACTCTTGAAGTGCTACCAGGCCTCTACTGCAATCTCGTCATGGCCATTTCCATCCTGCCCAGCAGAATGTGAGTTCCTAAAGCCCAAATATTACTCCTTTTCTAGCCACCCCCACCCACTGCTCCACTAAAACCTATGTTAGTGCTTTCCCCACAGAGAATGCTCTGTCAATCCCTAGTCTGCAAACAAAACCTTACACGGCAGCAGCCCCCACTGTGAGGGTGCCTTTAAGAGCTCTGCTCATGGCATCACACACTCCTCTCTATCAAAGTCTCTGGGAGAAATCCTGGCTTAATCGTGGCATTAACAAGAGCTACAATCTGCTGGGCAATCTGCCTTCTGATGTCATGGTTACCACAAGAAGGGGGACTGACGGGTTCTTGTCGACAACTGGTCACCAGAAAACTTGGAATCACATTCACCACCCATTAACAATGGGATGTCCATCACCATGACATTTATTTTGAGCCTCATTCCTAGCTCCATTTTTAATTTATTTTACCCCTTTTTTGCCTCAAGCTCCTATGTGACACAGTGTGTACCTTTACAAGCTTTCTGAGCTTCTTTCAAAATCAGCCCAAGCATAAATAAATCAATAACAATACAGGCTTCACCCCAAGCAGCGAGACGTGCCATGGCTAGCTTCCATAAAGGCTTTCTTTCCAAAAGGAGCAAGGAGAGGCACCCGTTTTTTCCCGCCCAGGTTCTTATTTTACAAAGCCTATAGACAAGAGGGATGCCCGTACCTTAACTCTATCACCGGTGCGAATAACATGCTGAGGAGAGCCGGGAGGCCAGGGATATGAGGCATCAGAGAGGTTTCTCTCAGCAGCATCGTAGATCCTGTTCAAGTCATGCTAAATCAACATCGGGCATTAACTCACGCTGCTCAGGGCAGCGTTCCCTCCCGGCCCGCTCCTACTCATCTGCAGGTATCCCCTCCTCTGCTGAGTCTGTCCAGTCCCCACAGGCCCACCCCAATAGTAACGCACACTCCCTGTTCTCTGTTTCCACAGTACCCTACAGAGAGACACTACGCTATGATGCGTAAGCTTTTACCCCACTTGGGGATAACTCCTATTTGGTTACTCTTTGCATCTCTTTCCCCTAATCAGGCTATTGGATTTTTCCCAGGGCCAAGAGCTTGGATGTATTCTACTCTGTAGCCAAGCAGGGTGGAATGAATGAAAGATCCAGGAGTCAATTATTAATACTTCCCACATCCTTGTATAAAAGGAAAAGTGAGAATGCTCCACCGCGTAACCTCGCACCAGCCAAAGCAGTCAGAAAATGGCCTAAAAGAACAGCACGTAAGCTGGGCGCGGTGGCTCACGCCTGTAATCCCAGTACTTTGGGAGGCCAAGGCGGGTGGATCACGAGGTCAGGAGATCAAGACTATCCTGGCTAACACAGTGAAACCCCATCTCTACTAAAAATACAAAAAATTAGCCAGGCATGGTGGCAGGTGCTTGTAGTCCCAGCTACTCGGGAGGCTGAGGCAGGAGAATGGTGTGAACCCAGGAGGTGGAGCTTGCAGTGAGCCGAGATCGCGCCACTGCACTCTAGCCTGGGCGACAGAGCAAGACTCTGTCTCAAAAAAAAAAAAAAAGAAAAAAAAAGAATAGTACATAGTGTAGACTTGTTCACCAATTATAGGATAAGTTGTTCCTAGTAGCTGAAGTCAAGGAAAAGAAAAAAGAGAGGACAAGGAATAAACAGGATCTTTAAATTACCAGTCGCATTGATGGAAAGGGAAGCTGCAACCAGCATTCTCTGGTGAAGGTCTTCAGGGGCGTCACTGATAATGACAGAGTTGATGCTCTCCTTCTCAATCCAAACACACCTAAAAGGCAGGAGCACCAGGAGATGGGGTGACTGATCCACTAACCAGGCAATGTGCTATGCCAACCCACAAGCAACCCATTTCAAAAATACAAACGGGCAACTGCAATGATAGACGGGAAGAAATATTTAACCCCCCACTCTCCTGCACATCTCCTTTTACTGGACCACCTCTTCACACAGGAGTCCTCAAGCTGGTCCTCAGCCCTCTTCTCTCTCCACTCCCTCGTGCATGATCCCGACCACTCCTTGGCTTAGGAACCACGCACACGCTGGGGATGCCCGAACCTCCACCTCCACTCGAGACCCTCTGTCCTGCACTGTCAACTCATAAGGGCCATCACCTGCATCCTGGCAGAGGGAACTGAGTGTGGTCCACCCCACAGTTCCTCTGTCACCCCTCAGCAGAAGCCTGCTGCAGCCCCAGCAAGGGCACCCTTAATTCTTCCTCTTCCCTTCAGCACTGACTCTAATGCAGCTCCATCCTGCTGCTTCCAGCAGGTGAAAGTGCTGGTGAAGCTGTTTCTGTATCTCCTGCCAGGGACTCAGTTTCCCATATTCCCACCCTGGGTTACAGCAGGGACCAGCCTCAGAAGCACAATACTGCCTGAGGATCTTTCTACTCTGAAATCCAATGCCGGCTTCACACTGGGGCTCCTGAGACTGTAAGCACAGGCAGATCGCCAGAGGCCTTGTGAAAATGCAGGCTCATTTGGAAGGCCCTAGGGGACCTGGGCATCTGCATTTCCAATGTGCTCCCCGGAAGACATTTTGAGAAGACAAGACTTACCCAAAGGCATCATTTTAAAATGCACATAGTAAGGTTCACGGCCCTTTCAGAATGAAGTCTACAAAGTTTGCCCTCGTCTACCACAAGCTTGGCACCTCCCTTCCCCCCACCCAATTCTCCAATCTTACTAAACTTACTCGAGTTACACGTGCAAACTCTCAAACTCAGGCCTATGCACTTGCCAGTGGAGCCACCCTCATCCCACCTCCCCTCTCTTCCTCCAACACCTGCACCTTGGCTGACGCCTCTGTATCCGCCAGGCCTCAGATTTCTCTGGAAAAGCTCCATGATCTTTCAAGGGTGGCTGGGCCCCCTAGATGCTTTCATGATGTTCTGTGCCCTTATCAAGAGCCCTATCACCCTATATTGTAGTTACCGGCTTCCTCTATGCCCCCCACCCGCCAACTGCATCCATAATTTTCATGAAGACAAACAACTGTTTCTTGTTCACTACAGTTTGCCCCAAACCACACACTGCTCCTGGCATACAGTGGGCTCTCACAGCTTTGCTGAATAACAATTGTAACAAGAACAGAAAAAAATGTAGTCTTTGATAAAAGATACTCAAAAATGTCTTACATAGAATGGCTTTCACGTGTGTGAGAGAGAGACTACCTCAAATCAGGAGCTGGGAGAGAAATGAGAAGTTAGAAAAGATAACATTCCGGCCGGGCATGGTGGCTCACGCCTGTAATCCCAGCACTTTGGGAGGCCGAGGCAGGTGGATCACAGGGTCAGGAGTTTGAGACCAGCCTGACCAACGTGGTGAAACCCCGTCTGTACTAAAAATACAAAAATTAGCCAGGTGTGGTGGCACGTGCCTGTAATCCCAGCTACTCAGGAGGCTGAGGCAGGAGAATTGCTTGAATCTGGGAGGCGGAGGTTGCAGTGAGCCAAGATTGCGCCACTGCACTCCAGCCTGAATGACAGAATGAGACTCTGTCTCAAAAAAAAAGAAAAGAAAAGAAAAGAAAAGATAACACATTCCAACAGTTTAGATATAAAGATACATTATTTTCTGATGAGATCTATAAACAGAAAAGCAGAGAAAAAAAATTCATGGAAAACTTAAGTTAATCATACCTGAATTTGGATATTCTGGTCAAACTATGGCACTTTAGTTCATAAGGGTTAAAAGGCCCGTGAAGTTCTGCCTGCGTGCACAAAATATAGGAAGTGTTACCAATAAGCAAGATAACACTTAACATGAATTTTTAAAACTCAAAAGTCAGCTCATTCTTTAAAGGAAAAAAAAAAGACATCTCATTCATAATGTCTTTATGATTCAGTTAAGAAAAAGTGCCTTAAAGAAGGTATTTTTCTGGGATGTAACTCATTCTCTTCAACAATTTCACTAACATTCCTTGATATATATGGTTAAGAAAGCCTTTGGACAACAAAAAAGGAATCATTGACAATTTAGTGAAAATACTATTATTTCAATTGCAGCAGACCAACCCAGTTGCACAGGTAGACCTGAGACCACACAACCAGAGGCTGGGGAAACACAAGTGGAGTCCCTGAACAAGGAGACACCCTGGCCAGCCCTCCTCTCCAAGCAGGCGGGCAGCACCGGCTCTAACAGCCAGCCAGGGAGTCCAAGGCTGGCACCAGTTCTCTGAACCCACACGCTGTGCTTCCTTTAGTCCGACAAAAAAAGCACACGTCAGGAGGGTTTAAAAAAAAAAAAAAAAAAAAAAAACTAGTCAAAGCTTCTCTCTAAACCCCACTAAACACTAAACCCCAGGGTTTTTTCTTATTATTATAAGAGGATCAATTGTGAGAAAAGTAACAGCATTAAAAGCCAGAAAAGAAAAAACCACCATGACTACTGACTACAACTCCTAGCACATAAATGTAAAATGATACTAAGCTTTTAAATTACATTTTAAAACTCCTACAATCACCTTACAGTTTGGAGTACCCAGTTTATTGGTAGAAAAGCTCTCTAACAAAATCCGGATGAGATATTTCTCGTCGTCTTTCATGGGAAAGGGCACAGAGCCATCTGTCATGTTTTCTACTGACTTGGAAAAGAGGCCCTTGAGAACTTCATGGCTTTGCTGAACAAACAAGAAAAGTTTGTTTTGTTAAAAGAAAATATTACAAGGACTTTCTTCCAAACTAATCAAAATATTTCATAGGCACAGTGTTACTCTGATTTCTATGTCATTAATTTTTATTTTATTATTATTACACTTTAAGTTTTAGGGTACATGTGCACAATGTGCAGGTTAGTTACATATGTATACATGTGCCATGCTGGTGTGCTGCACCCATTAACTCGTCATTTAGCATTAGGTATATCTCCTGATGCTATCCCTCCCCTCTCCCCTCACCCCACAACAGTCCCCAGTGTGTGATGTTCCCCTTCCTGTGTCCATGCGTTCTCATTGTTCAATTCCCACCTATGAGTGAGAACATGCGGTGTTTGGTTTTTTGTCCTTGCGATAGTTTACTGAGAATGATGATTTTGGAAGTCATTGATTAAAGTATAGGGAAATAATTTTATCAAGTTCATTTTAAGATTCAAACAAAAGAAATATGACAGGATTTACAATCTTATTTCTTCAAACAAAAGAAATCCGACAGCCTTTGCAACATTTTACCCATTAGAGAATTTAAGAGAAATAAACATTTTTTACAGTTTTTTGGGGTTTTTGTTTGTTCGTTTGCTTTGAGACGGAGTCTCACTCTTGTCGCCCAGGCTGGAGTGCAATGGCGCAATCTCAGCTCACTACAACCTCCACCTCCCAGGTTCAAGCAATTCTCCTGCCTCAGCCTCCTGAGTAGTATGATTACAGGTGCCCACCACCATGCCCAGCTAATTTTGTATTTTTAGTAGAGATGGGATTTCACCGTGTTGGTCAGGCTGGTCTCGAACTCCTGACCTCAGGTGATCTGCCCACCTGGGCCTCCCAAAATGCTGGGATTACAGATGTGAGCCACTGCACCTGGTCTACAGTTTTTTTAATTTTCTTTTTTCTTCTCTTACTATCGTTTGCAAGAAAGAAACATTTTTACAGGACTTTTTTGTATGTAAAATTTTGGTTTTACACTGGAAATATTAACATAATTCCCTGAAGTGTTTTTATATAAATTAAATACAGAATTTAGCCAGCACTCTGGCTAACATTTTGCTAGACTGTCCCTTCCTGATACCCAGTATTCTTCATCCCCAGCAGAAATAACAGAAGTAAAAGACCTTCAACATGAGCTTCAAAAGTGGCCTCTCTGATCATCTCAACAGATGCAGAAAAAGCACTTGATAAAATTCAGCATTACTTTAAGATAAAAAAATTCTCAGCAAATTGGGTATAGAAGGAACATATCTCAACGCAAGAAAGGCCATACATGACAAACCCACAGCAAACACCATACTGAAGAGGGGAAAACTGCCATCTTTTCCTCTAAGAACAAGAACAACACAAGGATGCCCAATTTTACCATTTATATTCAACACAGTACTGGAAGTCCTAGCCAGAGAAATTAGGCAAGAGGAAGAAAGAAAGGGCATCCAAATTAGAAAAGAGAAAGTCAAAATGTCCCTCTTTGCAGATAACATGATCTTATATATAGAAAAACCTAAAGACTCCACCAAAAAGCTTTTAGAGCTGATAAATGAATTCAGAAAAGTTGCAGGATACAGAAATCAGTATACAAAAATCAGTAGCATTTCTATACACCAATAACTAGCTAAAAAAGATATCAAGAAAGCAATCCCATTTACAATACCTACAAAAATAAAATACCGAGGAATATATTTAACCAAGGAGGTGAATGATCTCTATAATGAAAACTACAAAATATCAATTAAAGCAATTGAAGAGGACACAAATGATTAAGACATCTCATGTTTATGAATTGGAAGAATTTATATTGTTAAAATGACCATACTATCCAAAGCGAGCTACAGATTCAATGCAACTCCAATCAAAATACCAATGACATTCTTCACAGAAATAGAAAAAACAATCCTAAAGTTCATATGGAACCAAAAAATACCCCAAAAGCCAAAGCAATCCTAAGCAAAAAGAACAAAGCAAGAGACATCGCAGTACCTGACTTAGAAATACACTACAAAGCTACGGTAACCAAACCAGCATTATACTGGCATAAAAACAGACACACAGATGACCAATGGAACAGAATAGAGAACCCAGAAATAAAGCCACGCATTTACAGGCAACTGATTTTCAACAAAGGCTCCAAGAACATTCATTGGGGAAAGGAGAGTCTCTTCAATAGATGGTGCTGGGAAAACTGGACATCTAAATGCAGAAGAATAACACTAAACCCCTATCTCTTGACATATACAAAAATCAACTCAAAATGGGTTAAAGACTTAAATGTAAGACCTAAAACTATAAAAAACTACTAGAAGAAAACAAGGAGAAATACTTTAGTACACTGATCTAGGCAAGGATTTTATGGCCAAGACTTCAAAAAGCAGAGGCAACAAAAATAGACAAATGGAACTATATTACACTAAAAACCTTCTGCATAGTACAGGAAACAATCAACAAAATGAAGAGACAACCTGTAGAATGGGAGAAAATATTTGCAAACTACTCATCTGACAAAGGAATAACATCCAGAATACACAAGGAACTCAAACAGCAAAAAAGCAAATAATCCAATTAAAAAGTGGGCAAAGCATCTGAACAGACATTTCTCAAAAGAAGACATACAAATAACCAACAAATATATGAAAAATGATCAACATCACTAATTATCAGGGAAATTCAAATCAAAACCATCGTGAGAGATAGCATCTCACCCCAGTTAGAATGGCTATTATCAAAAAGACAAAAAATAAATGCTGGTAAGGATGCTGAGAAAAGGGAACTCTTATACACTGTTGGTGGGAAGGTAAATTAATACAGTCTTTATTGAAAACAGTGTGAAGGTTACTCAAAAAACTAAAAACAGTACGAACATACAATCTGGCAATCCCACTACTGGATATTTATCCAAAGGAAAGGAAATCAGTACATCAGAGATACCTGTACCCCGTGATTACTGCAGCAGTGGTCACAATAGTCAAGATACAGAACCAACCTAGGTGTCCGTCAACAGATGAATGGATACTGAAAATGCAGTATATACAGAATAAAATACCATTCAGCTACAAAAAGAAAAAATCCTGTCATTCTTGGCAACGTGGATGAGCCTGGAGGATGGTATGTTAAGTAAAATAAGTCAGGCACAGAAATATAAATATGACATGTTCTCATTTATGAGTAAGAGCTAAAAAAAAATTGAAATAATGGAAGTAGAGAGGAGGATTGTGGGTATTAGACGCTGGGTAAGACAGGAAGGGGAGAATAGAGAGAAGTTGGTTAACAAACAAAATTACAGCTAGATTGGAGGAATAGGTTCTTGCGTTCTGCAGCACTGTGGGGTAAATATGGTTAACTATAAGGTATATTTTCAAAAAGCTAGAAGAAAGTTCTTGAATGTTTACAACACAAAGAAATAATAAATGTCTGAGGTGACAGATTTGCTAATTACCCTCACTTGATCATTATACATTATATACACATATCAAAATATGACTCTATATCCCATAAATATGTACAATGATTATGTGGCAACTAAAAAAGGAAAAAGAAGTGGCCTCTCAAACCTTTAAATCGTGAAAAATAACTCTAACACTGATTTTCAAAGAAACAGTTGAAAGAAGTTTTGAAATGCTTGAAATATTTGAAATATTTTATTAACTACTTCCATTAGGGAGATAAATCTTGGAATCCATTTTTAAAACTCCCCACATATATAGAACATTTTCAAATCTATCCTAAGAAGATAAAAAGCTGAATAGGAGGCTGGGTGCAGTGGCTCACACCTGGAAGTACTCTGGGAGGCTGAGGCAGGAGGATCCCTTAAGCCCAGGAGTTTGAGACCAACCTGGGCAACACAGGGAGACCCTATCTCTACTAAAAAATATGTTAAATAAATAAATAAATAATTTTTAAAAATAAGCTAAATAGGAGACAAACAAATACAATACTCACCAACAAAAACAATACCCAGCCACCATACTTTAGTCTCAGAGAAAGCTAGAAGACATTTAAATTGGTGCCACCAGTCTTAACACAAGTACAGCAAACCAAATGGTGAAGAGGAACACTGTCCGCCTCCTCCTATCTCAGGGTCCACAGAGGAAGGAAAGCCTGCCCCGTTCTCTCTCACACAAACGCGTGCTCCAGCAACGGCGAAAGCACACACCTTGGACTCGTAGGACTCCTCCGTGAGCTCGGCATAGCCCTGCTGGATGAGGACGTCTCTTATGTTGATGGCATCCTGGACCCCTGAGTACTGGTACACATCCACGTGCAGGACGCTGTGCACCACAGAGAAGACCTTCACAAGGAGGGTGCAGCCGCTCACCAGAGAGGCGAACCACTGGCTGGCCCCGTCACTCCAGTGCTTGCCACAAACAAGAGACTTTGCTGATGGTCTCATTTTGCAAATCTTAAATTCCAAAGCCTACAAGGACAGAAGGGCACAGCTCAAACAGCTTTATAAATAAGCAAAACACTCATCCCAAATACCACTGAAAACAGACCTTGTTCATGTACCTTCAATAATATTCTCATAAAAGTCCCAATAAAACTAATGTTGGGGTAGTGAGAATTTCCTAAAGAAACTTGGTTTGCTTTTTAACAACAATAAGAAATATTTAGAATAATTTTTAGATTGTCTTCATACTGATGGTAAGGGCATGTGTGACTATGTCTGTGGCCTACCTAAAAAGTCTGTCTGGTTTCAACATAACCAGAAAACTCAGAAACAGTATTAGAAGATACTACTGGATTAAAACAACTTTTTTTGCTAAATCTGAATCCTTTCATGTATTTTTGGAAGAGCAGAAACCAAATTTGGCTATTGTGACAAAGCAAGTCCCTCCCTGTCCTGGGCCTTGGCTCCCCTAGCTGTAAGCCGAGGCAGGGCACCATATGACCCAGGAATCCACCCAGGAATCCTGTCCAGCATGCAGCATTCATTCCCTAGAGTCTTCTCTACCTTACCTGGAAAGGAAGTTCAAGAAATTGACAGGGAATCTCCATCAAAAGATGTAGATCTACATGAGACTTATTGCCATAATCTACAAAGAATACCTAGAAAATAAAGCAAGTATACACTTTACGACGGGGTCAAAAACAATGCCCTACCTGAGCAATAGCAATGCAGCAGTCTGCTCTAATCCTATAATTATAGAATTCTTGGAGTGACCTGAGCTTAAATCCACATATCAATGAGGGAAACAGACTACTTTGCTAACTGCAATTATTTTAATTTCCACCTACAATTATAAAAGATATTTGATAAACTGCTGTACGTCTGTCTGTCTCATTTCCCTTCCAGTGACTTGTTACAGAAAAACCTACCTCAGCAGAATTTCCAGAAACATAAAGGACTTGAGCTCTAAAGTAGCGTTGTTTATCAAAATCAGCAAAAGGTGCCAGACAGACCAAGTCTGGATGTGGGTGAGTGGGCAAGGGCACCAGCGTCAGTTGGTTGATTTCAGCAGTAAGCTTTTTCAGAATCTCTGAGTTGTTTTCATCAATCCTGTATCCCCAAAAGTGTCCCACTTCAACCACCTAAAAAGGAAGAGGAGGAGAAGAGATGAAATCTAGAAAGGACTTTTGTAAGGAGGAAAATGAGCTTGAATCATAGGGCTGACACCCTGTGCTGTACGACACCTCACCAGCGTTAATCCTCGGAACATAAGTATTTACAGGTTTTTAACAGGTGTTTATGAGACAAAAAGAGGGGGTCCCCTGGTGAACTAAGGTAAGGAAATGTGTGGAATATATCCTTTTCTTGGCGGTACAAGACTCATTCTTACATAAATAAAGGTTCTGAGGTCATATAAGCATTTCGGCGGGGCACAGTGGCTCACGCCTGTAATGCCAGCACTTTGGGAGGCAGAGGTGGGCAGATCACTAGAGATTAGGAGTTCGAGACCAGCCTGGCCAATGTGGTAAAACCCCGTCTCTACCAAAAGCACAAAAATTACCCGGGCATGGTGGCACACACCTGTAATCCCAGCTACTCAGGAGGCTGAGGCAGGGGAATCGCTTGAACCCAGAAGGCAGAGGTTGCAGTGAACAGAGATCGTGCCACTGCACTCCAGCCTGGGCAACACAGCAAGACTTTGTTTCAAAAATATACACACTTTTTTTTCCTCTAACATGTATCTTGTTAAATCTGATTTATTTCAGCATTTTAAATGTACTTGATATTTTAAAAATTAACTTTGATTCTAGAATAAGTATGTTTCAATTTCCATTTTAGTCATATTTCAATTTAACAAGTAGAGTGATAATTCAAACTCACCCACATTAACAAGATTACCAAGGTGCACAAGTTCTGTGTGTGTGTGTGTGTGTGTGTGTGTGTGTGTGTGTGTGTAAACTTCCTGTATACAACATGATGATTTTAGATTAAGAAGAAGGAAAAGCTCAATTACTTCATCCTTACCTCTGTGACATCAATAGTTAGAAGGAGATCTGTAACTGTCTGGGACCTGTCTGATGTGTTAAAGGAGACTTGCATAGGATCTACCGTCTGCTTCTGGAAGTCCACATTCACCCTACATAATACGAATTTTTATTAAAATAAAAATCAAGTTTTACAAAGAAAACACATTTACATATGTGAAATTATCACTTGAACTATTCTAATATTTCTACAAGAAAAGAACATTTCAATAAAATACCTAAGCCAGAGATGACAAATTTGATTTCATCTCAAACATGAATTTCTGCTGGCTTTTTGAAGAGCTCTGGAAGGGGTACACATCCCAAAAATTATATACTACCCTCCAAGTAGTATATAATTGTGAAGGCCAAGACTCTCAGAGAATATCTACTTTCAAGGTATTATCAAGATAAATAAATTATCAATTTAGACTTTCAAGGTCTGAGATTTAGAATTATCTGCAGTGTTTCCTAACTTGTGTTTTCAAATGTGCACCTTGACCTTTAGAAAACTATAAGAATCCACGCTTGGCTCAATGCTATGTTAGAAAACACACACATGACTTTCCAATAAACCCCAAAAATATCATTTTCCCTTAAAGGCAATAAGATAGTAAATGCTAAACTTCTGGAATACAAAAGACAAATTTGACAGAAAATAAAAATTTCCTAATACTTTATTCTAAAATGAAGAGAAAGAATTATAAGAAAGATCTTGATCCAACTCTTTTCCCAATCTCCAGACCTATTTTTAATGAGTGACTCAGGCAATGAGTGACTCCCCAGCATTCGATTACAAAAGTAAGTGGAGTCTGACCTCACTAGAGCAGGACAGGCCTTCTCTACATGAAGGACTGAACCCACTACACTCCCAAACTCTCAGAAACCAAAAGTCACACACTGGGTGAAACCAGATGGAACAGATTTGCCTTCCTCCACCAACTCCTCAGATTCCTGTTAAGTTCCTCCCAGAACTGAAAACTCTACAATTAAGAAATAATAAATGAGACTTCCCACATAGGTGACTATGGGGATATGGCCAAAAGGCAAGCAGTCTGTCACAAATACCATGGGTGACTCAGTTTGGTCCAAGAGAAGAAGATCCACCAGGGTTATGACAGCTGCATGCAGCAAGTGCTCCTGCCCTGGGCTGACCAGCCCTACAGACAGCCCTGGCCCTGTACCACTCTCTGGGCGGGAGGGAAAGATGCCATTTGGCAAGGAAGGGCAGCTTACACTGGTAAGCAACTAGGTGCTCCCAGCTGCATCTCCATTATGTCCCACTGACTGCTGTGTTGAAGACAAAAAATATTCCACATTACTTAAAAAGAGAATTTGCAAAACAAAATGCATAATCCTATCTAGGAAGACAGGAAATTAACATTAGATTTAATCCCTACTATTTAACTAAAAATTACATCAATGATATCACTCAATCCTCTCAACAGCCTTACACCATAGGTATCCTTTTTTTTTTTTTTTTTTTTTTTTTTTTTTGAGACGGAGTCTCGCTCTGTCGCCCAGGGTGGAGTGCAGTGGCGTGATCTCAGCTCATCACTGCAACCTCTGCCTCCTGGGTTTAATTGATTGTCCTGCATCAGCCTTCCACATAGCTGGGATTATAGGTGCCCGCCACCACACCCGGCTAATTTTTTTGTATTTTTGGTAGAGACGGGGTTTCACCATGTCGGCCAGGCTCGTTTTGAACTCCTGACCTCAAGTGATCCTCCCGCCTCGGTCTCCCAAAATGCAAGGATTACAGGCATGAGCCACCTCACCCGGCTGGTATCATTTCTATTAAACAGAAAAAAAACTGAGGTTCAGAGAGGTTAGGTAATGTGCCCAAGTGCACACAGTGAGGAGATGATGCAACCAGGATTCAACAGCAGCTCCACTCAACCACAAAGCCAGTGCTTTTTTATTTATTTATTTATTTATTTATTTATTTATTTTTTAAGACAGCGTCTTGTTCTGTCGCCCAGGCTGGAGTGCAGTGGTGCAATCTCGGCTGACTGTAACCTCCGCCTCCTGGGTTCAAGCAATTCTCCTGCCTCAGCCTCCCGAGTAGGTGGGATTAAAGGTGTGTGCGACCATGCCCGGCTAATTTTTGTATTGTCAGTACAGACAGGGTTTCATCATGTTGGCGAGGCTGGTCTCAAACTCCTGGGCTCAAGTGATCTGCCTGCCTCGGCCTCGCAAAGTGCTGGATGAGTGGCGTGAGCCCCCACACCCAGCCAAGCCAGTGCTTTTACCATGATCTGAAGCAATGCCAGATCAACGGTCATGTAAAAATAGCACCTGAGAATGTGAAAGCAGGCACGGCCTGTCTGCCACCTCCCTCCCGAAAATACCTTGTGTTCCTGAGCTTTGAGACGTTCATGCCTTGCACCTTCCCTTCAATTTCCTCTGCAGAATGAACGCTGAGTTCAAGTGAAACTTTTAGTTGAGACATCTTAATTGCCATATATACTGCAGGAAGGGTTTTAAATCTCTCTGTTGGATTTCGTGAGAATTCCACAAAGGCTCTGTTCCACAAATGTAAATTTAAAAATAAATTTATCAGGCATCTGTTTAAAAACTGCATATTCATTTCTCTCAAGACAGAAATTCTGTCACATCTCTCCTCAAAATGCCAGTAACTCTTCAATTTATAATTAATCAATAACATGTATTAATTTCTCCAATGGAAAATTATTAATTGAAGAGAAATAAAAGTTATAATGACATGTCATTAAACCAAAACCAAGTATCATCCTTGTATAATATAATGCAGAATAAACACTAAAGTCACATGGAATTTGGGGCAAAGAAATCTTACTTCATAATTACTTTCATAATTGCAAAAGAATTTTCATGATTATAACAGAATGTCTTTCTTTACTATCATAAAATAAAACAGATACAGAAAACCACACAAATGTATATAGCTCAGTGATCTTTGTAATTCCCCTTCAAAAAAAGCATTAAATTTATTTTTATTTATTTATTTATTTTTTTGAGATGGAGTCTCGCTCTGTCGCCAGTGCAGGGATGTCATCTTGGCTCACTGCAACCTCCGCCTCCCAGATTCAAGAGATTCTCCTGCTTCAGCCTCCCGAGTAGCTGGGACTGCAGGCGTGTGCCACCACGTCCAGCTAATTTTTGTATTTTTAGTAGAGACAGGGTTTCACCATGTTGGCCCGGATGGTCTCAATCTCCTTACCTCATGATCTGCCCATCTCAGCCTCCCAAAGTGCTGAGATTACAGGACTGAGCCACAGCGCCTGGGCCAAAACCATTGATTGCCAAGTGATATAAATTGATTGCCAAGTGATATAAATTGATTGCCAAGTGATATGGTTTAGATCTGTGTCCCTGCCCAAATCTCATGTCGAATTGTAATCTCCAATATTGGAGGAGGGGCCTGGTGGGAGGTGACCGGATTGTGAGCGCGATTTCCCCCTTGCTGTTCTTGTGAGTTCTCACGAGATCTGGTTGTTTACAAGCACCTCCCCTTTGCTCTCTTCCTTTCGCTCCAGCCATGTAAGAAATGCCAGCTTCCCTTTGCCTTTCACCATGATTGTAAGTTTCCTGAGGCCTCCCCAGAAGCAGCAGCCTATACAGCCTGCAGAACCATGAGCCAATTAAACCTCTTTTCTTTATAAATTACCCAGTTTCAGGTATTTCTTTATAGCACCGAGAGAACAGAATAAAACACCAAGTAATATTGATAAATGCCCTCTCTTGCCCCAGCCCATATTTCGGTGTCCCATTCCAGCCCCACTCTGGGGCATGAGGAGCAGGCATGGAGCAAAAGGTGCCTGCTGGATGTGCCAGGCAGAAGGAAGACAGCATCAAGTTTACCTTGCTATGCATGCAAGTTCTAATGCCCCTGGGTCCCCACATCATCACAGAGCCACAAAAACAGACCTGGGCCCCTTCCTCTACTATAAAAATCGTCCTGTAATGAGCTCTCTCCTGGAAATGTACACCTTGAGCAGTTTGGAAAGACGCCCAGCAGGGGAGGTGTGTGGAGCAGGTACATGAATCAACCCTGACCCGCTCCGCCTCCTCCGCTCTCCTTCACGCCCCATCCTCTTCACTCATAAATGCACGCATTTTCCTTCCACCCACTGCCTGATTCATGCCCTTCTGCTTTATCTCCCTTCTTTAGAGTCTCTCCTAAGACTCCGTAGAAGTAATTTTAAACTCCAGACCTCAGCGTCTTCTCCTCGAAGCTGCATCCTCCCCAGCATCCAGGCTGGAAAGCCGGATGCTCTTGGGCTCCTCTCACTTCTTTGCCCCCCACATGCAATCACCAGGCAAATCCAAGACATCCTCCTTCCCGTCTGTTGGCTCCTTTTCATGTCCAACAGCACCATACTGGCTGCACATCTCAGTACCTCTGCTTTGGACTACTGCAAAGACTCCAGGCCGGCTTCTACTCCTCTTACCTTGACCTTCCGCTTATCCCTGAGTAAGTTCCATAAAACACAGTTCCGGACAGACCACTCAAAGGTCTCCAAGTGCCCACCTAGTCATGTTCACACTCATCAGTCTGCCAGAAGACTGTCTCAAAGTCAGCACCTGACCTCCACAAAACAGACTCCATCTGACACGGAGCAGCTCTGCCCAAACGGCTACCAGCTATGTGTGCACAGTCTCAGCTTTCCCCTGTCAAGATCAGCTAATGACTGCCTCCTGCTGGAAAACCACCTGACCCTACTGCACCACCTCTGCACTGGCCACTGCACCAGCCCGAGGCCTCACAACCCTCCGACGTCTACCCGAGGAAGTCTCAAATTAATGTTACTGCTCTAATATTGGGCCTCAGATAGAATGTCTTCTTCTGACCTTCTAGGCCTTTCCCATGACATCTCACAGCAGGCAAATGTCTGTGAAACTAATTTGACTCTCCACTCCTACCACGAAGTTGAAAGCTTCTTATGGGAGAACATGATATGCCCAGGTACCACCTGTGCCCATCTGCCCATGCGCCCTTGGCACCTCACAGAGTCTACATGAAGTCACCCCTGCTCTATGCCAAAAGAAATACACTTCTTATTCTTTCAATCACTGTAACTTCCTTTGCCTTTAAATACTTGAATCCCAAGAACTGGTACTGGTACAGAAAGAATACTGTTACTTCCCCCAAAAAATTGGTATGACATTTGTATTATGACTTGAGAGCTGGAAATATGAGGAATGCAAAAGATATAAACACCTATAAAAAAGGTCCCAGGCAATGGGAGGCGGAGGTTGCAGTGAGCCGAGATTGTGCCACTGCACTCCAGCCTGATGACAGAGCAAGACTCTGTCTCAAAAATAAATAAATAAAAATAATAAAACAAAAAAAAGTCCCAGGCAAGAAGAACAGGCAACAAACACAGAACCCAATCCAGTTGTAAAGAAGAGGGAACAAAGATGCTGCAATCTTCTGGGAGCCAAGCCTTCTGACCACTCAAATCAGTCAAAGGAGCATCCATGCAGAACTGGAAGCTCACCCAGGTAAGCAGACGCACACTATTCAGGAATGAGTTTAGCTGTGTGATTCCAGCTTTAAGTAAGTTACTTTATATATGTGACTAAGAATCTTACTATAATTTACATCAGAATATTTAAGAAAAGTTCAGACACTACAAGTTTAATTAATTCTCTAAGAGTTGTTCAAAGCACTTAGGAAGGTTTTGCTTATTAGGGAGTTGTGTGTTTGCCTCATGAAGCATTTACAGGCCTACAAAGAAAATCAATATATTAATCATAGAAATGGAACTTAAAATGCCGGAGGGAATTACCCCAAATTGAAAATGGACTTAATGTTCAACTTGAGTGAACTGGACATTAAAGAAAAAGTGTTTGTTCTTATTTACAAAGCTTTGTAAAGTTAAATAAAAATTTATACAACATTCACAGAACACTGGAAAAAATTTCTAACTTTAAAAATTAAAAATCCTACTTTAGGCTTTTTGGTACATAAACATTTCCTGTTAGAAATAAAAACTCAGTGATGCTCCAAAACACACATTTGTTCCTTACATGCAGTAAGTAGAGCCAAATTGAGTTTTTACAATGTTTGCCTTCCAAAAATATTCAAAACATATCTGCTTTAGACAACTATAAGCAGATACACTCTATTTTGGATCACCTTCATGGCCCACAAAATAACTCTTACTAATGACTCACTGAGAAAATCTCAGACCAGTGCGTGAAAGTGAAGATCACTTTAAGAGAATCCGCCTTAGCATCACACTGAGTTACTGAGCCTTCTTGGAGTGACCATGCTTGACCACTAACCAGCAGCTTAGTTCCTTTAGGAGGTCACTTAGCAGAAAGAGAAGACAAATTGCTTCTGACCATAAGATAAACCAAAGCTACATTCTGAAAGCCAATTGCAGCAGCCCATAGGAGGACCCATTTCCATGGGCACTCCGTTTTAACAATCAGCGTCTGGAAACATTTGAATCATTATGCCTCCTTCATAATTGCAGTTGATTACAAAAATATACTTACTTTGCACCATCAAATACAATGGATTTGACTTGACCACACTGTCTAAAGAGAGACTGTAGTTGTTTATAGTAAAGAAATCCATAGGGAGGAATGTGTTTCAACTGTAAAATATAACACAAAATCAGAGCAGATTACTAGAGCTAACAAAATAGTTTCAACATTCACAAGCTCAAAGCTGCTGCACACTGTTTTAGTTTCTAAAAACATAGTTTACTATCTTTAACCATAATATATAAACTCTACAGATCAGTGCATTTAAAGACTTTTAAATTCTAACTAAGTTCTATAATAAATATGTTAAATAAAGGCTAATTCTAACCCTGTTAAAATGGTGTAAGTCTAATACAGCAAAATTAAGATTTGTTTACTTCTGTTTTCCCTTAAAATAATCAAGCTTACTAAATACTTCTTTTCAAAACATATTTCTACATAAGGAATAATGGGAATGTAAACTTTAAAGGAAAATGTCTAACTAATGAGAGGAATATGTATTTCCTCATCACCACAGTGGAAAGACCAAATAGCACATGATCAAATTGGCAGTGACTTTTAATGTATAAACTCTCAAGGTACCATGCTGGGTTTCTGCAAAGCACTCCATACTTTCTTCTGGACCAGGACAACTCCTGTGCCAGCGCAGCTCTGCACGGGGCTCCGTGACAGAAGGCATGTAAGTGAAGGCATGGGCTGGGGCTCAGATCCAGTTAGATCCTGTCTCCTCACTCCCTGAATCCGCGTGTCTCCTTAGGCAAGTTACAGAGTTACCCTGAGACCCAACTGCCACATCATGAAATAAGAATGACATGAGAAATCCCCAACTCAAAGGGTGGAGTGAGGCTCAGAGAAGAATGAAAAGTACCTAACACACAGCCTCTCAAGTGCTAAGTAAAGCCAGCTATTATTGAGCTTTTATGATGTACACACTAGGTAATTTTGGGCCCCCAGACTAGGCTCTCTGTGGTCGAGGGATGCAGGCATAGCTACTAGACGTCTGAGGAAGAGACCTATAGAACCCTTCCTCTTGCGCACAGCTGAGGGAAGAAAACCACGAAGGGGCAGAGGGGTGAGAGAGGAAGCCAAGCAAAGAGCTTAGTCAAACCTGATGGCCAGCAGGAGCAGAGGTGCCAATCAAATGATCCTCAGTAGCTATAAAAAACTAATGACTTCCTTTTAAAGTCCCTTCCACGGGTATCAAGTGTATCTCAGCTGCCTCTCTCATCTCCAGAGCACCAGCTCCTTTTGGTGCTCATCAAAGACCTCCAGTTGTAATCTCAAGTCATCTGCGCCCTTTCCTTATGAGCTATTTATTTCTTCAGGACTAACAGTGGTGGTGTAACAATAACCAGGATAAAATCTGGCAATGACTGAGCCCTTACGATATGACACGAAGGAACTTCAAGCGCTTCTCACCCCGCCTTATCAGATACAGGCACATACTGGAACCAAGTGATCCAAAACAGTCCAGTCTCAGCTTTCTTCCAGTGTGAGTCTCCCTGCTGCTGGGCTTTAAACAACTGGGTTGCAAACGCTGATTCAATGGTCAGGGCCTGTGGCTGATCATTAGATATGCCCAAAGTACACACTACTTGAATGCTGATTTCTAGGGCATACTTTCTAGCTCAGATCTCGCAGAGCCTTCAGATCTGAATTTCAACGAATATAAATAAAATAAGCACTCTCCAGGTAGTTCTGTTGGGCATCCAGGTCGGGGGGTCACTGGCTTAAGCCACAGCACTCAGCTGCCAACCAATAACATTTTATTTTGTATGAAATGAAGTTGTGAATTAAGAAAATGTTCTTAAACTTGTAAGTGCCTTAAATCCTTCAAAATAGCACATGATCAAATCAGCATTGACCTTGAACGTATAAACTCTCAAGGCTTCCTTATAAGGCCAGGTCTGTAAAAGGAGGCAAGAGACTGAGGGACAAGTAGATACACATGAAAAGGCCAAACAAGCCTAGATACACCTGAAAAGGCCAAACAAGCCTAATATTCACGCCAGGGGAAAATTCACTTAGGACTCACAAGAATAGAAACAATTAGAGAACAAAAATGTTCTGCCCCACCACACCCCAGAGAGGACGGCCTGCCCCCAGCACCTACCACGACAGTTGTCTTGGGGTCCTTGCCAGCCAGCTCCCTCACCGCCATCTCCTCATCCGGCTGTCCAAAAGTAAAGTAATTTGGATAGAAAGCACCTGCCAATACAACCTGAAAAAGAAATTTATTTTCATGAAGTAACAGCATTATTTTATCAGTTATTCTCACCAATATACTAATCTCAACCCAGCATGATATGACATCCATAAATGTAAAAGATGGTTATCGTTTGTATGGAAAACTAGACCTTTCACCAACCAAGCAGAAAGTCACAATTCTGGTAATTTCATCTAACAGAAACACTAAAAAATAAACACTTTTTTCACCTAACAGAAACATCTTTCTTCAAAAGAGCTTGAGTACTTCTCAGAATGAGGCTTGGGAAACAGTGGCAAGTTGAACAAGGACATAAACCATCCTACACACAAAGCCCCAAGGTCGGCCAACTTTCTCCACTTCTCCCCACACACATCTATGTGCAAGGTACTCTCAGATGTTCAGATAAAACTCCAATTGGAGCACTCAGATTTAGGGCAGCAGGCTGGCATCCACTATTCACCTCTAAAATGCACTCTGCAAAGAGTCCCTTCTTCAATAAAAACATACCAGTTTGAAACACACCCACCAAAGACTCCCCCAGCCTTAGAGCAATTTTACATCCAGGAAAACACTCGCACATTTCCAGCACACCCGGTTTATAGGCATCTACCTCAAACCTGATTCCGTATGCATCAGCCAACCCTTCTAGGAAACCCTACAGCAGAGGCAGTCTCCACTGGCCAGGACACACTTCTCACTCGCTACATTCCAGCTAACTACTAGTAATTTGAATCCATGGCCTCCAAAGTTAAAATAATATTTTCAGTGTAGGGGAATAGCTATATACACTGAACGATATAAAGAGCACTTCACTTTCTTAAAAGCTAAAACAAAAGGATCTCTCCTGAAGCAGTGATAACACAGGTACTCTATAGAAACACTCCCCTGGAAATTAGAAATGGGTCTGAATCCATTAAATATTAATAAATAAACAATAAATACTCTCTAGGTGAATCATCAACTCAACAAATAATGCAAACTATGAAAGAAGAATGTTTCCTGGTTCCCAAACGCAGTATGAACACTATGGACCTAAAATCTCCTTTGAGGTTTGGTTTGTATCAGAAAGCAGGAATAAGCAGTTTCTCGACCACAAGACCTTGTAAGCAGAAAGAATCAGGAAAAAAAATATCCAGGAAACTTCAGCACACCTGTAGGATGAATCGCTGCTTATATATATACTCTTGGTCCATGACAGGTCGCCGAGAATCAACATGCATGTTGAACTGTGAGATTCTAGTCTTCAATTCTTCATATAATTCAGCCACCTAAGAAAAATACATTGAAATCTGATGTCTCAAAGGTACATATGTCATCAGAGCAGTGAAAACACTAGAAAATAAGTGCACAACGGGTAAAGTATAAACACAGCTACAGAATGAAACACTGCAGCTAATTA
The DNA here is from genome assembly GCF_000001405.40 of Homo sapiens. NCBI lineage: Eukaryota > Metazoa > Chordata > Mammalia > Primates > Hominidae > Homo > Homo sapiens. The sequence goes on along the minus strand of NC_000014.9, from coordinate 104,014,593 downwards.
AGAATCATCTTTTGGCTGTGCACGGTGACTCACACCTCTAATCCCAGCACTTTGGGAGGCCAAGGTTGGGAGATCACTTGAACTCAGGAGTTTGAAACCAGCCCGGGCAACATGGCGAAACCCAGTCTCTACAAAAAAAATACAAAGTTAGCTGGGCGTGGTGGCGCAGACCTGTAGTCCCAGCTACTTGGGAGGCTGAGATGGGAGGATCACCTGAGACTGGAGGGCAGCGGTTGCAGTGAGCCAAGATTGTGTCACTGTACTACAGCCTGGGTGGCAGAGTAAGATTCTGTCTCCAAAAAAAAAAAGAAATAATCTCTTAAAAATTTTTATTATTATTATCTTTTTTTTTTTTTTTTTTTGAGACAGTCTCGCTCTGTTGTCCAGGCTGGAGTGCAGTGGCGCGATCACAGCTTGGTTCACTGCAAGCTCTGCCTCCGAGGTTCACGCCATTCTCCTGCTTCAGCTTCCCGAGTAGCTGGGCCTACAGGTACCCACCACCACGCCCAGCTAATTTTTTGTATTTTTAGTAGAGACAGGGTTTCACCGTGTTAGCCAGGATGGTCTCAATCTCCTGACCTCATGATCCGCCTGCCTCGGCCCCCCAAGGTGCTGGGATGACAGGCGTGAGCCACCATGCCTGGCCTAAAATTTATTTTTAGAGGCAAGATCTTGCTATATTGCCCAGGCTAGACAGTGCAGTGGCTATTCACAGGCACAATCCCACACGGATCAACACAGGAGTTTTGACCTGCTCCAACTTGGCTGGTTCACCCCTCCTTAGGCAACACAGTGGTCCCTGGCTCCCAAGAGGTTACCACATCAGTGTTGCGTTTAATGCAACACCCAATCAGCATGGCGCACTACAGCCCAGAACTCCTACGCTCAAGTGATCCTCCAGCCTCAGCCTCCCAAACAACCGGCAATACAGGCGTGTGCCACCATGCCTGGCAAGAATCATCTTCTTAGAAATTAATTAATAAGTAATGTTAAGGATGAACAATATAACACTTAGAGAAAATACCAGAATACAAAATCATATATGCTCCCTGATCTGTTTATAAACACACACCCCTGAGATGGGAACCAATGCAAACGCATAACTGTGCCCACCCAGAGGTCAGAATAGCAGAGAGCCATGACCACAGCCTTGCTTTAGATCCTTGAAACACGTCCCAGCCTCTGCCATGAACATGTACGGCTTTTGTGATTAAAAACAAAGTAAGTGACCTATGGCCAAATAGTCCCTCCGAACAGGAAAATAAAATCAATATCCAGTTGTAATAAAAACTGTTTCACACAAAATGTCAAACTTTAATGTACACACATGAAAATACACAACTCCAAATACCTATGAACTGATCATAAATTAAGTCACCACAAAAGTATCTCAATTACAAAAAGAATACAGTCACAAGTGTGAACATAACTGGGGGGAATAACAACTAAAAAGAATTGAAAGGACAGAAAAACTCAGCAGCCACTATCTCTGTGGAGGGAGGAAAAGCCTGGGACATGGGAAGCAAGGGAGAGCACACTCAGATGCTCGCCTCTGTACCCCTGAGGGATGGAACTGTTTCATGTGACTGTAATCACATGTAAGTGAACTAAGTAAAAACCAAGACTATGCCACTCTCTATACTAAAATGCAATAAAATCAGAAATGAACAACAACAAAAAGATATTTAAAAACATTTCAGGGCTGGGCACGGTGGTTCACACCTCTCAGAGCTTTAGGAGGCTGAGGCAGGAGGATTGCTTAAGCACAGGAGTTTGAGGCTGCAGTGAGCTATGGTTATGCCACTGCATTCCAGTCTGGGAGACAAAGACCCTGTCTCTAAAAAATAAAAATAAACTCTTTAGTCAGAGAGGAAACCAACACTAAAAGAAATTATAGACAGGAATGTCAAAAATCAATAGGATGTGGTGGCTAAAGCTGCTCATAATAAAATTCATAGCTTTAAATGCTTTTAATTAGAAAGACTGAAAATATTATTATTAATAATAAATACTAATTTCAGAAAGACTGAAGTAAACTAAAAGTCAAAGGAGAACTAAATTAATGGAAAAAAAAAAAAAGCAATGATTTAGAATCCCACACCTACTCCTTCCCTCCCAAAAAACATACACAAGAAAACTGACAAATGAAACTAAGAGTAAGCTCTCTGAAAATACAATAACACAAAGGAAGCATCTTGCAGACTCTGCAGTAAAGGAGTAATCCAGCAGGCCTGGCTGTCCAGACCATGCACATTCCAGAGAAAGGCTTGGCCCTGGCCCAGCTCCTGAAAGGTCATTGCCAAGCCTCCAGGGACTCTTACCCTCCTGGATAAGAGTATGCATGCTGACCTGGGGCCTTGGGCCACACAAAAGAGTTCACGCTAGAATATGATTGACGGTGGGGCCTTGGGCCATGAGGGTAACAGTTTCCTCTGGAGGGACTGAAGACTGAGTAACTAAAGTCAGTCACATGGGTACTCTAGGCCTACATAACCAGTGCTCAATAAAAACCCAGGACACCAAGGCTCAGGTGAGCTTCCTGGTTGCAATACTTCATGCCTGTCATCGCACACTGTTGCTGAGAGAATTAATCACTGTCCATAAGACTCTACTGGGAAAGGACACCTGGTAGCCTGCACCTGGTCTCTCCAGGGCTCCTCCCATGCACTTTTTTTTTTTAACCTTTGCTGATTTTAATCCATATCCTTTGGCTAAAATAAATCATAAGCATAAGCATAACAGCTTTTCTACTTCTGTGAGTCCTTCTAGCCAATCAGTGAACCTGAGGATGGTCTTGGGGACTCCCTGAATATACAAATATAATCAAGAAACAATGAGAGTACACAAATACACAACAATAAGAACAAGAAAGGTGTTACCAGTTGACATGAATTTGAAATTAAGAAAATTACGTGTAACTATACATCAATAAACTTCATGATCTGGATTAAATGGGTACCTGAATGAAAAAACGTAACTCATCAAAAATGACTCCAGAAGAATTAGAATCCAGAATGGATCAGTAACTACCAGGGGTATTGAAATTTTTTTTAAAATTGATCCCTCAAAAAGGCACTAATCCCAAAGGTGTTTTTGAATGTGTTCTATCAAATATGTAAGAAATACATTTCTAGTTATTAAACTGTTGATTAAAATGGTTCCTGGGTACAGAAAGATGTTCATCCTACCAGGGTGGTATCAATAACAACATCTCATAGTATTGTGCATGCATGTGCGCACACATGCACACACACACACGTAAACCAGAGGCCAATTTCACTTATAAATATAGAGGCAAAAATTCTAGAGAAAATATTGGCAATCAGAACCGAGCAATGTTTTGGGAGAAAACATTACAAACAAGCAGAGTTTATTCTAAGAACACGTGGCTGGGTCAACAGTGGGAAATCCATCATGTATTCATGTATAAGTCATGCACCACATAGCAGTGTCTCAGTTGACCATGGACACGTATAGAACTGTGGACCCATAAGACCGTCACAGAGCTAGAAAATTCCTGTTGCCTGGTCACGTCATAGCTGTTGTAGGGCAACACGTTTACTCACGTGTCTGCAGTGATGCTGGTGTAAACAAACCTACTGTGCTGCCAATCATATGAAAGTCTAGCACATACAACACATACAGTACATTTCAGTTCACCCCTGAACAACATGGGGTTGAACAGCGAGGGCCCACTTATATGCAGGTTTTTCTCAACCAAATGTGGATCAAAAATACAGTATTCGAGGGATGCAAGCCCGAGTATATGGAAGGCCGACTATTCACATGGGCGCCACAGGGCCAACTGTAAGACTTGAGTATTCGTGAATTTTGGTATACAGGGGTCCTGAAACCAACCCTCCAGTGAATACCAAGGGATGACTGTACTTGATAATGATAGTAACTATGTTACTGGCTTATGGATTTATCATACTATACCATCATTATTTCAGAGTATATACTCCTATTTTTTTTTTAAATTAACTTCACATGTCTTGAAAGAAGTAGCAAAAAAAAAAAAAAAGGAAACAAACAAAGTTAATTATAAAACAGTCTCAGGCAGGTATCCTTCAGGAGGTATCCAGGAGAAGGCACTATTATACTGTAAGAGATGATAGCTCCATGTGTTACTGCCCCTGATGACCTTCCAGTGGACAAGATGTGGAGGCGGAAGACAGTGATACTGATGATCCTGACTCTGTGTACGCCTAGGCTAATGTGTATGTGTGTCTTAGTTTTTAACAAAAAAGTTTAACAAATAAAAATTATTTTTTAAAATAGATAAAACCAGTCTGGGCTACAAAGTGACACCCTGTCTCTACAAAAAAATAAAAGAATAAAAAAAATTAGGACAGGCACAGTGGCTCACACCTGTAATCCCAACACTTTGAGAGGCCAAGGCAGGCAGATCACAAGGTCAGGAGTTCAAGACCAGCCTGGCCAACATGGTGAAACCCTGTCTCTACTAAAAATACAAAAAAGTAGCCAAGCGTGGTGACGCACACCTGTAATCCCAGCTACTCGGGAGGCTGAGGCAGGAGAATTGTTTGAACCCGGGAGGCAGAGGTTACAGTGAGCCGAGACTGTGCCATTGCACTCCACCCTGGGTGACAGGGCAAGACTCCATCTCAAAAAAAAAAAAAAAAGAAAGAAAGAAAAAACAAATTACGAGTGGTGACATATGCCTGTAGTTCCAGCTACTGCAGAGGCTGAGGCAGGAGAATTGCTTGAGCCCAGGAAGTCAAGGCTTCTATGAGCTGTGATCATGCCATTGCACTCCAGCCTGGGCAACAGAGTGAGATCCTAGCTCAAAAACCAAATAAATAAGGAAATAGATAAAAACTTATAGAATAAGGATATAAAGAAAGAAAATATTTTTGCATAGCTGTACAATGTTTGTGTTTTAAGCTAAGTGTTAATATGAGCCAAAAATTTTTTTTAATTAAAAAGTTTATCAAGTTAAAAAAAGTTATATTAAGCTACAATTAATTTTTTAAAAATTTTTATGAACTTAGTGTAGCCCAAGTCTGCACTGTTTATAGTCTACAGTCATGTGCAGTGGTGTCCTGGGCCTTCACATTCCCTCACCACTCACTCACTGACTCACCCAGAACCACTTCCAGTCCTGCAATCTGCATTCACCATAAGCTCCCTATATTGGTATGCCATTTTTATCTTTTATACCAGTGATCCCTAACCTTTTTAGCACCAGGGACCAGTTTCATGAAAGACAATTTTCCCACAGGCCGGAGTAGATGGGGATGGTTTCAGGATGAAACTGCTCCACCTGAGATCTGGTATTAGTTATATTCTCAAAAGGAGAATATGGCCCAGGTGTTGGGAAACCCTGTTTTATAACCATATTTTTACCGCACCTTTTCTATGTTTAGTTATGTTTAGGTACAGAAATACTTACCATTTTGTTGTAATTGCCTACAGTGTTCAATACAGTCACATGCTGTACAGGTTTGCAGCCTAGAAGCCATAGGCTACACTATACAGCCTAGGCGTGTAGTGGGCCATACCATCTAGGTCTGTGTAAGTATGTTCTATGCTGTTTGCACAAGGATAAAACCATGTAATTACTCATTTCTCAGAATGTATTCCTGTCATTAAGCAATGTAAGATTGTATTAGTGGGTAAAAAATTAAAATACCATATGTTTATCTTTTTCTTTTTCAAGACAGGCTCTCGCTCTGTCACCCAGGCTAGAATATATTGGTGCGATCACGGCTCACTGAAGCCTCTGCCTCCCAGGCTCATGCAAACCTCTCACCTCAGCTTTCCCAGAAGCTGGGACTACAGGTGTGAGCCACGACACCCAATCTCTTTATCCTGACATATACTGAAAAGACATACAACAAGATGACACAACCATTCCTCATTAAAGTATACATAGGGGAAATACATTCCTTAACTGGAAAAGGAGTATTTATTAGAAACCCAAGTAGTTCTACTGAAAGGTGAAAACACAAGAGACACTCCTACTAAAGCTGGAAACAGGCAGGAAATACACTTCTTGGAATACTCATTACTACCCACGTACTTAATAAATATTGTTGTCATTTAATAAATATTTCATAAGTCAACTTTATTTGCATCCATTTGGTCAAAAAACTTAACTTACCTCTCTAATTCTCTTGATTTGAATGTAATTTAACCGTCCCCAATTAAGTTCATCCTTTAAATATATAAAAGCAGAATACTCAATATTAAGGTAATAAATTAGAGCTGAATTTAGCTACTTTAATACATATTTCATCCAAAAATTTAATGATGAATGTAAATTACTGAGCTACTCAAGTTGACAGTGGCACTCCCTCTCCAGGTACATCCAATTTTACATTGAAGCCAGAGAGCGTAATACTCAACCATAAACACAATACAGAAACTCTTCTGAGTTCACCTGTCTCAAAAATTAAAGGTAGACATAACTTGATTATCTTGAAAAAAGATGTCTGACAAATTATATACCAACAAGAAAAATACTACAGCTGAGCCTTTAAAAGACTTTAAGCCAGGCGCGGTGGTTCACGCCTGTAATCCCACCACTTTGGGAGGCCGAGGCGGGCAGATCACAAGGTCAGGAGATCGAGACCACCCTAGCTAACACAGTGAAACCCCATCTCTACTAAAAAATACAAAAAAAGTAGCTGGGTGTGGTGGCGGGCACCTGTGGTCCCAGCTGCTCGGGAGGCTGAAGCAGGAGAATGGTGTTAGCCCAGGAGACAGAGCTTGCAGTGAGCCAAGATCGTGCCACTGCACTCCAGCCTGGGCGACAGACCGAGACTCCGTCTCAAAAAAAAAAAAGACTTTAAACACCTAACTCATATATGTATTGGTAGAGATATATCTAAGCACAGCAAATCTCCACACAGAAACGGCAGACCTGTAAACAGTCTGTTGAACCAAATAAGTTTAGAAGAACAGCAAAGCCTGACCAAAAAAAAAAAACAATAAAATGGAGGGTAACAGATTACATTTCTTTTAAGCCCGTTATCTAAAAGAGCTGAAAACAGAAACAGCAGCCACATGGCCCTCAATTTTGAACTGACACGTCCAACCCAGTACCCACAGCTATGAAATACAGCCAAAGAGGCTGCAGACACCATGGCAAGATCAGTACAATGTGGAGCCATGAAACAAGCAGCACAGCTCCAGCACAGGCCTGAGAGCAAGCGGCCTCCCGAGAAGCGATGGAAGCAAAAGGACCAGTCTGCGGAGATTATGGCCTGCCACTCTTGGGACAGCCGTGCGAGCACTGACAGTGACCTCGACTCCAGCCGCAGGTGGCACCGTCATGATTCACACGCTATGACTGTACCAAGACAGAGTCCTTCTCTCATTACTCCCAGCCATCTAGAAAGCAGCAGGAAAGGGCTCACCAACCTTCGGGTACCGCAGCTCCCCTGTCTGTCTGCAAGCCTTCCATGTCTGAAAATAAAGGATCCAAACTTTCAAAATAATGTGTTGGCTCACTGAATTTTTTTTAAGTACAATTTCAACAAACCTGAAAATTTACAACATAAAAATTTACAAATTTAATTTTTTCAATCAATTTCATAAAATTGGACTTCCACCTCACTCACTTCTTCCAGCACGGTTAATTTAACACTGGACACCAATAACCCTGATAATACTTTCACTAGATAAAACATTGTCTGTCTCTACCTCATATGTTTGTGGTATGAAAATGTACTAACAATCTGTGGTAGCTGCTTTCATGGTTTACACAACAGAAAACTTACTTTAAATGCCTCAACAAGTGCAATACAGTCACTCTTGCTACTGCCAGAGAAATTCACTTTGTTCCTATAAACAGATAACAGTGTCATTCAATACCATTAAAATACAGTGACACTTTAAAATATGAATGTTCAGTACCTATATCCATCGAGATGCTGCCGGAAAGGCATTGCAAAAAAATTCTTCAAAGAAAGAGCTGCCGCTAACCATAAAAAATAAACAAGAAGAATGTAAGATTGTGAGAGTGGTGTTATATAAACTTCCCATTAGCATTTATTTGTTCTCACACTTACCTATAATAAGACATTCATCTAGACATCCAAATACATGTCCAAGGACTATGAGTTTACCAAGTTGCTGATTTACAGGAAGTTGGGCTAAAACTCTTCCTAAGAAGGTCAATTCACCATCATGGGGGTTTTCATCTTCTCTCTGCCCACTCACTGCAAGTGCTCCAACCTTTATAAAATAAAATTAGTGTTATTATCAAGCACTGACTTACTCATACTTCTTCCCCTTAAGGTGGAGAGTCCAAAACAGGAAACAAAGACCTAATTTTGGTGAATAACATTCTAAGTCAATTTATGAAAGGTTGATATGTTACCAAAAAAAACTTTTTAAATTTTCCCTTGAAACTTAGAACACATTTTACTTTTTTTTTAAAAGTATGATCCTGGGAGGTAACACTAAAGGACTTTCACAGAATTCTACTCACCTCACTCTTGAACAAATATGGCATGCACAGTACTAAGTGAAGGATCTCCCAGCTGTCACTGTCAACAAAACCTTACTGAACTATGTATGGGGAAAAACTTCCTTAACTTGACACAGTGTATTTCATAGAAACCCAAGGAGGTATCATATTTAAAGGCAGCCAAGTGTGGTGGCTCACACCTCAGTCTCAGCTACTTGGGAGGCCACAGTGGGAGGGTCACTTGAGCCCAGTGTTTGAGGCTGCAGTAAGCCATGATTGCATCACTGCGCTCCAGCCTAGGCAACAGAGCAAGACCCAGTTAATCAATCAATCAATCATAATAAAGAAGGTAAAACACCAGAAGCATCCTCAACTTCGAAGGTCAGAAGCAGAACGTCCACAGCCCCAGCACAGTATGTACACTAGGATACAGCTTGTACCAAGGCCTCGGTTACAAGTTCAAAGAGCAGAGTATGAGTCAGGTGTGCAGTCAAAGAATCCCAAGTAGGAAGAGCAGGGTTTCCAGGAATGGATGAAGCAAGCCAGAAGGAGGCTGAGGAACAGAGTTAGCGGGAAAGTGAGGCAGGAGGAACAGAGTTAGCGGGAAAGTGAGGCAGGAGGAACAGAGTTAGCGGGAAAGTGAGGCGGGAGGATCAGAGTTAGTGGGAAAGTGAGGCACAGACTGAGGGAGCCACAGTAGAACACAGCTCTACAGATGCCAACAGTACTAACCAGCAGGCAGTCCTACCTCCTTTAGTAGAAGGATGGTGCGCTCAATGTCACTCAGACCAGGCGGGGAAAGGGCAGTGGCCAGCAGAGCTCTCGGCTCACCCATGTCAAGTAATTTCACTTTCAAGATCGTGCTTCCTAATGGACAACGCTGAAAAGAAACAAGCCTGAGATTAGAAATAATAACATAACTAAATCAGTTAGCCGATTCACATAACCAGTGCTTCAGAGGGAAAGAGGAGGAGAGAAGGAGAGGAGAGAAGAAAGAAAAATGGAGAGGATTGAGGGAGGGAGAGAAGAGAAGGGAGAGAGAAGAAGAAAGAACAGGAGAGAAAGAGATGGAAAAATAAAAAGATGGGGAGAGAGAAGGAAGAAAAAAGAGAAGGAAAAGAGGGACTGAAAAGTGGGAGAGCAAGAAAGCAGGGAGAGGGAAAGAAGAAAAAAAAGAAGGAGGACAAAGGAAGGGGAGAGACACAGAAAAGAGGAAGGAAAAAAAGCTGATCCCACAATTACTCATTATAAAGGGACATAGAAAACAGCAGCATTTAAAGACAATCCTATTATAGAGCCCATAGATACCAGAAAACATCCTCTCATTAAAACTGTAAAATGTGGGTAACGCCCTAGACAGTAGCCTGATGTGTAATCAATAGTGAGCCCAGATTGTGAGTGAGGGGGAATGTGGCAAGACAAGGATTTTTCTGGAATCAAAATTAGATGACACTAGAAATTATATCACTTAGACTATTTGGCAAAACTATCTACAAAAAATTAACTTTGACACTTTGGGAGGCCAAGGCGGGCGGATCACGAGGTCAGGAGTTCGAGATCAGTCTGGCCAACACAGTGAAACCCTGTCTCTACTAAAAATACAAAAAATTAGCTGGGCGTGGTGGTGTGTGCCTGTAATCCCAGCTACTTGGGAGGCTGAGGCAGCAGAATCGCGTAAACCCGGGAGGCAGATTGCAGTGAGCCAAGATCATGCCAGTGCACTCCAGTCCAGACAACAGTGCAAGACTCCGTCTCATAAATAAATAAATAAATAAATAAATAAATAAATAAACTTTGACAATGACCAAAGTGAATTACCAACATCTCAGGAACAACATGATCAGGGATGGAGTTGTCCCAGAAATCCTTGTGTACCAGCCGGTAACAGTACCCTCTAGACACTCGTCCAGCACGGCCTTCAAAGGAGAGATGTGCAAACAGTGTTTGGCATTAATTACTTTAACATCAGCATGAAGGTATCTTTTTAAACAGTCATTAAATATTAATTAAGCAAAGCCTTAAGTATCTTCCACCAGACTATGTCAGTAAAAACTTTAGAATACATTAGTGTATTCTTAATAAGTTATTATTTTAAACATTATTCTAAATAAGAATGACTATCCTAAAAAATTAGAATAAATAGAACAAGACTAAATGCTGACTTCTATTCAGTGACCAATATTATAAAATCCAATGCATATTTCTGAAGAAAACAACCTTGGCCCAATATGCAACAGAAACCAAGTACACCCTTCTTGAAAATGCACAGTACATAACAGAAAGTCACGAGGTTGGCGACAGGCCCTACAATGCCATCGAGGAGCTGTCTCAGCACCCTGTGCTTCCCACAGCTCCTTGCCCCACTGCAAAGCACCCTCCCAGCTGTCAGCCACACCGCATTACGTGACCGAGTGAGGAACAAGCAGAAGGTTCAGAACCAAGGCTGGCCCACAGAGACCATGACACAAACTACTACTCTCTTGTGACTCTATCACCTATGAAGTAGCAACTCTTTTATCCTAACACATAATAAAATAGTCCAAGGAGAGAGAGTGAAGGGAGGGGTAGGAGGGAGTCTTAAAATGCAGCTTTAAAAGAAATGGGGCAACCCAAAAAGCATTCTTTCCCCACCTATGGGGATCTAGATCCTAACAAAAGATATCTATCTAGAAGGGTGAAGGCCTCTTGGCAATGTTTTCTTTAACCTATGATGTAGGTCAAGAGGGGTGAACCAATGTTTTGTTTCTGACTGATTATGGATTAACAAAGGTACTATTAAAATTTTTTATCTAAATCTACCCTTTGTCTTTTGTTTATTAAGGCATAAGATAGATGCTAAAACAGACCAAGTTGTCTTTTTCTCCTACTAATAAAAATAAAAAATCCCAACATAAAGAGGTCCCCGCTACTCTAACCCTTATAAAAAAATAACTTAAAGTCCTTGTTCCCACCTGACAAAACTCACTGTCTCAATCTCTTGGCTCAAGAGATTGAGCCAATCTCAATCTCTTCCCAGGGAGATCTGAGACCAAATAAACACATTTACAATGGTGACAAAGTGACATCAATGCCTAAGGTTTTGGTCAACCTCTTAATCTTGACAGGTTGACCAAAAGGGAAAGTTGTTAAATTAAGTTTAGCCTACACCTGTAATCCCAGCACTTTGGGAGGCCGAGGCGGGCAGATCACGAGGTAAAGAGATGGAGACCATCCTGGCCAACATGGTGAAACCCTGTCTCTACTAAAAATACAAAAATTAGACAGGCATAGGGGTGCGCGCCTGTAGTCCCAGCTACCTGGGAGGCTGAAGCAGAGAACTGCTTGAACCTGGGAGGTGGAGACTGCAGTGAGCCGAGATCACGCCACTGCACTCCAGCCTGGCAATAGATCAAGACTCTGTCTCAAAAAGAAAAAAAAAAAAGAAAAGAAAAGAAAAAAGGTTAGCCTAAAGATGCCTCCTTACATATTTTAAGTTCAGCCTAAAAGTCTCTCTGCATATAGTAAACTATAACCTAACTAGATATGTAAAAAGACTATAACCCACTCTTATGCCAATCACCGGGTTTCAGCCAATCAAAGGCAACCAACTGCTCAAACCACATTCAAAGAGGACCAATGCCCAGGTGTAGTCAATTCGGCCATTTCTGTACCTCACTTCCATTTTCTACACGTCACTTTCCTTTTTCTGTTCATAAATCTTCCTTGACCACGCAACAGCACCAGAGTCTCTCTAAACCTCTTCCAGTTCAGGGGCAGACCAATTTGCAAATTGTTCTTTAAAACTCTGTTAAATTTAATTTGTCTAAAATTTTTTTCTTTTTTTTTTTTTTTTTTTTGAAACAGCATCTCACTCTGTCACCCAGGCTGGAGTGCAGTGGCGCAATCATGGCTCAACTGCATTGACCTCCCAGGCTCAATCTATCCTCCCACCTCACCCTACTGAGTAGCTGGGAGTACAGGCGCATGCCATCATGGTTGACTAATTTTTGTATTTTTTATAGAGATAGGGTTTTGCCATGTTGCCCAAGCTGATCTCAAACTCCTGGGCTCAAGCAGTCTGCCCACCTCACCCTCCCAAAGTGCTGGGATTACAGGCATGAGCCACTGTGTCTGGCCAAAATTTTTCTTTTAACAGTGGTGCTGGCAAAGATACGGAAAAAACAGATCTCACACATTGCTCATGGAATGTAAAATGACACAGCCACCATGGAAAGAGTTTACAGTAGTTCCTTATAAAACTAAACATAGGCCGGGCACAGTGGCTCATGCCTGTAATCCCAGCACTTTGGGAAGCCTAGGCAGGCAGATCACGAGGTCAAGAGATGGAGACCGTCCTGGCCAACATGGTGAAACCCCATCTCTACTAAAAATACAAAAATTAGCTGGGCGTGGTGGGGCATGCCTGTAGTCCCAGCTACTCGGGAGGCTGAGGCAGGAGAATTGCTTAAACCCAGAAGGTGAAGGTTGCAGTGAGCCGAGATCACGTCGTTGCACTCCAGCCCAGCGACAGAGTGAGACTCCGTGTCAAAACAAAACAAAAGAAACTAAACATAGATTTACCACATGACCCAGTAACTATATTCTTGGGTTTTTATACCAGAGAAATGAAAACTTATGGCCACACAAAAACCTGTACATGAATATTCACAGCTGTTTTATTTACACGGCAAGAATTGGAAAAACCTCAAATGTCCTTAAACAGGTAAATGTTCAGTGGAGTACTACTTAGTAATAAAAAGGAATGAGCCACTGCTACGTGCAGCTTGTATTGGCTTAGATGGCTCCTAAGAACACTATGGTAAGTGGAAAAAGCTAATTTCAAAAGGTTACATACTGTATGATTCCATTTATCTAACATCCCGGAAATTACGAAGCTGCAGAGATGAAGACGGGTCACCAGTTGACAGACAGAGTGTTAGGGGCAGGTATGGCTGCAAGGGGGCAGCACAGGGCCACCCCTGCATAGCAGTGGGACAGGACAGTTCTGTGCTCTGATCATAGTAGTGGTTACACAAACTTACACATGGGATCAAACTGCACAGAACCATACACACAGTACAGGTAAAATTGTGAAACAAGGTGTATAGTCTAACAGTGTTACACTATGTCAATTTCCTGGTTGACTGTACTTATAAAGATGTCCTACTCCAGGGGAAGATAAGAGAAGGATTCAAAGGATTCTATGTGCTATTTTTGCAATATCTTATAGAGGAAGAAATTTTATAATAAATATCTAATTATAGAAATTTTGAATATACAAAAAGGTAGACAAAACTCCTATAATCCCAAGACTGACCCAAAGATAATCACTTTTAACATCTTTGTATATTTATTTCTAGTCACTTTTTATTGAGGTTTTTGTTTTTTTTGAGACACAGTCTTGCTCTGTTGCCCAGGCTGGAGTGCAGTGGCGTGATCTAGGCTCACTGCAACCTCCACCTCCCAGGTTCAAGCAATTCTCGTAACTCAGCCTCCCAAGTAGTTGGGATTACAGGTGTGTGCCACCACACTCAGCAAATTTTTGTATTTTTAGTAGAGACAGGGTTTCACCATGTTGGCCAGGCTGGTCTTGAACTCCTGACCTCAAATGATCCACCAGCCTCAGCCTCCCGAAGTGCTGGGATTACAGGCACAAGCCACCACACCCAGCTATTTCTAGTCATTTTTTAAGCATAGTTTTTTAGAAAGTTTGAGGGGAGAGGTGGTTAAACATAGTGAGGTGTTTACAGTTTAATATCCTTTTTTCTCTTCACTTTATAACAATACTTAAGTTTTTTCCAAAGTGATGAGAACCTCTGTGACTTTTTTTTTTTTTTTTTTTTTTGAGACGGGGCTCTCATTCTGTCACCTAGGCTGGAGTACAGTGTGTGCGATCTCAGCTCACTTCAACCTCTACCTCCCAGGCTCAAGTGATCCTCCCACTTCACTCTCCTGAGTAGCTGGGACCACAGGTATGAGCCACCACACCCAGCTAATTTTTTGTGTTTTTGGTAGAGACAGAGTTTTGCCATGTTGTCCAGGCCGGTCTCGAACTCCTAAGCTCAGGCATCTACCCGCCTCAGTCTCCCAAAGTGCTGGGATTACAGGTGTAAGTCACCGCACCTGGCCTCTGTGACCCTATTTTAACAGCTGCTTAGTCATTCTCTTAACCCCTCTCTAGGCAAGTCATTTCAGGAGAGGTGATATAACAAAAAGGTTAAGAATGTAGACCAAAGCCAGATTTCTGGGTTCAAACCTCATTCCCACCACTTCCTACTATAACCTTGAGCAAGTTACTATTTCTGTGCCTCTCAGCTAACTGCTTCACTAAGAAATGGGAAATCTTAATTAACACACCATGTACGTTACCTCACAGGGTTGTTAGGAAGATTAAATGAGTTAATAAATACTTAGAAGAATGTCTGGCATATGGTAAATATTCAATCAATGTTGCCTTTATTATTTTGGGGGGTGTATTTAGTATTTTAGTATTCTTGAAATGGTCTTTTATCTACCCTTCCCAAAAGGTTTTCTAAAAAACAAACAAAAAAAAAAGCCACTTCTCAGTCTGCACTGAGAATGCTGTCCTGTAAAATCAGTTCTTGCCACAGGTGATCTTAACCTGTCCCAGGTATGTCATGAATATACCTCCACTGTAGTTGAAGCATCCCAAGACCCCAAAAGTGACCCCACACACCCTCATCTCTGCCCAGTGATACATGTGGCTGATGCAGCAAATCCAGAACTCTCTGCAGAACCACTTTAGGAAAACTAACCCTAGGAAGATCAAAGTTAAACAGAAATCAAATCATCAAAAATTACTGAAGTGATCCACTTGGTGTCCATAGTTCTTCACCAATAATTTTTTAACTTAACTTTAAGAAAAAAACATAGTGTCAGGATGATGGGGTTTATCCATTATGTACAAAGACCTCATACATTAGAAGAGAGGAGAAGCATGGATTTAAATGGACACTCTGACAATATGAGAAGCCATTGCTAAAAACTTAAAACTCGTTCCAAGAAAGGAAATATCTAAGTAAAAAGTGCAAAAAATGAATTTTTTAGAAAAGCATCTGAATGGCCGGGCACGGTGGCTCACGCCTGTAATCCCAGCACTTTGGGAGGCTGAAGCGGGTGGATCACAAAGTCAGGAGATCAAGACCATCCTGGCTAACACGGCGAAACCCCGTCTCTACTAAAAAATACAAAAAATTAGCCAGGCGTGGTGGCAGGCGCCTGTAGTCCCAGCAACTCGGGAGGCTGAGGCAGGAGAATGGCAAGAACCCGGGAAGCGGAGCTTGCAGTGAACCGAGATCGCGCCACTGCCTTCCAGCCTGGGCGACAGAGCAAGACTCCGTCTCAGAGAAAAAAAAAAAAAAAGCACCTGAATGTGCCACTGTGTCACCAATGACTCATTATTGTGCTTTAACACAAATGTCTTACCTTTTCTCTGATTACAGCTGGTTTTAGAAGCCCAACTCAATCGCAGACTCTGATAATTTGTATCTTCATCACAGACCAAAGTTCTAGTCAAACAAAAATCTATAACTGCCATTTAAAAAAAAGGACTGTAAACACCATGCTAATAAGAGATCATTGCATAATAAATCACAATGCATAGTGATAAAGCCATTTGAAACATGCAGCCTTAAGAATTAGTGAACAGGCAGAAACGTTTGGCCACGCACCGACCACTCCCGCCCAGGATGGGGAGTTGCTGGTCCCATCCTTTCTTGCTGAGTACAGGGAGTCTCTAGGTGTAAAGAATGCATAACCCGTAAGACCCAACGTGTCATAAAAAGGCCTACCTGGACTGCACCCGAAAGAGTAACGTTCTCCAAAAGAGCATCATTACAACAGCAGTACAGAAGAGCAGCTGATGCAAGGGACTGCCAGAATTCAAATCCCGCGTCTGTGTGTGCCTGTGGGTGGATCTGGGTGTCTGGGTATGTGTGTGTCTGGATGGGTGTGTGTATCTGTGCATCTGTACGCGTGGGTGGGTGGGTGGGTAGAAGTGTGCATGTGGGTGTGCCTGGCTGGATAAGCTGCCGAGTGTCTCTGCGCTTTAGTATCCTCATCTGTGGCCTGCCTCCTCCCCTCCACCACACCTTTCCCCCTCACACAGGCAAAGCACTGGGGATCTCCCATCAGCAACACTCACTCCCTTGGGCCACCCCTTCACTTACTGCCCCATTTCCTCTGCTCCCCTACAGCAAAGCACCTGTGGAGTGTTGTGTGCCGCCACCGGTTCTTTGTTCATTTCTTCCCATCCTTTCTTGAGCCCACTCCAAGCAGACGCTTGCTTCCACCAAAGCTGCTCTTGTCAAGGTCACTGACAACAGCCCCGTTGGGAGGTCCTCCTTGACCCGCCATGGGCATCTGATGCACTCCTCCACTCCATCCCCTCAAGACCCTTTTCCCACTGGGTGTCTAGGCCTCTGTGTTCACTGGCTTTCTTCCCACTGCCCTGGAGGCCCCTCTGCTCTTACTGCCCACCTTTACACACCGGGGCCACCCTCCCTCTGTGCACTCCCAGAAGAGCTTGGCCAGGTTCCTGCCTTCCAACGCCAGTCACGGGCTGACGCCCCCGCCAGCTGCTCCCTGGCCCTGGTCTCCAGGCTCACACAGCCAGATGCTTCCATGACACCTCCACCTGAACATCTAGCACGTCTCAGCCCGAATCCCAGCTCCTCACCTGCCCCACCCTGCTCCTTCCACAGCCTTCACCATCTCGCAGGAGCCTCCATCCTCCCAGTCTCTCAGGCCACATGTCTAGAGGCCGACCAAATGTGTCTCTCACAATTTCTCCATCAGAGACCTCAGCACATCCTCCCCAGCTCTGCCTTCAGAATCTCCCTGGGATCTACCCCCACCTCCTGTCCCCTACCGCTGCTGTCCTTTTCTAAGCACCACCCATTGTCGCCTAGATTCTTGTGACACCCTCCTAAGTCTCTTCCTTTTCTCTCCTTTGCCTCATTCTAGTCTATTCCCAGAGAAATCCTGTTAAGTGAACTTCAGGTTATGTCATTTCTGTTTTCAAAACCTACCAACGATTTTCCATCTTGCCCAGCACAGCAAGGTTGTACCAGGTCCTATGGGCCCTGCATGGCCCCTGCTACCCCCAGGCCTCTCTTCTGGCTCGTTTCCCCTTCGTTCACACTGGTCCAGCTGCCCTGGCCTCCTTGCTTGATGGTGCTGTTTCACAACCATCAAGCACACTCTTGCCTTCTCCTACCCCAAACACTCTTTTGCCAGGTATGGACCCGACTCCCTCCCTAACCTCCTTCAGGATGTGACTTGTCACATTCCCTGATCACTCCACCTGCAATCTCAATGGTGCTTCCCTGACACTCCCTACCCAATAACCCCTTTTTCTTCATACACTCACCATCATGTAACTTACTCCATATCTGTACTTATCTACCCACCCCGAATGTGTCATGAGAACAAAGGCTTTTTGTCTATTTTGCTTACTGCTATTTCGCTGGTACAAAGACAAAACACCTGCTCATTATCATCTGCCCTGGTTTACCCATTCCAGCCACACTGGCCGTGTGCTGCTCCTCAAACCCGTTCCCTACACCCCAGCCACCTTTTTGCATAGCTCGCTCCTCATTTAATCCAGGTCTCTATTAAAATGTCACTTCCTCAAAGAGGTAATTCCTATCTGAAAGATCCTATCTGAAAGATCATTTTTCCCAATAACTGTACCCCTTCCCCTGATTTATTTTCCTACACAACATTGACCTGTACCTGAAATTATAAAACCTTTTTACCTGCTAAGCATCTCTCTCTCCCACCAGAACGTAGCAGCCATGAGGACTGGACTTTGTCTTACTCACCACTGTACTGCCAGCACTGAGAACAGTGCCCGACACATGTGTTAGGTTTTCAAATATAAATTAATGAATTTAGAAAACTCATTGATGAAGCAATCTCACAAAGTAATTACAGACACATATGTGGAAGATGAGATGACAAAGTGGGCTGCTCCAGAGTTGACATGGTGTCCTGCCAAGCAACCTTCAGAGCTGAGATGGCCTGAGCTCCTCCCCACATCTGCCTCCCTCCAGTCACAGAACTCCACCTGGCAGCCCCGAAGCTGTTTCCCACAAGGCCCAGTGGAACACCCCAAACACTTCCGACGAGCCAGCTTGCCCTAAAGGATGAAACAGGTACACTCAGAGGAGGTGGTGGTGAACTGAGAGTATGGGAGAAACTACGTAAACCTACTTTTCTCAATTCTGTGTTCCAAAACGGGAGGAGATGGGAAGGAAGAGAAGAACAATTCCTGAGTGAGGTGAATAAGCCAATAAATATGGCACTACAGCTAATGCCAGGAGGTAAACGGAGAAGTATCTTACCATATTTGACATCTGGAACTGTGACAGAACTCTCTGCAATATTGGTGGACAGAATAATCTGTTAAACATCAAAGAAAAAAGCTGACATTCCTACTATATTCCGAACATCATTAGGCAAAGTTTACAAAAATGCAAAAATTATTTTAAAGCTTCTGAATGTAAATACTGAACTCAGGTTTCAAAATTAGCCATTTTTCTATTTTATACACATCACAATTGATCAAGAAGCCCCTGATGAATGGAAACCAGCCACATACAACACAGCAAAGGCTTTAACACAGGCAGACAAGACACGGGCAAAGGGAGCTATTCCTGACTTCTGGTGTGGTAACTTTGGTGGGGTGGAGAGGGGTCCTGGAATTGCCCAGGGGCACAACCAGGTTTCTAGAAGAAGGGTTGTTGCCTGTACTTGCCCTAGAATACCACCCAAGGCTGCTCCTAGAGATTCCAAAGCAATCAAGGGGGGCGACGTTGTCAACTCAGGCCCCCTGATCACCTCAAGCAGCTCTAGAAGGGTCTTGTTAAAACAACTCCATCATTCACACATAATCTGAGATAAAGAAATCCTCCTGAAGCAGGACCTAGAATATGGCTTCTAACCAGAGTCACCAGAGTGGTTTCAAGGACACGAGAACAGTCCCAAAGTTAAAGAAATGCTAAAGAAGAATTAAAAGGCACCAGAATTCCTGAATTGAGAAAACAAAAAATCTTAGCTTTTTAGCAAACTGATTTACAAAATAAAACACAAAACTAAACAACATACCTGGCTCATTAGGTAAATATTTGTTTAAGTGAGTAACCACTAACTACAGAACACACTGCTGAAATGTGATTTTTTTTTCTTTTTTTTTTTTGTTTTGAGACAGTCTTGTTCTGTCACCCAGGCTGGAGTGCACCAGTGTGATCTCGGGTCACTGCAGCCTCCACCTCCCAGGCACAAGTCTCCCACCTCAGCCTCCCAAGTAGCTGGGACTACAGGTGCATGCCACTGCACTCAGGTAATTTTTATATTTTTTGTAGAGATGGGGTTTCGCCATGAGGCTGGTCTCAAATTCCTGAGCTCAAATGATTCACCCACCTCAGCCTCTCACAGTGCTGGAAACACACGCATGAGCCACGACACCCAGAAAATATTTTTCATGAGTAGAGTCTCTAAGGAAAATTTACCTAAAGTGCTTAGAACTTGTCTTCCCAGTTTTCCTACCTTTCTGTACCCAGGGACTGGACTTAAAAAGACATTATTCTGTTCTTCTAAAGCCACACTTGAATGGAGTGGATAGACCTGCAACCTAAGAAATTACTAAAATAAAATCTCCATAAAGAATAGATATACATGAGATACAAAAATAAATACTGAGATAATTTAAGGCAGAAACAATGCAATGGCTTAGAAGAATACAGCTGTATCATTTTCAACATACCTTTTATGAACCAGGCTTGTGAGAAGTTCATGCATATAATTTATTTCACCCAGACCTAGGGAAGAAAAAAGTGGAGGAGGGAAATAAACATGTTTGTATTTACTGCTAGAAACCAACCTTTAAATTAAAATGGCATATCTTTCAAAGAAGGCCCTACCAATTTATTTGACTTCTTTATCCTCTTTGCCTAAATATGCCAGAAACACAAGTAAAAGTACACAGTGACATTGATTAGTAGTAACTCAAAAATATAGGGAAAAACCCTATTATTCCAGTTTTCCTTTACACAGCAGTGACTCCCTGTGGGTGTTAGCTATATGAGTAATTTTTGTATTCCTTTTTTACCCCCAGATTTTCTAAATTTTCTATAATGAGCATGCAAAATCTTTACAATCAAAAAATAACATTTGTAAAGTTTTGGTCATGAGGATGTGCTAAACCATTTCCATCAGGCCTCCGTCCTGTTTGCTGAAAGCTAAGCTAGCAGGTGCTTTTGCCTCATCCTGATTCTCAAATCTGAGTCTGTTATGGGTTGAACTGTGTCCCCTAAAAAGACGTATTGAAGTCCTAACCCCAGAATGCGGAAGGTGGTGTTATTTGGAAATAGAGTCATTGCAGATGTAATTAGTTAAGATGAAGTTATACTGGAATGGGGTGAGCCCTTAATCCAAAATGACTGGTATCCATACAAGAAGGGAAGAGGCACAAACAGAGAATGCCATGTGACAACAGAGACAGGAGTGATGTAGCCACAGGTCAAGGAGCACTAGGGACTGACGGCCACTACCAGGAGCTGGAAAGAGGAAGAGGCTCAGAAAGAGCATGGCCCTGCTGACAACTCGATTTTGAACATCTAGCCTCCAAAACAGGGAGAGAATAAATGACTGTTCTTTTAAGGCATTTAGCTTGTGGCACTTTGTTACAGCAGTCCTGGAAAACTACTATAGAACTGTTCACAAAAGATCAATTGACACATAAACATCTATCAAACTTGAATTCACATGAACATATTAAAAGGACAGTAACCCTAAATGTAAAATATCACTTATAAATATTTTCTTCAGGCAATGTTTAGCAGGTAAAAAGTATTTACCAGCCAGGAGCAGTGGCTCACACCTGCAATCCCAACACTTTGGGAGGCTGAGGCAGGTGGATCACTTCATGGAGATCACTTGAGCCTAGCAGTTCGAGACTAGCCTGTGCAAGCTAGTTAAACCGTCTCCACAAAAAGATACCAAAAAAAAAAAAATTTGGCCAGGCATGGGGGTGCATGCCTGCAGTCCCAGCTACTTGGGAGGCTGAGGTGGAAATATCACTTCAGCCCAGAAGGTAGAGGCTGCAGTGATCGGGGTCACACCACTGTACTCCAGCCTGGGGAACACAGCAAGACCCTTTCTTAAAAAATAAATAAAATAGAGTATTTATCTCATGTTAGGTATTCTTTTTTTTTTTTTTTTTTTTTGAGATGGAGTCTCGCTCTTTCTCCCAGGCTGGAGTGCAGTGGCGTGATCTCGGCTCACTGCAAGCTCCGCCTCCCAGGTTCATGCCATTCTCCTGCCTCAGCCTTCCGAATAGCTGGGACCACAGGTGCCCGCCACCATGCCCGGCTAATTTTTTTTGTATTTTCAGTAAAGATGAGGTTTCACCATGTTAGCCAGGATGGTCTCGATCTCCTGACCTCGTGATCCACCCACCTCAGCCTCCCAAAGTGCTGGGATTCCAGGCATGAGCCCCCACGCCCGTCCGTGTTAGGTGTTCTTAAGCCTCGGCCTCCCAAAGTGCTGGGATTCCAGGCGTGAGCACTGTGCCCGGCCCATGTTAGGTGTTCTTAAGCCAGTATCAACATGGCTCTACTTGGGTGATGTTTTCCCCTTAATACAATATGATGCACACAGAAGTCATCTGATAAATATTCACCAAGGCACATGCAACACCACCCCACTGTCAGCTCATGGTTGTTCCCTGCATGTAAACAAATCCTTATCAGCTAAGCAAAACATGACAAAAGTTTGAAACTCATATGTTGCATTCCAAAATTAAGTAAGCTACTTTCATTGCATGTTTTTCATTCTCCATTATTTTAAGAACAAATCTGTTTATGCTCTATATATTACAACAGAAAATATTTGAATTATTGTCATAATGTTTCATCAAGCTATACCACTTGAATTAAACATCAAGTAATTTTGAAAAAGTACAATTTAACATAAATTCATCTTTTCAGAAAGGTATTTTAAAAGTCTGTTTTCTCAAACACTGAGAAGGGAACTCAAGGATTACCCTGATGATTCTCACGGTGTTATAATAACAGTGTGTTTTACTATTACTAAATAAGCTTTCAATGCAAACTGATGACAGTTACCTCACATTTATAACGACATATGTAAAATGCAAATTTCACAAAGCCAAATATTTTACTGGAAATTTCGAAGGTGGCAAAACTGCCTTCAAAAAGCTGAACTCTAGACAAGCATGGTGGCGCGTGTCTGTAATCCCAGCTACTTCGGAGGCTTAGGCAGGAGAATCACTTGAACCCAGGAGGCAGAGGTTGCAGTGAGCTAAGATTTTGCCACTGTACCCCTGCCTGGGCAACAGAGTGAGACTCTGTCTCCAAAAAAAAAAAAAAATTGAACTCTTAATTATTAATAAGAAATCTTTTTTAGAAATACAAGGGTTGGCCGGGCACAGTGGCTCACATCTGTAATTCCAGCACTTTGGGAGGCCACAGCGGGCAGATCACAAGGTCAAGAGATCGAGACCATCCTGGCCAACATGGTGAAAGCTCATCTCTACTAAAAATACAAAAATAAGCCGGGCGTGGTGGCGTGCACCTGTAGTCCCAGCTACTCGGGAAGCTGAGGCAGGAGAATCACTGGAACCGGGGAGGCAGAGGTTGCAGTGAGCCAAGATCGTGCCACTGCACTCCAGCCTAGCAACAGAGCAAGACTCCATCTAGAAAAAGGAAAAGGAAAAGGAAAAAAAAAAGAAATGCAAGGGTTACAATAAAAAGCCAAACTGAAAGTTACATTTGTTCACATACTCAAAGTGTAAAAAGAATAAAGTCCTATGGAGAATACCATCTTTCATAATCTGTGTTAGGCACAAACTTAGCCTCTCTCCAGAGTATTATGATTCCAAGTCACAAAATTATGATGTTCTTACCTGGCAAAAACACCAACACACTGCTTCGCTCCAACACAAACTGGGCCCCCGACCAAGCCTTGTTCCTGTTAAAAATGTGATGTGCACAAATATTAATGAAGGCTAATAACAGCTATTGCTTCTCTAAAATCCTAATATTACAGGCTTTTAATCCTGAAAGGCTCTTACAGGTCATCCAATGTAATGTTCCTTATTTTACATAAGAAAACACGAAGCCCAAAAAGATGAGAAAACATCCAAGGCCCCATGGTCATTCAGGGGACTTAAGCCTTTTGACTCCCAATACTTTCTCCTATCAAAACTTACTATCTGCAGAAGTTTTCCTTGAAATTTAGTTATTGTAATCAAGAACTTCAAAGTAAAAAACATTTAAAATAACTACAAGCAAAATTTAAATGTTCATGAGTCCAAACTATTAGAAAGGATTTGTACAGACCAAAATCTCAAATCATCTACTTGCCTCCTTGCTATTGTCAATATATTTACTTTTGTGTGAATTTAGAACTTTCATTCTTCCATGAACCTGTGAGCCCTTCCTACATGCCAGGCCCTCCTCTGTGTAAGATACAGCAGTAACAAGAAGACAAGCTCCTTGCTCTTTGGAGCTTACATTCTAACTGGAGAGACAGACAGGAAACAAGAAAACAGACAAGGCACCTTCAATTTAGCAATAAGACCTAAAGAGACACACAGGGAAACACAGTAAGCAGTGCTAAGGGAGGTGCATGTATGGAGTGCTCTCAGGAGGGCTGGCTGGGAAGGGCCTCTCTGGGGAAGTAATGGGAGGTGAGGAGGGAGCCATGGAAAAGCCATGCAGTGGCAATCCAGGCAATGCCTGGGAACAGTCACTACAAAGGAGAAAGGGGTGTGAGGGGTAAACCAGTCACTGCAGCACAGGCAGCTCAGCATCCATGGTCACTGCTCCTGCTGCTCCTCCATCTCTCCCTATGAGGGTGAGCCACACCTATGACCTCAGGCGGCAGCCACTACCATGAAAAACACAGCCTTGGTTTGTAGATGGGCCTGCATGGGATGCTGGCAACAACCAGGGGCGAACATCTGCTGCATCACAGCCCCACCCAGAGGAGAGGCTCACACACAGTGAGTGGGGAAGGGAGCTCTTCCCAGTTAGCAGAGGTGAGGCCGTCCATCTGGTGGTACCGCTTTGGGTGGAAGGAGACATGGCCATGAGGTTGGGTTCACCCCAATCAATAGGCAGAGGCTAATAGCTTGGTCAGCTGGTCAGGGATGTGGAAATGGCAAGACTGATAATAAGGAGATCTGATGGAGAGGTACCAAGAAATGCCCATAAGGCAGCCACAGTGGAGAAGGCTTTCAGTCACCAGACGGGCAAGAGGCCCTGCCTGTGGACGTGACCCAGCCTCCTTCTCCAGTCCCTCCAGGGTTGGAAAACGCACAGAGTGGACAGGTAGCAGGGATGAAGGCTTACACACAAACTCAACACCATGCACTTTCCTGAGATGAGACTCATCCGGCTGCTACCACTGCTGGATGCCAACCACACAACAGCAAGGGCCAGTGCCAAGTCCCAAATATGGCACCATTCCCTGGGGGACCAGCCCAGCCAGCTGATGACAGGTTGATTCCATCATGAAAAAGATACTGATTTGCCCTCATGGAAATAGATACAGATCCTATTCTGGATTCAGGTCTGCCTTCTCTGCACCTAAAGCTCCTGTCATACCCCCATCCATGGACCTAAAGATGCCTTTCTCGCTTCCATTATTTCCTGCACAGCATGGCCTCCTGCCAAGGAGCTCAGTTTAGTAGTCAATGGACTCATGAAATTCAATGGTATTACCATGCATCCAAAAGCAGGTGGCTTAAAAGAAAGATGAAAATGCCTATTAAAGGCTCAATTATTGTCCCAGTCCTACAGGAAGTCATAAAAGCCATAATGAAATTCAAAGACAAGGTGAAATCTTGCAAGCAGCAAGAGGATAATGACATGCCACATGCAAAGAAAACCCCAGTAAGATTAACAGCTGAATTCTCAGAAGAAACAATGGAAGCCAGAAAGCAGTGGGATGACATATTCAAAGTGCTCAAAGAGAAAACAACTGTCGATCAAGATTCCTGTATTCAGTAAAACTCTCAATAATGAAGACTAAATAAAGACTGTCCCAGATAAAAAAATGAGAGTATCTAGCAGACCCACCTTACTAGAAATACTAAAGGAAGTTTTTTTGTGCTGAAAACAGCCGACCCCAGAGAGTATTTCAAATCCACATGAACAAAGAAAGAGAACTGGTAAAGGTAATTAGTTAATAACAAAAGATACTGTAAATACATATTTTGCCTCCTTCCTTCTTAGGTGATTTTAAAAGTAACCGGATACAAAAATCAGCAGGGTGTGGTGGCACGCACCTCTAAGTCCCAGCTACTCACAAGGCTGAGGTGGGAGGATCAATTGAGCCAATGAGGTCGAGGCTGCTGTGAGCCATGATCACTCCACTGTACCCAGCCTGCTCAACACAGTGAGACCTTGTCTCAAAAAAAAAAAAAAAAAGTAAAATGCTACACTGCAAAATATGTGTTAAATGCAAAAGAAAGCAGTAAAAGAGAAACAGAGGAACAAAAAGAATATGAGACATCCAGAAAGCAAAAAGCAAAATGGCCAACATAAATTCAACTATATCAGTGACAAAATTAAATGTAAATGGATTAAACAACATAAATGGATTAAACAGCCCAATCAAAAGGCAGAGATTGTTAGACTAATTTTAAAAATACAGGCCAGGCGCGGTGTCACACCTATAATCCCAGCACTTTGGGAGGCCGAGGCGGGCGCATCACGAGGTCAAGAGATCAAGACCATCCTGGCCAACATGGTGAAACCCTGTCTCTACTAAAAATACAAAAATTAGCTGGACATGGCGACACATGCCTGTAGTCCCAGCTATTCGGGAGGCTGAGACAGGAGAATCGCTTGAACCCAGGAGGCAGAGGTTGCAGTGAGCTGAGATCACACCACTGCACTCCAGCCTGGTGACAGAGCAAGACTCAATCTTTAAAAAAAAAAAATATCCCACTCAGAATATGTTGTCTACAGGAGATACACTTTAAATGCAAAGACACTAAGTAGACTGAAAGTAAAAGAATGAAAAAATATGTGTCATGCAAACAGCAACTACAGAAAAGTGAAATGGCTATACTAATACACAAAATAGGTCTTAAAATTAAGTGTTACGAGAGATAAGAGGTGCATTTTATAATGATAAATGGGTGAATCAATCAGGAAGATGTAACAGGTATAAACATATATGCATCTAGCAACAGAGAACCAAAATACATAAAGCAAAAACTGACAGAAAAGATTGAAGAAATAGGCAATTCAATAACAACTGCTGAGGACATCAATATCTCATTTTCGATAATATATAGAGCAACCAGGCAGAAGATCAAGAAGTAGAAGACCTGAACAATATGGTAAGTCAACCATACCTAAAAGACATCTATAGAACACTCCATCTAAAAACAATGAGTGACATTATTCTCAAGTGCACGTGTAATATTCTCCAGAACAGTCTACATGCTAGGCATGCAACAAACCTCCATAAATTTAAAAGAACAGAAAAAATATAAAATATGTTCTCCAACCACAATAGAATGAAATTCAAAATGTGTAACAGGAAAAATTGGGGGAAATTCACAAATATGTGCAAATTAAACAACACACTCCTAAAAACCAATAAGCCAAAGAAAAAATCAAAATGGAAATCAGAAAATACTCTGAGATGAATGAAAATGAAGACACAACATAGCAGAACTAATGGGACACAGCTAAAGCAGAACATAGCAGGAAATTTGGAAGATGAATGAACAAGGTACATCCAGACAATGGAATTTAGCGCTAAAAAGAAATGAGCTATCTAAGCCATGAAAAGACATAAGGGGAACTAAATACATATTACTAAGTAGAAGAAGACAACATGAAAAGGATACATACTGTATAATTCCCAACTACATGACATCCTGGAAAAGGCAAAACTATGGAGACAGATGTAGTAAAATTAGTGCTGTAAAGGCTCAATCATATGGTGTGTGTGTGTGTGTGTGTGTGTGTGTGTGTGTGTGTGTATATATTTTTTGAGATGGAGTCTTGCTCTGTCACCAGGCTGGAGTGCAGTGGCACGATCTCAGCTTACTGCAACCTCTGCCTCCCAGGTTCAAGCGATTCCTCTGCCTCAGCCTCCAGAGTAGCTGGGACTACAGGTGCGCACCACCATGCCCAGCTAATTTTTTGTATTTTAGTAGAGACAGGGTTTCACCATGTTGGCCAGGATGGTTTTGATCTCCTGACCTTGTGATCCCCCGACCTCGGCCTCCCAAAGTGCTGGGATTACAGGCATGAGCCACCGCGCCCAGCCATATTTTTAAAATTATAAACTCTAGTCACCACTTATAACCTAAAACTGTTCCTCAGGGAAAATGTTCCAATTTTCAAAGAACCAGCTAAATGAATGAACATCTGGATTACAGAAGGAGATTGCTTAGGGTCAAGAATATGTCTTTATAGTAAATGAAAACAAATGCAAAGAAAGTTTCAACAGTTTCTACTAATGTAGGATTTAAAGTTTTACCCCAGCATTAAGAGTGATAAGACCCCTATATGTCTGGAAAAACTATTTTCAGGCTATAAATCCTAGCTTTTAAAACTATCAGTCCTAACACTGCACTCAGCATGGCTTTAATTATTTAAAATAGATATTTCCAGTTAAAAAAATTCCAAAATACTAACCTGATTTTAAAATATATACAGTAACTACTAAAAAAGTACCTATAGTTATACCTTCTTATAAAAACACTAAAACGTTTCCAAATGAATAATTTTTTAAATCACATATACATTAAAGTGCATTACCAACTGAAGTATCTCTTACCCACTCTCCTTCATATCCAAGTCATCAAACATCTGAATGAGAGAGACAGCAACTTCATATATATCCTTAGTTATCACCGGTTCCTCCAGGAGATGAGGAGAGAGCTAAAAACAGTGAAAGAAAAAAGTCGCAATACGAAAACAGGATTACAGAAGAAACCTGGCGTTGGATGGGACTGGCTCTCACCATTAGTACAACACTGTAACAAACTCTCTAAATAAAAGTTCTTGGTTTTTATTGACAGCAATGTCTGAACACGTGCTGTGTGCCAAGTACTGCTCAGGACAGTGGACACATAAAGTGCCATACTCATCAATCTCCTCGCCTAGTCACCAGAGCAAGAATGGCTCAGAGAGCCCAGACATGCACAGGCAGTGTGTTTGGCAGGATGTCTACTTTGAAGACATCGATTAAGTCACACCAAATGTCTATGGAACCCAGGAGGAGTTCCTGATCTCAAAGCCAATGCCCTTCCCCTCTGTCAAACCCCCACCTCAAAGAGCCCTAAGACTTCCCTAAGATTTCACGTGTGAAAAGTAACCTTGTATATCAAAAGTACCAGAAAACTGTAACGTCACATCCGTATCTACCAATGTGTGGTGATAACATAACCTCATGATGAGGTATCCGTCTACCAAGGTTTACGGGTTCCTCTACTACTTTTAATTGTCTATTAAAGCAAAGACACCAAGACCAGATAATGTAAACTTGCCCCTCAGGCACCGCTACCAAACACTAGGCACCAACCACAAGCGGCAAACTCCCCAAGTCAGGCTGTGCATTAGTCCATCTTCATGCTGCTGATAAAGACATACCCAAGACTGGGCAATTTACAAAAGAAAGAGGTTTACTGGACTTACAGTTCCACATGGCTGGGGAAGCCTCACAATCATGGTGGAAGACAGAGAGAGCTTGTGCATGGAAACTCTCCCTTACAGAACCATCGGATTTCATGAGACTTACTCACTATCATAAGAACAGCACAGGAAGGACCTACCCCCATGATTCAATTACCTCCCACTGGGTCCCTCCCATAACAGGTGAGATTTCAAAATGAGATTTCGGTGGGGACACAGCTAAACCATATCATTCTGCCTCTGGCCCCTCCCAAATCTCATGTCCTCACATTTAAAAACACAATCATGCCTTCCCAACAGTCCCCACAAAGTCTTAACTCATTTCAGCATTAACTCAAAAGTCCATAGTCCCAAGTCTCAAAGCAAATTAGTTACTTCCTAGATACAATGGGGGTACAGGTATTGGGTAAATATAGCCTTTCCAAATGGGAGAAATTGGCCAAAATAAAGGGGCTACAGGTCCCAAGCAAGTCTGAAATCCAGCAGGGCAGTCAAATCTTAAAGCTCCAAAATGATCTTTGACTCTATGTCTCACATCCAAGTCACACTGATGCAAGAGCTGGGTTCCCATGGTCTTGGGAAGCTCCACCCCTGTGGCTTTGCAGAGTACAGCCTCCCTCCCAGCTGCTTTCATGGGCTGGCATTGAATGTCTGTAGCTTTTCCAGGTGCGTGGTACAAGCTGTCGGTGGATCTATCATTCTGGGGTCTGGAAGACAATGGCCCTCTTCTCACAGCTCCATTAGGTGGTGCCCCAGTTGGAGTCTGTGTGGAGGCCTGAACCCCACATTTCCTTCTGCTCTGCCCTAGCAGAGGTTCTCCATGAGAGCTCCGCCCCTGCAGCAAACTTCTACCCTGACATCCAGGCATTTCTACACATTCTCTGAAAAGTAGGCAGAGGTTCCCAAACCCCAATTCTTGACTTCTGTGCACCCACAGGCTTAACAACATGTGGGGGCTGCCAAGGCTTGAGGCTTGCACCCTCTGAAGACACGGCATGAGCTCTTTGTTGGCCTCTTTCAGCCATAACTGGAGCGGCTGGGACACAGGGCACCAAGTCCCTAGGCTGCACACAGCACGGGGGCCCTAAGCCTGGCCCACGAAACCACTTTTTCCTCCTAGGCCTCCAGGCCTGTGATGTGAGGGGCTGCCGTGAAGACCTCTGACATGCCCTGGAGACATTTTCCCCATTGTCTTGGAGATTAACATTTAGCTCCTCACTACTTATGCAAATTTATGCAGCTGACTTGAACTTCTCCTCAGAAAATGGGATTTTCTTTTCTATTGCATTGTCAGGCTGCAAATTTTCCAAACTTTTATGCTCTGTTTCCCTTTTAAAACTGAATGCCTTTAACAGCATCCAAGACACCTCTTGAATGCCTTGCTGCTTAGAAATTTCTTCCACCAGATACTCTAAATCATCTCGTTCAAGTTCAAACTTCCACAAATCTCTAGGGCAGGGCAAAATGCCACCAGTCTCTTTGCTAAAACATAACAAGAGTCACCTTTACTCCAGTCCCCAACAAGTTCCTCATCTCCATCTGAAACCACCTCAGCCTGGATTTCATTCTCCATATCACTATCAGCATTTTGTTCAAAGCCATTCAACAAGTCTCTAGGAAGTTCCAAACTTTCCCACATTTTCCTGTCTCCTTCTAGGCCCTCCAAACTGTTCCATCCTCTGCCTTGTTACTCAGTTCCAAAGTGGCTTCCACATTTTTGGGTATCTTTTCAGCAGTGCCCCACTCTACTGGTACTAATTTACTATGGGTGTGACTGCCCAGCTTTCCCCAAGCTGAGGCCACAACTACACAAGCATCTTTCTACAGTATCCAGCACAACAGATGTCTCTAAATTTCTGAAAAATCTATTTTATAGCGATACTGGGTTTTTTTCACCCAGAGTAAGAAGCTTTTTTAATTAATAATTTTACTTGTTAAACACTATGTGCAGAATATTGCATCTGATTTTGTTGAGGACAAATCAAAAGAAGTCTTCAGGTGATCAGAGAAGCCAATCACAGGGGCAAATTTTTTTTCCAATTTTTACTTAGAGTAAATTAAGTCAGCTAGTTTCCAAATAATTTATAAAAGTTGACTTTTAGGCTGGGCACGGTGGCTCATGCCTGTAATCCTAGCACTTTGGGAGGTCGAGCCGGGTGGATCATTTGAGGTCAGGAGTTCAAGACCAGCCTGGCCAACATGGTGAAACCCCATCTCTACTAAAAATACAAAAATTAACCGGGCATGGGGCACACACCTGTAATCCCAGCTACTCGGGAGACTGAGGCAGGAAAATCACTCAATCCTGGGAGGCAGAGGTTACAATGAGCTGAGATCGCGCCACTGCACTCCAGCCTGGATGACAGAACAAGGCTCTGTCTCAAAAAAAAAAAAAAAAAAAAAAAAAGTGACCCACAGCGAGTCCAGGTGGGGCGGGGGGCATGCTCTACTACTGGACCTGGGTTGTTGATCATTTCACAATTTCATTACAGTACACATTTACATTTTATGTAACCCTTTTTCTAAGTGTGTTCTTTATAATTTTGTTTTGTTTTGTTTTTTGAAACGGAGTTTCGCTCTTGTTGTCCAGGCTGGAGTGCAAGGGCGTGATCTTGGCTCACCGCAACCTCTACCGCCTGGATTCAAGCAATTCTCCTGCCTCAGCCTCCTGAGTAGCTGGGATTACAGGCGTGTGCCACCACACCTGGCTAATTTTGTATTTTTAGTAGAGTTGGGGTTTCTCCGTGTTAGGCTGGTCTCGAACACCCAACCTCAGGTGATCCGCCTGCCTCGGCCTCCCAAAGTGCTGGGATTACAGGCATGAGCCACCACGCCTGGCCTCTTTCACAATTTTTTAAGAAGCTGAATATAAAGGATGAAAAGGACTCTCCAAAGGACACTGAAAGGGAACAGCCAGATCTGGTAACAGAAAAACCAGGATGCCACCACAGAACCCAAAGAGAGGGTGAGTTTCAAGAATCGAAGTGGCCAACAGTGTCAAATATTGCAGAAAGGCCAGGTAAGTCTAGGACTTACCTAGAGCTCTCCTAACGACAAGGAGGTCACTAGGGACCCTGGCAGGTGCAGTCTGAGTGGCAACAGGGGACACCACCCTGCAATAAATGAATTGCCTGCGGGAGGTAGAAAAGTAGAGAATGAGAGAGTCCACAGGCCAGCAACGGCTGGAGAGCAGCCTGAGACCTAAGGTGGGTGTTCGCAAAGGTGAAAGAGCTTCAGTTATGTTTCAGTGTGGACAAGAAAATGACAGCAGAGAAGGAGACACTAATGGTGACAATGGGGAGGGGGAAACAGTAGATCAGATGAGGTCCCTAAGAAGGTAAGAAGGATGAGACATGAAACCCAGGAGGCGCGGCTGGTGCTCCATGAAGAAAGGGGGCTTCTCCCTTGTAACAGCAGACAGTGTGGTGAGGTAACATGACAAGTCTCCCTTGTAACAGCAGACAGTGTGGTGAGGTAACATGACAAGAGTACTGACAGTAACACAACTGAAATTTTAACCAAGGTCCTCTGATTCTGAAGCTGTATAATAGGATCTATACAAAACAACACCATTTTTATAAGCTCAAAATTAACACAGACTGTCCCTGATTTACAATGATTTAACTTATATTTTTAGACTTTACAGTGATATGAAACCACTCTGCTTTTTACTTTTAGTGCAGTATTCAATAAGTTACATAAGATATTCAACACTTTATTATAAAATAGGCCTTGTATTTGGTGATTTTGCCCAACTATAGGCTAAATAAGTGTTCTGAACTCATTCAAGGTAGGCTAGGAGGACAGGTGTATTAAATGCATTTTCAACTTAATGATTTCAACTCACAATGGTTTTATCAGGGCATAACCCCATTACAAGTCAAGGAACATCTGTATACAGCTAAGTGTTGCATATTCATTCACTGAAATATTTACTGAGCACCTATCAGGTACCAAAAACAAGACGTTGGATAAATCTTGCTAAAGCTGGACATTCTCTATTCTATTGAACATAACCCACCCATGAGGCAAGGGGGCCCTGGGTGCCTAGAAGCTGGGTTGTCTTGACCACACGGGCTCAGACAGCAAGTGGCAAGGCCTGATCCAGCTCCTCAGCGGGTCCACAAGGAAGCATCTAAGTGTTGTGAGCTCTGACAGAAAATACACAATGAACATCAATAGGAATTAATTAGACTTCAGCCAGCTGGAAAGAAGACTGGTAAACCATCATCACTCTCACATTTCAAACTAGTCAGAGGCCAGGCATGATGGCTCATGCCTGTAATCCCAGCACTTTAGGAGACCAAAGCAAGAGGATCACTTGAGGACAGGTGTGGGCGGCAAGCCACCCAGGTGCCGAGGCAAGAGACCGAGGGCACGAGCTGTTCCAGTATAATAAAATATATAAAATAAGAATAGTTATACTAGATATAGATCTTAGATATGATTATGTATGAATATCATTAATCATTAGTTTGTAGTAATTACTCTTTATTCCAATATTATAATAATTCTCGCTCTACAATCATAACCTAGGAAAAACCAGGCCATACAGAGACAGGAGCTGAGGGGACATAGTGAGAAGTGACCAGAAGACAAGAGTGCGAGCCTTCTGTTATGCCCGGACAGGGCCACCAGAGGGCTCCTTGGTCTAGCAGTAATGCCAGCATCTGGGAAGACGCCCGTTGCCAAGCGGACCATGGTCTAGCCGTGGTCTAGTGGTAGCGTCAGTGTCAAGGAAAAACACCCGCTACTCAGCAGACCGGGAAAGGGAGTCTCCCTTTCCCTGGGGTAGTTTAGAGAAGACTCTGCTCCTCCACCTCTTGTGGAGGGCTTGACATCAGTTAGGCCCGCCCGCAGTTATCCGGAGGCCTAACCGTCTCCCTGTGATGCTGTGCTTCAGTGGTCACACTCCTAGTCTGCTTTCATGTTCCATCCTGTACACCTGGCTCTGCCTTTTAGATAGCAGTGGCAAGTTAGTGAAAGTACTAAAAGTCTCTGATAAGCAGAAATAATAGCATAAGCTGTCTCTCCCTCTCTCTCTCCTCTCTCTCTCTGCCTTGGCTGCCAGGCAGGGAAGGGCCCCCTGTCCAGTCGACACGTGACCCACATGACCTTACCTATCATTGGAGATGGCTCACACTCCTTACCCTGCCCCTTTGTCTTGTATCCAATAAATATCAGCGCAGCCTGGCATTCGGGGCCACTACTGGTCTCTGCGTCTTGGTGGTAGTGGTCCCCCAGGCCCAGCTGTCTTTTCTTTTATCTCTTTGTCTTGTGTCTTTATTTCTACAATCTCTCATCTCTGCACACGGGGAGAAAAACCCACCGACCCTGTGGGGCTGGTCCCTACAGACAGGAGTTCAAGATCAGCCTGGACAACATAGCAAGACCCTATCTCCACAAAAAAATTTTTTTTAATTAGCCAAGCATGGTGGTATGCATCTGTAGTCATAGCTTCTTGGAAGGCTGAGATGGGAGAATCTCTTGAGCCAAGGAGTTCAAGGTTACAGTGAGCTATGATCGCACCAATGCACTCCGGCCTAGGTAACAGAGCAAGACCCAATCTCAAAGAAAAAAAAAAAAAAGAGTCAGAAAATGCAAATTGTTTAAATGTTGTAAATGTAAGTGCTACCTCCTCCCTACCTTGAATAGAGCCTCACCTGGCAACTTGTTTCTCAAGAGTACAATGTGGAAAGGAGGCAGTAATGCATAATGGAGAAACCTGGCAAACACAACCTTTCCAGTGATCAAAGTCTGTGTCATCAGTGCTATAGTTTGTCCCCTCCAAATCTCATGTTGACATTTGATTCCAGTGTTGGAGGTGGGGCCTAATAGCAGGTGTGTGGGACATGGGGGCGGATGCCTCATGAATAGATTAATGCCCTCCCTTGGGGAGACTGAGTTCTCACTGTTATTGGTTCCTACCAGAGTTCCCCCTGAGAGGTGACTGTTACAAAAAGCCTGGCACACCCACCTTCTTCCAGTCTCACCATGTGATCTCTGCACACACCAGCTCCCTGAGCAGAGGCCAGTGCCATGGTTCTTGTATAGCCTGCAGAACTGTGAGCCAAATAAACCTCTTTCTTTTATAAATTACCCAGACTGAGGTATTCCTTCATAACAGTGTTAAATGCTATTCACAATAGCCAAGATATGGAATCAACCTAGGTGTACAACAGATGGAGAAAGAAAATGGAGAATATATACACAATGGAGTATTATTCAGCCATAAAAACTGTGAAATCCTGTCATTTGCAACAACATGGATGAAACTGGAGGACATTATGTTAAGTGAAATAAGCCAGGAACAGAAAGTTAAATACCACATGTTCTCATGTGGAAGCTAAAAAACAGTTTAATAGAAGTAAAGAGTAGAGCAGAAGATACTAGAGGCTGGGAAGGGTAGGGGAAAGGAGGAGGCAATAGGGAGATTTGTTAAAGGATACAAAAGGACAGCCAGATAGGAGGAGGAAGCTCCAGTGTTCTACAGATAACAACAATATGTAATTTCAAATAGCTATAGGAGGCTACTGAATGTTCCCAACACACACACAAAAAAATGTTTGATACAATAGATATGCTAGTTACACTGAGCTCATCACCATGCATTGTATGTATCACATCACTATGTACCCCATGAATTATTATGTGTGAATTTAAATTTTTTAATTAAAAAAAACATTAAACAGACTTAAGACAACCAGTAAAGGTCATGTTGATAGTGTATACCCTTGATATGTGACAAAAATGGCACCTCAGCCTGTGGTCTTCCTCCCCAAAACCAATAACCTCAGTTTAACCATGAGAAAAACATCAGTCAAAGACCAGTACTCTTCAAATCGTCAAAGTCTTAAAAAATGAGGAAAGTCTGAGAAACTACCACAGCCAAGAGGAGCCTAAGGAAACATCGCGACCAAACCTAATGTAGCATCCCGGACGGGATCCCAGAATAAAGGACATTATGGAAAATACAGTCAAACCAAATAAAGTGAAGTTTAGTTAGTAGGTTTTTTTAAGTGTTACTAAGTAAATGTTAACTACAAATAGATGTCCTGAAGCATTTTCCCTATGCTTTCTTTCTCAAACTCCTGGGCTCAAGTGATCGGCCCACCTTGGCCTCCCAAAGTGCTGAGATTACAGGTGTGAGCCACTGTGCCTTGCCATGAATTGGAAGAATTTATACTATTAAAATGACTATACTACCCAAAGTGATGTACAGATTCATACAATTTCAATCAAAATACCAATGACATTCTTCACAGAAATCAAAAAAAAAATCCTAAAATTCATATGGAACCAAAAAAGATCTCACAAGCCAAAGCAATCCTGGGCAAAGTGAACAAAGCAAGAGGCATCACATTACCTAACTTCAAAATATACTACAAAGCAATGGTAACCAAAACAGCATGATATTGGCATAAAAACAGACACACAGATGATCAATGGAACAGAATAAAGAACCCAGAAATAAAATAACATATTTACAGCCAACTGATTTTTAAGAAAGGCATCAAGAACATTCACTGGAGAAAGAACAGTCTCTTCAATAAATGGTGCTGGGAACACTGGATATCCAGATGCAGAAAAATAAAACTA
Source organism: Homo sapiens (assembly GCF_000001405.40). Taxonomy (NCBI): domain Eukaryota; kingdom Metazoa; phylum Chordata; class Mammalia; order Primates; family Hominidae; genus Homo; species Homo sapiens. The sequence continues at coordinate 103,977,864 of NC_000014.9, read as the reverse complement.
AACCCCTCTCTCTCAATATACACAAAAATCAACTCAAAATGGATTTAAGACTTAAACTAAATCCTGAAACTATGAAGCTATTAGCAGAAAACATAGGGAAAATGCTTCAGGACATATATTTGTACAAAGATTTGATGGCTAAGACCTCAAAAGCACAGACAGCAAAAGCAAAAGTAGACAAATAGGATTATATCAAACTAACAAGCTTCTGCATAGCAAAAAAAAAAAAAAAAAGAAAGAAATCAACTGAGTGAATGGGGGGAAACATTTGCAAACTATTCATCTGACAAGGGATTAATACCCAGAATATACAAGGAGCTCAACAGCAAAAAACAATCCAATTTTTTTTTTTTTTTTTTTTTTTTTTTTTTTGAGATGGAGTCTCTCTCTGTCACCCAGGCTGGAGTGCAGTGGTGCAATCTTGGCTCACTGCAAGCTCCGCCTCCCGGGTTCATGCCATTCTCCTGCCTCAGCTTCCCGAGTAGCTGGGACTACAGGCACCTGCCGCCACGCCCGGCTAATTTTTTGGTTATTTTTAGTAGAGACGGGGTTTCACCGTGTTAGCCAGGATGGTCTCGATCTCCTGACCTGGTGATCCACCGGCCTCGGCCTCCCAAAGTGCTGGGATTACAGACATAAGCCACCGCGCCAGGCCCAAACAATCCAATTTTTTTAATGGGCAAATAAGTGAGCTGAAAAGACTTTTCTAAACAGAAGGCATACTACTGGCTAATACAGGAAAAAATGCTCAGTATCACCAATTGTCACGGAAATGCAAATCCAAACCATATTGAGATATTATCTCACATGTGCCAGAATAGCTATTATCAAAAGACAAATAAAGGCTGGGTGCAGTGATTCACACATGTAATCCCAGCACTTTGGGAGGCTGAGGCAGGAGGACCGCTTGAGCCCAGGACTTCAAGGTTTCAGTGAACTATGATAGTGCCACTGCACTCCAGCCTGGGTGACAGAGCAAAACCCTATCTCTAAAATAAATAAGTAAAAATAAAAGACAAAATATGACAAATGCTGGCAAAAATGCAAAGAAAGGGGAACTCTTGTATACTGTTGGTAGGAATGTCAATTAGTATAGCGTTTATGGAAAACAGTATGGAGGATCCTCAAAAAAACTAAAAACAGAACTACCATATGGCCTAGCCATCCTACTACTGGGTATATTTCCAAAGGAAAGAAAAACAATATGCTGAAGAGATAGCTCCACTCTCACGTTTACTGCAGCATTATTCACCATAGCCAAGATATGGAATCAACCTAGGTGTACATTAAGAGATGAATGGATAGGCCAGGCGCGGTGGCTCATGCCTGTAATCCCAGCACTTTGGGAGGCTGAGGCGGGCGGATCATGAGGTCAGGGGATTGAGACCACAGTGAAACCCCGTCTCTACTAAAAATACAAAAAATTAGCCAGGCATGGTGGCGGACGCCTGTAGTCCTAGCTATTTGGGAGGCTGAGGCAGGAGAATGGTGTGAACCTGGAAGGCAGAGCTTGCAGTGAGCTGAGATCGCGCCACTGCACTCCAGCCTAGGCAACAGAGCAAGACTCTGTCTCGAAAAAAAAAAAGAAAAAAAAGAGATGAATGGATAAAGAAAATATAGTATATACACACAATTAAATACTACTCAGCCATGAAAAAAGAATAAAATCCTATCATTCTGGGCAACATGGCTGAGTGAAGTTAGTGAAATAAGTCAGGCACAGAAAGATAAATACCACACATTCTCATTCAAATTTGGACGCTAAGAAGGCTGATCTCACGGAAGGAGAAAGTAGAAAAGAAGTTACTAGAGGCTGGGAAGGGGGGGAAATAGGAAGAGGTTGGTTAATGGACAGAAAATTATAGCTAGATAAGAAATAACTTCTAGTGTCCTTTTTAAAGAGAGATGAGGGTCCCACTATGGCTGGAACTACAGACCCCCACCACTACGCCCAGTTTTCGTGTTCTAGAGCACCGTGGGGTGACTACAGTTGACAAAAACTTATCGTTTATTTTCAAATAGCTAGAAGAGAGGATTTTAAATGTTCCCACCACAAAGATAAATGTTAAAGATAATTAACAATGATAAATGTTGGAGATGATGGATTTGCTAATTACCTTGACTTGATCATGACACATTATACCTATGTATCAAAATACCACACTATACTCCATAAATATGTACACTTAGTATGCATCAATTTTAAAATAATAATTTTCTCGCAGGGCCTTACAATCATAGGTGATGAATGCAGGTTTGATCCAATACAAGAGTACGCTCACTATAAAAGAAACAGCACATTCTAACATACCTTGCTATGATGAATGTGCTCCAAATCATTAAGATAATACTCTTCAACTGAATGGGGCTTGCCTTCCACTTCAAAAATATATGCAGGATTCATCTTGTTTTGAACAGGAACAGCAAAGTAGTCTGCAAACTCTTTACAGCTGATGGTAGCCGACATCAGGACCACCTACAGAGTAAGAGAAAACATTCAAATAAAACAATGAGAATCATCACAAATTAAATACTTCTAAAACTGCAGGCTTTTCTTCTGCTTCACTCCTTATCTAACAACTTTTGAGACTTTAAACAGACCACCCTGATTTAATCTCTAGTGTAATTATTGTAGTTTAAACAATGTTCAGAGATACCAACTTTTACTATTTCTCTTCGAGTACCTTTTCAAATGATAAATTTCATCTCCAATAAGGGTAAATTAAAACCATTTTTCTGAAAGAAAACTTTGCATCAGGAGACTAATTTTAAAAAAGAATAAGGCCCAGGTAAACAAAGATACTGTGGCTCACACCTATAATCCCAGCACTTTGGGAGGCTGAGGCAGGAGGACCACTTGAGCCCAGGAGTACAAGACCAGCCTGAGCAACAACATGAGACCACTGTCTCTACAAAAAAATAAATTAATTAATTAAAAATAAATTTTAAAAAAAGAGTAAGGCCAGGTGCCGTGGCTCATGCCTGTAATCTTGGGCCAAGAGTTTAAAACCAGCCTGGGCAACATAGCAAGACCCCATCATTACAAAAAATTTAAAAATAGCTGGGCATGATGGTGCCCTCTTGTAGTCCCAGCTACTCAAGAGGCTGAGGTGGGAGGATCACTGGAGCCAAGGAGGTCGAGGCTGCAGTGATCTATGATCACACCACTGCACTCTAGCCTGGGCAACAGAGCAAGATCCTGTTTCTAAAAACAAAAATAAAAAATAAATTAAAAAGAATAAGTTACTCTATGATGTGTTCCAGAGAAATGACAGAGTAAGCCAGCAAAGAAAACGGGATCTAGAAAACTCTAGCTCCAACTCAAGAAACTGGAGAAGTCCCAGGACGACAGTGGTGCAGGAGCAGAGGAACAACCCCAGACTGGGGCAAGATGACTGACTGCAGCTTCCAGTTTTGTCAAAAAGCAAATATGAAATGATATCCTTAAGAAACTCAGCCATGAATGACAGGAGCAGTGCATACAGCCCGAGACGTGCCAGGAGAAAGTGGCTGATTATGGAGGGTCTCCCAGCTCAGCAGTCTCCATAATGCTACGTGGGGAGTGGGCACAGCAGTCCGGCTGGCTGCTCACCACCTACTGTACATCGCAAGTAGAGGTATCTAAGAGGAAATCCTAGCCAAAAAGTAAACTTTTTTATTTTTGAGACAAGTTCTGGCTCTACCACCCAGGCTGGAGTGCAGTGGTGTGATGTCAGCTCACTGCAACCTCAGCCTCCTGGGCTTCAGTGATCCTCTCACCTCAGCCTCTGAGGTAGGTAGGACTACATGTGTGCACCACCACACCTGGCTAATTTTTGTGACTGTTTTTTGTAGAGGCAGGGTTTCGCCATGTTGCCCAGGCCAGTCTCACACTTGTGAGCTCAGGCGATCTGCCCACCTCGGCCTCCCAAAGTGCTGGGATTACAGGCATGAGCCACCACACCCAGCCAAAAAGTAAACATTTCATATAAGCATTGTTGTTGCAGTTATTGAGTAAAGAAAACATCTGTATTTTCCCCTTTGGAATGAGATACAAATGGTAAAAACTGTACAGACTAAAACTCATTTTGAGATGTCTGAAGTTAAAAAGAATGCTCTCAGAAGCCACTTGGAGTGGAAGAGAGGCTCCTAAGGGACACACCCCAGTCACCATAAATGATCTCTAAACTGGGTTTTAAGGAACGACGAGGCCAGTGAACTGCAGGACACAGAGTGCAGCCTGCAAACAAGAGGCCAAGCCTGGAATGCAGGGAGCAAGCAGGACTCAGCCTGGCCACCAGCCTCCCTCATCCACCCTCCCCGGCAGCCCTCTGCCTCTTCTCCAAACAGGCAAGTCAGCAGACACCCAAGACAACTGCCTGTCTGGAGTGGGCCTGAGCTGAGTCCAGTCAGCAAGAGGTGACAACAAGGTCAGTGGCTGGAGGATGGTATAGAGGAGGCAGTGAGAGGAAGCCAGGTCGGGGGAACCACAGGGACCTAAAGGTTGGGGGGAGAGGAAAGGGGAGGCCTTAAAGCCCATGTGCCCGTGCCCCACACCCAGGTCCTCTTGACAGCGGCACTCTCTTTAAAAGCTGATACAGATTTTTTGAGAGTTTTTTAAAAACCTCTTACAAAACCACCTAGAATATGGTGTCTAATTTCTTGGCCCAACTACATGTACCATATAAGTTTCTATATCGAGAAAATATGCTGCTTCACGTATTTGTTAATAAATCATGAACACAGTGAAACTGACCAACCATATCTTACAACTTATAAGTACCAAATTCCTTACCAACATGTCCATCAGTGTAGGGTTTTGTTAATCCACTAACACTTGTCTAACTCTTTTTACCATTGAAAACTAAAAAATGTGTAACCAACTCATTATTCTGACTTGAGTAAAAAAGAAGAGTCTTAAATGACATTCAAGAAAGGTCTCAATGTGAATAATCTTCAATGGCAGCTTGGTTAAGATTCCAAAAAGGACTGAAATAGCCAAATTCTCTCATTCATTTCATAGTCACCTCAAGCAATAAGACAACTGATTGCAAGTGTCGAGTTCCATTCATTCAGCACCCACCCAGTGAAAATATGAACATCCTAAGGCAGAAGCTTCCCCACCTGGGGACATGGGAAAGAGAAAGAGAAATGTTTTCCTCAACAAATAAACACTTGAAGACAAAATGCTTTATGGTTTAGAAAGCAACTGCTTTCCAAAGCAGCCCCATCATAGAATAACTGAATAACCCAACCATGCGGCCTTTTATCAAGCTGTTTCCCACAGACCTCTGCTTAGCACAGCTGGGTTAAGGTCGACCTATGAGTAGACTTATTTAGACTGCACAATTATTCTAAACCCTTCGCCATTTTGGCCTAGTTCACACCTTCTTCCTTTTTGTTCAAATAAGAAGTAAATGATATTTATCATTCCCATCAACTTTCAGTTAACTCTACTTACGTCTCTCAAATACTAGTACATACTCTGTTCTCAAATTTCAATGCACTTTGGTGCTATTTCGAACACAGGGACTGCAGATTCATTCACTTACTTTTTGTTTTGTTTTTGTTTTTTTTTTTAAATGCAGTCTCTCTCTGTTGCCCAGGCTGGAGTGCAGTGGCACAATCTCGGCTCACTGCAACCTCCGCTTCCCGGCTTCAAGCAATTCTCCTGCCTCAGCCTCCCAAGTAGCTGGGATTACAGGCGCCCGCCACCACGCCCGGCTAATTCTTGAGACAGGGTCTCATCTGTTACCCAGGCTGGAGTGCAGTGGCGCAATCACAGTTCACTGCAGCCTGGACCTCCCAGGCTCAAGCAATCCTCCGTCAGCCTCCCAAGTAGCTGGGACCACAGACACACACCACTATGTCCAGCTAGTTTTTGTATTTTTTGTAGAGATGGGGTTTCACCATGTTGCCCAGGCTGGTCTTGATCTCCTTGGGCTCAAGCAATCTGCCCACCTTTGCCCCCCAAACTGCTGGGATTACAGGCGTGAGCCACTGTACCACCCAGCTTCATTCACATACCTTTAAACTGTGGTACTTATTCAACCAAAAGCAAAGCTCAAAACCCAGCATGTCATTATAGTCAACTAGACCATTTTCTGCAGCCTGGAGAAAATATGAGAGTTTAAGGCAACATAATAACCAAAAAGTATCCGTACTCTGTTCATAAAAGAATGCCCCTTAGTTGGCTTCCTGGCAAGATCTGGTGTACTACACATGATCATGAATTTTAAGCGTCATCAGTTTCAAATGTTTCTGTTAAAATACAGTCAGCCCGGCCAAGTGCAGTGGCTCACATCTGTAATCACAGCCCTTTGGAAGACCAAAGCAAGCAAATCAGTTGAGGTCAGGAGTTCAAGACCAGCCTGGTGCAAAACCCCATCTATACCAAAAACTACAAAAAAAAAATTAGCCTGGCATGGTGGTGGGTGCCTGTAGTCCCAGCTACTCAAGAGGCTGAGGCATGAGAATTGCTTGAACCTGGGAGGCGGAGGTGGCAGTGAGCTGAGATCGCACCACTGCACTCCACCCTGGGCAACAGAGTGAGACTCCATCTCAAAATAAATAAATAAGTAAACAAACAAACAAACAGCCCTGGGCCAGGCGCGGTGGCTCACACCTGTAATCCCAGCAATTTGGGAGGCCAAGGCGGGCGGATCACGAGGTCAGGAGATCAAGACCATCCTGGCTAACACGATGAAACCCCGCCTCTACTAAAAATACAAAAAATTAGCTGGGCTTGGTGGTGGGTGCCTGTAGTCCCAGCTACTTGGGAGGCTGAGGCAGGAGAATGGCATGAACCCAGGAGGCGGAGCTTGCAGTGAGCCGAGATCACGCCACTGCACTCCAGCCTGGGCGACAGAGCTAGACTCCGTCTCAAAAAAAAAAAATACAGTCAGCCCTCTGTATCCAGATTCTGCATTTGCAGATTCAACCAACTGAAAATCAAAAATATTCAGAAAAAATAAAAATACAAATTTAAAAAATAGAGTATAGCAACTATTTACATGGCATTTACATTATATTCAGTATTGTAGATAACCTAGAGGTGACTTAGAGCATATGGGAAGATGTGCATAGGCTACATGCAAATACTTTACTATGCCATTTCATATAAGGCACTTGAGGATCCTCAGATTTTAGTATCTGTCCGGGGTCCCAGAATGCTCTATAGACACCAACAGACTATAGAGAGAAACAAAACTAAACAATGAATCTTAATCCTAAATATGTCTGTTACTCATGAAATCAAATTTACCTTCACAAAACGTGAATTTGTTCTTAAGAGTTTGCGGACTACCAATAGCAGGAAATCCATTTCTTCTGTTCGTTCGTGTACCTACAAAATAAAAAAGGGGGCACCCCCCACATGGCATCAGGCAACACACATGACACTGCTGACAGAAAGGCACCACTGGGGGACTGGGGACTAAACCAGTTCTCTCTGCTAAATGCAGTTCCTCAGGGGGCTAGTATCACTCCTGGTTAAGAGGAAGCAAAGAGCATCGGCCAACAGACCACAGACCACCCACTCAGTCACGGCCCCCAGTGTTTCTCCTTAGGGCCCCCTGAGAGACGGCAGAGTAATGTTCTGCACCCTCGCCCCTGCTCATTTACTGCCAACTGTGCCCAAGGTCACTGTGACAACCAGAAACCTCTCCACCTACCTCAAGCACAGAGAACCACTGGGCCAGCCTCCCATGGCCCCTCCTTGCCACAACCCCTGCCAGGCCTGCAGGTACACTGTCATCTGAGCAAGCAAGCACAGGGAAGAAGATGTGCCAGTCTAACACTGACCGGGAGCCATGTGACCCCTACAGGACACATTCCATGATGTGCATAACTGCAGCTCACAAGGGTGGGCAAGGGCTGGTCCTGGAAAAGCTGGGTCAGTCACAAACAGGTAAACCAGAGCAAGGTTAGGACCCGAGGTCAGTAGCACTGACACTCGGGGACAGCAGTCAGGGAGGCAGCACCTCAGACAGACCTTGCAGCCCTCCTCAGACAGAGACCTCACAGTCAGAGCCACCCCAGGACCCACAGCCCCCCCACCCCGCCCCACCCCAGAACCAGCTAGCACCCAAGGGCTAGGCAGCCTGCTACTGTTCTAAAGAAGCCAGTTACTCTAGAACTTAGGAAACATCAATGTACAAGGGGACGGTAAGATTCTATTCTGGGACATTTCTCAGCCGAAGTGGAGAGATAATTACTAAGTTTCAAAGAGGGAGTTCTCCTTTCCTCAGTGTAAGAGGTGTAAGGATTTATTCTGTAAGTAATTCTATTCCAGGCCCTACTATCTTCTGAACTTCCCACTGAAGGAGATGTCTAGAGAAGTAGCATAGAGAAAAGAAAAACAAAAATCAGTAGCTAAAAGGTATTTAACATCATCATAAATCTCATGCTGTCACTTGACTTCAGAACATTTCCTCAGCACAAACATCCTCTCTTTTACTTGAGAAGAAAAATCAAGGCTATCATCAGCAAAAAGCCCCAAAGTGAGCTCTCCTCAGCTTGTGGCAGTCTCTTCTGAGTTCACACACCCATCATCTTCCCTCTGCCCCGCAACCCACTGGCTCCAGGATCCCTACACCAGCCTTTCTAACACATAAACATACACACATCAGCAGATGGGTCTCCCTAGTACTCATCTTTATAACCTCAGCCCCTTAGGAGGCACCTTTTCCATAGCAGTACTCAAAAAAAAAAAAAAAGTTTATTGAATGAATGATTTGCTTAAAGCTAGTTTTTTTTGGGGGGTTTTTTTTTTGCTTTTTTTTTTTTACACAGAGTCTTATTCTGTAGCCCAGGCTGGAGTGCAGTGACGCGATCTCCGCTCACTGCAAGCTCCGCCTCCCGGGTTCACGCCATTCTCCGGCCTCAGCCTCCCGAGTAGCTGGGACTACAGGTGCCCGCCACCATGCCCGGCTAATTTTTTGTATTTTTAGTAGAGACGGGGTTTCATCGTGTTAGCCAAGATGGTCTCAATCTCCTGACCTGGTGATCCGCCCACCTCGGCCTCCCAAAGTGCTGAGATTATAGGCGTGAGCCACCGCACCCGGCCAAGCTACTTTATTCTTTTTTTTTGAGACAGAGTCTCACTCTGTCGCCCAGGCTGGAGTGCAGTGGCGCAATCTCAGCTCACTGCAACCTCTGCCTCCCGGGTTCACGCCATTCTCCTGCCTCAGCCTCCTGAGTAGCTGGGACTACAGGCGCCCGCCACCACGCCCGGCTAATTTTTTGTATTTTTAGTAGAGATGGGGTTTCACCATGTTAGCCAGGATGGTCTCGATCTCCTGATCTCACAAATCCTCGTGATCCGCCCACCTCGGCCTCCCAAAGTGCTGGGATTACAGGTGTGAGCCACCGTGCCCGGCCCAAGCTACTTTATCCTTAAGAGCTGGAAAGTTTAAAACATTATTCCATTTTAAACTGGCTGGCTATCTTCAACTTTTGTTCTTGTATTTGTTTTGAAATTCAAATAATCCCAGATAATGCAAACGATACTATATGTAAACCTAAAACTTCAGGTAGTTGAATCCAGTCCATTCATTTATGAAGCAAATAATCCCTGGGGCATCTACAAGGTGCTGACACCGCACCAGACAGAGGCAGAGCAGGAAGCTGCCGTGATGGCGCGATGGTCTTCTGTTGGTTACCGCTCCCCAGTAGGGCAAGCTCTCGAAGAGAGGAGCTAACTTTTGCTCAGCTATTAAGGCAGAGCTTGAGAAAAGGATATAGTCAGTAACACAGCATTGATGGATTTATCTGTGTCACTCAAGTATGGGTGTGCAAAGGCCACGTAGGCAGAGAAATATGTCAGACACACAGAAAATAAATGTAGGCACCAGCACCACAGCCTCTAGAGTAAACTACCCAGGGATGAACCCAGCAACATCACTAATTACTTGTGGCCTGAGCACTGAACTTCCTTAAACTTTAGTTTCCTTTTATGTAAAGTGGGCTCAATTATACTAAAAAGCCCAATGAATAACTATTACAACCTTCATAATGCCATCTTTTGGCATATTATCTATTAAATCTGAATTTGTCTCTACCTACTATAAAGATATTCAAAACTACCATAAGTCATAAAGAAAAATTCTGAACCGTATTATATATCACCCTATTTTGTAAGAAACAGTAGATCATTTTCACCCTCTCCTACTCTCCCACCAAATGCCCTACAATAATTTAAAACCAAGTGCCTGTACATAAGATCACAAACGCACTGACTCAGCTTTGCCTGGAGTATATGTTGTATTATTCGTTATCCCATGCATCAAAATAGAGTGCAGAGACACTACCCTAAACAGTTGCCCAAATGGGTTTATCCTTTTGGTTGTTATTGTTGTTTTCCAACGCAGTCTCACTCTGTTGCCCAGGCTGAAGGGCAGTGGCACAAACTCAGCTCACTGCAACCTCCATCTCCCAGGTTCAAGTTATTCTCCCACCTCAGCCTCTCAAGTAGCTGGGACTATAGGTGTGTGCCACCGCACCCAGCTAATCTTTTTTTTTTTTTTTTTTTTTTTTTTGTATTTTTAGTAGAGATGGGTTTCACCATGTTGGCCAGGTTGGTCTCGAACTCCTGACCTCAAGTGATCCACCCACCTTGGCCTCCCAGAGTATCGGGATTACAGGCATGAGCCCGTTGCCCAAATGGTTTGATTTCAGACTCTATTAAACACCCTACCCTTGTCTCACAACCTCTCACAAATCCTATTTATTTGCTGATGTGTCTAATTCCTCTAGAAATAAGTCAAGCTTCCCAAACAGAATTACTGATAAGGTTTAAAACACAAGAGTTTAAGAACCAGTACCAAAGTTCTTGGGAAAGTTATTCAAACACAACATTCCCCACCAAAAAACTCATGTTTAAAATATAAACAAAATCAAAAAACATTCCATCCTTACTGAGAAAAGTCCAGAAAGTAAAGGGGAAGGAAAAAATAAAGAAAGCTGAGACAGGCACAAAGACAGGGTTCACAATACTCTGAGAGTTTTTTTAAGAGAGATAAATATGACCTTTACAAGTAGATGACATCACTTACTTCATCAATGATGATATGTGTGAATTCCATCAAACTCTTGGCACTAACTATTTTCTGAAGCAGGACTCCAGTTGTCATATAAATTAGCCTGGTGTCCTCTGTTGCTATTTTCTCTAGCCCTACCTAAAATTGGAGAAGGAAAAAGGAAAGGAAAAAAGAGAAAAAAAAAGTTATGTCCATTTTATTAATATAATGGGGGTAAGAAAGGGAATGAAAAATTAAGGTATTTCGAAAGATACACAGGCTCCAAATTAAAAGTGACATTCTCAAGTCAATTATTTTCTTCTTTTTTGGGGGGAGGGCGGCAGGGGTTGGCTCATCTAATCACACTGCTATAACATTTTTATGTTAAAACAATTGTGTATCAAGACATCTTCTAGATTACAGATATAATTAAAAAGATAAAATTATAAAAGCCATAAGCATGAGAATTCTTACTGCTTTCCTATTCAACTGGAAAGAAATTACAATTTATTTTCAAGAAATTCTTTTTTTCTTTTCGAAACAGAGTCTCACTTTGTCACCCAAGTTGGAGTGCAGTGGCATGATCTCAGCTCACTGCAACCTCTGCCTCCCGGGTTCAAGCAATTCTCATACCCCAGCCTCCTGAGTAGCTGGAATCACAGGCATGTGCCATCATGCCTGGCTAATTTTTGTATTTTTAGTAGAGAGGGGGTTTCACCATGTTGGCCAGGCTGGTCTCAAACTTCTGACCTCAAGTGATCTGCCCGCCTCAGCCTCCCAAAGTGCTGGGATTACAGGCGTGAGCCGCCATGCCCAGCCTTATTTTCAAGAAATTCTGTTTCACTGCTTTTTAAAATTATGCCACAGTTCTCTTCTATAAGCAGCTGGTTTCTTTTTTTGTTTGTTTGTTTGTTTTTTGTTTTGAGACAGAGTCTCACTCTGTTGCCCATGCTGGAGTGCAGTGGCGCAAGCTTGGCTCACTGCAACCTCTGCCTCCCGGGTTCAAGCAATTCTCCTGCCACAGCCTCCCGAGTAGCTGGGACTACAGGCATGCACCACCACATCCGGCTAATTTTTGTATTTTTAGTAGAGACGGAGTTTCACCATGTTGGCCAGGCTGCTCTCAAACTCCCGACCTAATGTGATCCGCCTGCCTCGGTCTCCCAAAGTGCTGGGATTACAGGCATGAGACACAACTAATTTTCAGCAGAAAATGGTCACATACTATCAACTTACACAGAAAAAAACTTAATAAAATTAAGGAATAGAGAGACAGCTGGCTCTCTTAGTCCCTCCCTCCCTCCCAGTCTCACCTGGTAGCCCACCACACCTCCCAGGGTCCAGGCACGCTCTTTACTGATCCACCTGGCGATGCTGCTTGCCCCTATCTTCCGGGGCTGGGTGACCACAATGCTGCAGTAGGCGGAGCGCTGAACGTAGTGGTCCAAGATATACTGCGGGAGCTGAGTGCTTTTACCGCTTCCCGTGGCCCCATGGATAATCACCACGGAATTACTTTCTATCAAAGACACAACCTAGAAATTTAAAAAATTCTTTCAAAATCAGCACAAAATGGCAATGTAAAGTATCACCTATATTAAGAAGTCTTTCAGGATTTATTTTTCTTTCATCTTAAAGTTTTGTTTTGTTTTGTTTGAGATGGAGTCTCGCTCTGTTGCCCAGCCTGGAGTGCAGGGGCGCAATCTCGGCTCACTGCAACCTCTGTCTCCTGAGTTCAAACGATTCTCATGCCTCAGCCTCTCAAGTAGCTGGGACTACAGGCGTGTACCACCACACCCAGCTAATTTTTGTATTTCTGGTAGAGACAGGGTTTCTTTCACCGTGTTGGCCAGGCTGGTCTTGAACTCCTGACATCAAGTGATCCGCCTGCCTCAGCCTCCCAAATTGCTGGGATTACCAGCAATTTCCCAAATTGCTTAAAGTTATTAATTAACCATTCTAAACACAACACAAGAGAGCAAGGAGGCGACAAACGGTTGCCACACTTAAATGCAACTCTACTACCTATTTAACAGTAATTAGTGGCTGGGCACAGGTGGCTCACATCTGCAATCCCAGCACTCTGGGAGGCCAAGGCGGGCGGATCACGAGGTCAAGAGATCGAGACCATTCTGGCCAATATGGTGAAACCCTGCTTCTACTAAAAATACAAAAATTAGCTGGGCATGGTAGCGCGCCTGTAGTCCCAGCTACTTGGGAGGTTGAAGCAGGAGAATTGCTTGAACCCTGGAGACAGAGGTTGCAGTGAGCCAAGATCGTGCCACTGCACTCCAGCCTGGCGACAGAGCAAGCCTCCATCTCAAAACAAACAAACAAAAAAACAAAAACAACAACAAAAAAAATAGTAACTAGTGATAGCTGTGGAAAAACCAGGCCAGGTTAACTCCAGCTTCCTGGGTCTCAACTGCTTCTGTAAAAATGAAAATGTAAAATTAGATTTCTATGACTCTTCCCAAGTTTCTATTAACATTTTGTAATGAATCTGCAAATAATTCTACTGAACATGAGAAAAAGAGCTGTTACTACATTCAAGTGGTTTTAAAATGTCATCTTAAATTCTTCAGACATATTTTTATCTATTAAATATCTGTTTATTTATTTTTAGACACAGGCTCTAGCTCTGTCACCCAGGCTGGAGTGCAGTGGCACAATCATGGCTCACTGCAGCTTTGACCTCCTAAGCTCAAGCCATCCTGCCACCTCAGCATCCCAAGCCAGGACCACAGGCACGTGCCACCATATTCCACTAATTTTGGGGGGTGTGTTTTGTAGAGATGAGGTCTTGCTATGTTGCCCAGGCTGGTCTGGAACTCCTGGCCTCAAGTGATCCTCCCACCTCCAGACATATTTGGAAACAAGTAACTTCCACTTTTCCACTTACAGATTATATGCAGCATTTTTAAAACTCCACTCAAATTCCTCCTCCAGAACTCCCCGACCTCCACTCTAAACTTATTTAAGCTCTTATCCTTCTAACAATTGATATGGTCAGGAAATACAAATTAATTTGAATACTGGCCTCTAATTTTTAGTTGCATGATTTACTCTAAAGCAAAGTAAAAATTAAATTTGAAACATTTCTAGTTTTATCTGTAACTCCTTCTTCCAGTTAATAAAGGTTCCGATACGCTTACTCTTAACGATGCTTAATAACACGCAAGTAATTAGGAACTTAATCGTCCTACTGTTACATCTGCCTGGCATTGTTAATACAATGGTATGTCAATGATTGATTACATTAATCAACAGGCAGAGAAAGGGCCAACGCTGTAAAGAAAACCCAGTGGAAATGCTAGGGTATGTCATTTGCTTCATAAAAACATTTAGCAGTGAGTTTATTTAAACAAGAAGCTCTCCTGGGGAAGACTAAGTGTTTACTTGCAGATATTTTGAGGAAGGAAAGACTAGATAAACTAAATGTTAGAAGATGTACTCAGGCGAAGACTAAAGAAATTAAAGCACAGATCAAAAGAAAAGCCATCGATATGGTTACTACACAAAATCATCTGCAGGTTGGCCTGAGCACACCCTCCTCTTATCCACCACAGAACCTTGTACACCACAGAAGTGTTCACCTGGCAACTGGTAACTTTCAAATTAGAAACCAAAAGTATTGGGCCTCAGACATGTATTCAAACAGCAAAATTACAGTATAACAAAACAATTTTACCTCTTCCTTGTATCGACTTATAGGCAAATCAGGATATTTATAAGTTGTCCCTGGGATGCATGTCACACTGCTTAATTTAGCCAAAGATGGCCTTGGACCTGGATTAAGGCAAAACAAACAAATACAATGCCATTTCTTATCTGGAAAAAGATAACTCAATGTTCTAATCTATAGATACAGCATACACACACACACACACACACACACACACTCAAATACAAAAATACATTTTCTACAGGCTAAAACTGCCATCAGGGCAATACCAAAGACATGGAACGAACATAGGTATCCATCAATGGTGGATTGGATAAAGAAAACATGGTACATATACACCATGGAATAATATGCAGCCATAAAAAAGAATGAAATCATGTCCTTTGCAGCAAGCAACATGGATGTAGCTGGAGGCCATCTAAGCAAATTAACACAGAAACAGAAAACCAAATATTAAATGTTCTCACAACTGGGAGCTAAACCTTGGGTACACACGAACATAAAGATGGGAATAACAGACACTAGGGACTCCAAGAAGAAGAGGGAGGGAGGGGCAAGGGCTGAAAAACTTCCTACTGGGTACTGTGTTCACTATACAGGTGATGGGATCAGTGGAAGCCCAAACCTCAGCATCACCCAATATACTCTTGTAACAAACCTGAACATGCACCCCCGAATCTAAAATAAAAAGTTTAATTTCTTAAGAAACTTCCCTTAGCAGCCCACTATTAATCTTGTATAAAAGCAAACTGAGAACATTCTATCCCTCCATCACAGCCACCAATATTGCAAGCTCAGCACTGCCTTCTAAAACAGGCCTGTAAAACACGCACTCATTGCTGATTCAGTGGTACCAAAACAGTTAAAGAGAAAACTTTTCCTTGAAATTTCAACAGAATGCATCAATTTAAGTGTGCATTCCCTGCTACTAAAATACATCAGTGATAGCAATAAATAAATCAAACAATTTATGAAATACAGGTATCAGGAAAGCAGGCAGCTTGCCTCTGCTCAGGATACATGACACAGAGCTCTGACCAGGCACACTTCTCTGCCCTCTTGTAAAAACATGCCCTGCTCTCTGGCTGCACTACAAATTCTAAACCTCTGGTCATCACTTGACAAACTGGCAAATCATCAAAACTCACGGAAGACAAACTTTTGCTGGGAAATAAGTTTTACTTCCAAAATAAACTCTTAGCCAAATTTAGCACCGCACTCATTCCCTTACCCCACGACTCACCTTCCCTTCCTATCAGCCCCTTGTTTCTGACCAGCATCTCCTGCTGTGTCACCCTCGGCCTTTCCTAATAAAACACACAACCAGGCTTCTCTCTTGTTTTCCTACATCTTTTCCCTACATATATTCCCATTTTCCTAACTGGTCTAATAACATGTAATTAAAATGTGGCTATTTTCCCACATTTGAATCAAAGTTACGTGGTCCCTGTTCTCAATTATATAAACAGAGGAACCAGATCTGTCATACTTTCTCAAAGCAAAAATAGCTTCTTTGTGAGTATGTTCTTCCTAAAATATTAGTGACCCCTAACTCAGGAAAGCTGTCCTGCCGATATGGCTTTTTTTTTTTTCCTTTTTTCTTTTTCTTTTTTCTTTTTCTGGACAGAGTCTTGCTCTGTCCCCCAGGCTGGAGTGCAGTGGCGCGATCTCGGCTCACTGCAACCTCTGCCTCCTGGGTTCAAGCGATTCTCCTCCCTCAGCCTCCTGAGTAGCTGGGATTACAGGTGCCCACCACCACACCCGGCTAATTTTTGTATTTTTAGTAGAGATGGGGTTTCACCATGTTGGTCAGGCTGGTCTTGAACTCCTGATCTCGGCCTCTCAAATTGCTGAGATTACAGGCATGAGCCACCACGCCTGACCTATGGCTTTTTAATCTTCTAATCAGCCTAACTAGTGATTGCCAAGTTTACTAAAACAGGGATTTTCTTTCCATTATCACGTCTCACTTTCCTTCCATTCCTCTTCTCAGTGCTATGGTAATTACTGATGCCTTCTTGTTTTCCCAGTTAATATACCTAGGCCTTCTTGAACATAATGAAAGAAGGGGAAGAGAATCCCCATGGCCCTTGTGAACTGGACTGAGAGAAAGAAGGCCCTGAGCCCAGACACAGCATGCAGACAAAGGGAGAGGCAAGTATTCTAGTGAGGAACAGGGTGGGAGTAAGAAGCTGAGGAAGAGCTACTCAAAGGGGAAAGAAGGTGACAAAGATTCTTTTAGAAAGACGAAAAAGGCTGCAGCCACGTTCGTTTTGCTAAAAGACTTCAAGCCCTGGCTCACATGCCGCTAAACAAGCCCTGTTACTTAGACAATATTGGCTTACATTACTTGATTACATGCATTTTGAAGACTGCTACTTAAAGACAGAAATTTTACAAGAAAAAATGCCAGAAGTCCTAACGGTACTGTCTATACCATAGCCCCTTCTCCATGTAACGCAAAACACAAGCTGACATTTTTAGGTCACTGGCTGAAGCAGACCCAGCACAAATCAAGTCCTGCCTCCGCGTACACTGCCAAAGGGCAGACAGGAAACCAAACAGCAGAAATGTTCCCAGCTGTGTGGCTCTCGCACCTTTGCATCAGCAACAGAATAAGAAGGAAATCCATCACGGATAATTTAAGGCAAATCAACAAACTACATACAACAAAGCAAAAATCCAAAAACGGCATGAGGACCAGCTCAACCTTAAAATTGACTATTCTTATTTTCTTGCTGTCTCTTTATCCTACATGATTAACAACACAATGTTTTACATGAACTGGGGAAAACTGGAAGCCATAAAAATTGCTAGTTCTCTTCACTAAGACATATCACTATATCACCATCAACCAAATATGAAATCTAACCAAAAAGTTCAGCACCTAGAGGTTCTAAACAGCATGTAAGGAATTTTAACTGGTAAGTATGTCAGTTCACATGGTGAACTTAAGACTTATCTTCAAATCTACACACTATATATTACAGAAAATAATTTTAATTACTGGATTACTGATGTAACCATAAAATTAAATCTTCCAAATAGATAATTATATATGACTTTCTCCAAATATGGACTAGTATTCTGAATACAAAATTAACTTGAAGGAAGAATAATGTTTCTCTTTCGGTTATTAGACATTCCACATAGGCCATTCTCTTAAAACCAGAAGAAAAGCTAAAAGGAGGATGAAAACAGCCACTAAATATATCACCACATTTAAAAGGAGGCAGCACTGTGGAATTTAACTACAATCTAAAGACTGTATCCCAGGACAAATTCAAATTGTTGTGTGAAAGCAACAGAACCCTTCAGGAGTCGACAACCTAGAACTAGGCTCACACTGTAAGGAAAGATTTCATTTATCAATGCAAATAAATCTCAGTTTTTAAAAAATGATTAATCTTTAACCATGTAAAATGATTCTACTGTAATCGATAGAAATTCACTGAATGGGTGTCCTTGGATTTCTATTTAGAAATAATTTTTAATACTTATAAGTGAAATAACACCTGTATCAGGCCAAAATCAAAAGTGTTTTGAATCAAATTATTTTATAACTGGATATAACAAAATGTTCATGCTGAAACCTGTGGCACTGGACTGGAATTAGAGGCATCAGTGTAATCTCATGGTTTTAATAGAAATAGACATAGAAATAGCTTTGTGTCTGTGTGTGTGTGTGTGTATGTATACATACACACACACACACACACACACACACGATAACCTGACCTTACTTCTTCAGTGCTCCAGAGGCACTTCAACACTTCAAAACATTTAGCAGACATGACGGTGACATGTTTACAGTCCCAGCTATTCAGGAAGCTGAGGCTGGAGGATCACTTGAGTCTAGGAGTTCAAGGCCTACCTGGGCAACATAGCAAGACCTCATCTCAAGGAAAAAGAAGTGGACAGCACCTCTCTGCCTCCTGTGGCCTCCTCCCTCACCCTGTGTCCAAGGCATCACCAATTCCTGTCCGGTTTGTCCTTCAACTGGCTCTCCTCCTCCACTGCCATCCTCTGTCAAAGACACCATCAAGTCTCACCTGGACTAGGACAATGCCTCCAATTCTCCTCAGGTCCACTCTGGCCCCCTCCAATCAACTCTCAAAAATATGACCAAAGCACTTTTTGTAAAACACAAATCTAAACACATGACACCCTCTTCCTCCCTTCACAGTCATCCCAAGAAAAGCATGGAAACTTTCATACCTTCCCACTGCTCTGAGTATTAAGACCAAAACTCTTCGTTACAGCCCACAGGCCCTATTACTAGTCTTGCCTATCTCATCCAACCTCATCCAATACAAGTGTGTTAGTTTTTTACTGCTGCTGTCACATTTTACCTCAAACTTAGTGGCTTAAAACATGCATTTATTCTCTTACAGTTCTGGAAGCAGAGGTTCAAAGATGAGAAGGACAAGGTGTTGGCATGGCTGCTGGATCCTTCCGGAGGCTCTGTAAAGAAGAATCTATTCCCTTGCCTTATCAGCCATGGAGAAGCTGCCTGCATTGGCTCATGGCCTCTTCCTTGTATCACTCCAACCTATGACTTCTGTTGTCACATCTACTACTGACTGATCTTCCTGCTTCCCTCTAGGAAAAACCCTGTGATGACATTAGGCCCACCTGGAAAATCTTCCCATCTCAAGATCCTTAATTTGCATCTGCAAAGACCCCTTTACCATGAAGGTGATATATTCACAGGTCCTGGGGATTAGAACATGGACCTCTTTAGGAGGCTATTAGCCTCCAGCTGACCCTGCCCAGCCCTCCCACACCCACTGTCTACTCCCTAGCAGCACTGGCCCCTCTTTCAGGGCTGGAATACCAGGCTTCCTCCCAGCACAAGGCCTCTGCACACATTTCCCTCCCTGCACCCCCACACTGCCTCAGTAAGGTCCACTCACCCTTCAGATCAAAGCTCAACTGTTACTTTCCTGACACCACAGCCCAAGTCAAATCCTTGTTTTACACCCCCATAGAGCTGGCTTTCAGATAACTTATTTCCAAAAAGCATTTATTTGTGTAACTGGATGACTAAATGATCATCTCTACAATGATCAGAGATGATCAGAGTTAAAGTCTTTTTTACTTGTCATATTCTCGCTGTCTCATACAGTCCCTGGAACACACCTTGATAAATGTCAGTGGCTAAGTAGCCCAAACCTCCATAAATAGCCAAAGCCATAGTTGATCCGACTGCCCAGAGAAAAGCCCCAAATATATTATGATACCATGCATAAAGAAAGCAAAGAGAGTTTCACATATGAACTTAAAAGTATGAGAACAGACACTTCGAGTTTCAGGCATTCATTTGTAATCTAGCTAGTCCTAAAGAGTGGTAATCCATCCGGCACGCTACAGGCCCAGCACGCAGGGTGTGCCGGGCTGCTGCCTGTGCCCCTGGGCCAGTACGTGAGTGTGACAAGAAGGATCACATCACACAGAGTCATCTATAAACTAACTAATGTGCTTTCCAAACAGAAGTATTAGATGATGGCTCTCTTTCCACAATAACACATACGGCTACTTCCTACCTCCAAAGCTGCACAGTACTCTTCCTTTGTACAAAAGACCAAAGTCACCAATCCTCTGTTCACTGGCATATAGGAGATTCTTAAGACTTCCCATAGATTAAGTAACAATTCAATAAACATTCTTATACGTACAACTTTGTACTTTTCTTAGCATAAGTAGAAATTGGACCAGAGATAACATACACTGTGAATGCTCACTTCTGTTAATACACTGGGTTGTTCAGACAAATCTCCTTCCTGAGATCAACTAAAGATGTTAGATGAAATACACAAACCTCTCCTTAAAAGCACCAAAGGGCTGATGAAATAGCAAGGAGACATCAGGCCAAAGCCTGTGATGAGGCAAGAACACAGAAAGGGAGGCAAACAACCAAAGGCTGCTTTTACCTTAAGGTGATAGATCTAGCAGAAATTAACCAGAACAGAGCACACTGACCAAAAAAATGAAAAACACAAAACTAAATGAAAGAGTGGGCCATAGATGATGGCTCAGAATTTTCCTAGACTAATTAAAAGGTACTAATTGGTATAGTCAAGAAGCCTAAATCAATCCCAAGAATGATAAGGATTAATCTACTATTATGTATTGACTGTATTTCATACTTTTTAAAAGGCTAAAAAAGAAAGTGTTACTTGAACCCACATTTGTGCCCGACTCTGAGCACACTAATACGCAGGATGGCAGGACAGGAGGCAGAGCTTCTCAACTGAACTAGCAGAAATCTATGACAGATGACCTCTCATAAAGCAAAAAAAATCAAAAGATAACTTCTAGCATATGAATAGGGCCTGGTGCTAGTAAGATAATTTGCTCAGAAAAAAACTCCATACTCACAGAAAGTAACTAACGGTGAACTCTGAACAGTTGTACTCTTGGGAACTGGGAATTTAAGAAGGACCTTTTACTTTTTTATTTTATACATTTCTGCATTGTTTAAAATGTCATTTTAATATCTTTATTGTAAAAAAAAAAAAGTAGTTTTAATTAATAGCAAGGTAAGAAACCATTATTAGTCTTCCGAAGAACAGACTATTTAGGATGATCTCAGCTCACTGCAACCTCTGCCTCCCAGTTCAAGCGATTCTCTTGCCTCAGCCTCTCCAGTAGCTGGGACTACAGGCATGCACCACCATGCTCGGCTAATTTTTGTATTCGCCACTATATTTCTTAAAGGCTTCTAATAATTTTTTCTTTTTTTTGAGACGG
The DNA here is from genome assembly GCF_000001405.40 of Homo sapiens. Taxonomy (NCBI): domain Eukaryota; kingdom Metazoa; phylum Chordata; class Mammalia; order Primates; family Hominidae; genus Homo; species Homo sapiens. Next base: position 103,956,429 of record NC_000014.9, on the reverse strand, counting down.
AGTCTCACTCTGTTGCCAGGCTGGAATGCAGTGGCACGATCTTGGCTCACTGTAATCTCTGCCTCCCAGGTTCAAGTGATTCTCCTGCCTCAGCCTCCCATGTAGCTGAGATTACAGGCACACGCCACCACACCCAGCTAATTTTTGTATTTTTAGTAGAGACGGGGTTTTACCCTGTTGGTCAGGATGGTCTCAATCTCCTGACCTCGTGATCCACCTGCCTCGGCCTCCCAAAGTGCTGGGATTACAGGCATGAGCCACTGCGCCTGGCCTAATAATTATATATATATATATATATATATATATATATATATATATTTTTTTTTTTTTTTTTTTTTTTTTTTTTTTTTAAAGAGAGGGTCTCCGTATGTTGCCCAGGATGAACCTGAACTCCTAGCCTCAAGTGACCCTCTCACCTCAGCCTCCCGAGTAGCTGGGATTACAGATGTACACCACCACATCCAGCTAGTTTTTTTATTTTTTGTAGAGACAGAGTGTCACCATGTTGCCCAGGCTAGTGTTAAATTCCTGGCCTTAAGTGATCCTCCCACCTCAGCCTCCTGAGTAGCTGGAATTACAGGCATGCACTATGAACCTAATATTTTAGCATGTGAACCACTCATGCATCCTATCTAAAATATTTAAAGAGACCTGTTTACCTGGCCCACTGGTTGGTTGGACACTGCGACACACATCAAGCTCTTGTGCTTCGAGCTGTCTGTATTTGTTAATATACTCTACTTCTGAGCTCCTTTGGCTGAGTGACCTGAAAAGAATAGTAAAAGTTAGTATACTATTTCCAAAAAGCCAAGAAACCCTTGTGTACTAGACAAGTTTTTCACATTAAGTCACAGGAAAAAATGCAAATAGTCAATAAACAAATGAATATACACTCAAACTCAGTTACCAGGCAGATGCAAATTAAAACAATGACAAACCATTTTTTCACCCATCAAATTGGCAAAAAGAGCAAATATTTTCAGAATATTTATGAGGAGAGATACATTTATGGTAAATGGGTATGACCACTTATTCTGAAGGGTAGTTTGCAGTATCATTTTTTTGAGGCAAGGTCTCTCTCTGTCACCCAGGCTAGAGTACAGTGCTGTGATCATAGCTCACTGTAACCTCAACCTCCTAAGTTCAAGCAATCCTCCCACCTCAACCTCCTGAGTAGCTGAAATCAGCTAATTAAAACTTAAAACAGCCAGGCATGGTGGTTCACACCTGTAATCCCAGCACTTTGGGAGGCCAAGGCGGCTGGATCACTTTGTGCTCAGAAGTTCGAGACCAGCCTGGGCAACATGGTGAAACCCCATCTCTATAAAAAATATAGAAATGAGCCGGGTGTGGGCTCATGCCTGTGGTCCCAGCTACTCAGCAGGCTGGGGCTGGAGGATCCCTTGAGTCAGGAAGTGGAGGTTGCAGTGAGCCAAGATTATGCCACTGCACTCCAGCCTAGGCAACAAAGCGAGACCCTGTTTCAAAAAAAAAATAAACAGCCTAGGCACAGTGGCTCACGCCTGTAATCCCAGCACTTTGGGAGACCAAGGCGGGCGGATCACTTGAGGTCAGGAGTTCAAGACCAGCCTGGCCAACATGGTGAAACCCTGTCTCTACTAAAAATACAAAAATTAACTGGGTGTGGTGGCAGGTCCCTGTAATCCCAGCTACTCGAGAGGCTAAGGTAGCAGAATCACTTAAACCCAGGAGGCGGAGGTTGCAGTGAGCCAAGATGGTGCCACTGCACTCCAGCCTGGGCAACAGAGCCACATTCCATCTCAAAAAAAATAAATCAAATAAAAACTAAAAACTAACCAAAACTTAAAACACACGTCTCCTACAATCCAACTTTTCCTCAGAATCTTTGTTAAACATCAGCACATGTAAACGAAGCACGTGCAAAGACATGCATGGAAACATTCATTTGTTTAGCAAATACTTACTGAACACCTACTGCACAAAAGGCACTGTCTCCAACACTAAAGATATAGCAGGAAACAAAACAAAGTCCTTGCCCACATGAAACTACCATTCTTGTGAAGGAGACATAATAGATACGTAAGATGCTGATTAGAGATGTGGACAAAATTAAAATCGGGTGACGCTATTAAGGATTCCAGGGAGGAAGGGTATATTTTCATAATATTTGTAATAATTAAAACCTGAAAAACATGTCCAACAGGGGACAAGCTAAAACAATGGCATACCTTAGTTAATGTGTATCATTTTGAAAGTGTCATGGCTCTATTCATGCCAATAGATAAACATGTCCAGAATATTAAGTGAAAAAAGACAATTGTGATATGTATTATATGCTATCAACTATGTTTTCCTCATCAGTGTCTGGTTTAAATGCACTGTTGTCAAAGAGACTATATGATACTGATTCTTGAAATTTGAGACAAACTTTATGTAATGATTAATTTTATGTCAACTTGACTGGGCCAAGGGATGCCCAGATAGCTGGTAAAACATTTTTTCTGGCTGTGTCAGGGTGTTTCAGGAAGAGGTTAGCATTTGAATCAGTAGGCTGAGTAAAGAAGACCTGCCTCAGTAACATGGATGGGCATTACCGAGTCCACTGAGAGTCCACCCGGGCAGAACAAAAAGGATAAGGAAGGGTAAATACTCTCTTTTTGAACTGGGACATCCAGTCTCTCCTGCCCTGGGACACTAGAGTTCCTGATTCTCAGACCCTCAGGCTCCGAGATTCACACCAGCCATCTCCCATCCCAGGTTCTCAGGCTTTGTCTTGGATTGGGAGTTACAGCATCAGTTACCCTGGTTCCCAGGCCTTCAAATTCAGACTGAATTTCACCACCAACTTTCCTTCTTCTCCAGCTTGCAGAAGGTATATAGTGAGACGTCTCAGCCTCCATAATCACGTGCACCAAGTGTCATCACCAATCTCCCCCTCTTACAGATCTATATATATCTTATTAGTCCTGTTTCTCTGGAGAATCCTGTCTAATACACTTTAATAAAATGCTGTTTGCATCAAAGCCAACTTTTACCTGTTCCAAAATATCAGCATTCCTCTGGTTACTGTTTGCCTGACATTTACTCATTAATTCACTCAACAATAACAGTGTACCAGGTGCAGCTGAGAGAGTCAAGATGCCTGGGTGGCTCCCACAGGAGGGGGCGGGAAGAGGATGATGAGAAATGGAGGGTAGGGAGCAGAAGGGTATGGAGAAGAGCTGGAAGTATCAGGGAGGAGCTGGGAGTAATTATAAAGATTTTGGCTTTTGTTCTGAATAAGATGGGTTTTGAGCAGAGAGAGAAATAACAATATCTGACTTTTAGTTTAACAGCATGGCTCTGACCAGGTGAAGGGGAGCAGGTGATCATCTGAAAGAAAACATTTGCAGCAAAACTTTAATTCCTGGCTGGGCACGGTGGCTCACGCCTGTAATCCTAGCACTTTAGGAGGTCGAGGCGGGTGGATCACCTGAGGTCAGGAGTTTGAGACCAGCCTGGCCAACATGGTGAAACCTCATCTCTACTAAAAATACAAAATTTAGCCCAACGTGGTGGCGAGCACCTGTAATCCCAGCTACTCGGGAGACTGAGGCAGGAGAATTTGCCTGAAACCTAGAGGCAGAGGTTGCAGTACACCAAGATCGCACCACTGCACTCCAGCCTGGGCGACAGAGTGAGACTCTGTCTTTAAAAAAAAAAAAAAAAAAAAAAAAAAGAGAGAGAATTCCTATAAATCACTAAGATAAGAATGAAACGCATAGAAATGTGACTTTTAACTTTAAAAGGTAAATGCAGTAGTATTTTAATTAAAATACTGAAAAAAAGAAATTCAATATCAGTTTCTCCTTAAATATTAACTGCATTTTTTTCAATCTTTTTATTGTGGCAAATATATATAACATAAGGCCGAGCACAGTGGCTCATGCCTGTAATCCCAGCACTTTGGGAGGCCGAGGTGGGCGGATCACGAGGTCAAGAGATCAAGACCATCCTGGCTAACACGGTGAAACCCCGTCTCTACTAAAAATACAAAAAATTAGCCAGGGGTGGTGGCGGGCGCCTGTAGTCCCAGATACTCGGGAAGCTGAGGCAGGAAGATTGGCGTGAACCCGGGAGGCGGAGCTTGCAGTGAGCTGAGATCGCACCACTGCACTCCAGCCTGGGCGAACGAGCGAGACTCTGCCTCAAAAAAAAAAAAAAAAAAAAAAAAAAAAAAAAAAAAAATATATATATATATATATATATATATATATACACACACACGCACACACATATATACACATATATACACGTATATACATATATATATATACGTGTATATATATAACATAAAACTTGCCATCTTAACTACTTTTTTTAAAAAATATTTCCTTTTATGGCTGGGCATGGTGGCTCACGCCGGTAATCCCAGCACTTTGGGAGGCCGAGGCGGGCGGATCACAAGGTCAGGAGATCGAGACCACCCTGGCTAATAAGGTGAAACCCCGTCTCTACTAAAAATACAAAAAAAATTAGCCTGGCATGGTGGCGGGCGCCTGTGGTCCCAGCTACTCCGGAGGCTGAGGCAGGAGAACGGCGTGAACTCGGGAGGCGGAGCTTGCAGTGAGCCGAGATCACGCCACTGCACTCCAGCCTGGGCGACACAGCAAGACTCCGTCTCAAAAAAAAGAAAAGAAAAAAGAAAAAAAAAGAAATATTTCAGTTTATTTAAATTGTGAAGTAGAATATAAAACTGAATTAGTAGCTAGTACCAGAGAATGGACTTAACTGGTGTTTAATGAGAACAGCTTCTACACAGGATCCCAAGAGACTTACAGGAAAGGGGCAAAGCCCTAATATTAAGCAAATAAAATGTTTCAAACAGATTATACAAAAATTTATACTTCATTTCCCTTTTTTGATATTTAGAAAGTGCAGATTTAACAAAAGGTAGCCATATCCTTTCTATGTACAATGCCGATTATAATTATGCAAACTATCAGTGTGTTATCCAGAAGTCCCAGTGTTTAGCTCTCAAACCTTAAGTCATGGAATTAAGAATTAAAGGGGGTTAAAATAAAAAAGCTAATGACACATTCCAGATAAAGGGAAGCAACAAATACATTAATCTAACAACAGTAAGTTTAACCTGAACTTTTCAAAAAGCTTAACATCATTTTAGGGGAAAATCAGGGATTATTTGGCAATGCTGCTTTTTACTAGTAGTAAACAATGATAAAGTCAAGTGCAGGAATAACCTAACAACCAGTGAGGCATATAAAATTGTGTTTAGGGCACTCTCTGAAAAATTGATGGATTTTTTTTGTTGGTTTTTTAACAAGGAAAGATCTTTATTTGGGAATAAAGCATTGCGATGGGAATTACACATAGCACAGTAAATGATTTGTGTATTCAGGGAAGTAAAGAAAGACAAAGGTTTTAAAGGGAAAAATTAGTAGTACACAATTGTTCTGAAATAATTATCCTTGGCTACAAAGATCACAAACAGGGTGATGCTAGTCTGAAGCTGGTCAAGCAGTGGCTGGGCAGATGTCCTTGGAGAAATATTCTTTTAGAAAGGTTGTGATGGCCTTTGTGCAAGGTTGTGGGTTTTGTAGAGTCTTTTTTGTTATAAAACATACAAGTGTGAGACTCCTCTCTTCATGGCCTTCCCTGGCTCTGTTCGTCAGGGTTTTAACATTAATGACTCCATTTTGACTCTGACACATTTCACACATGCGGTTTTTGCTAAGCGTTTGATGAGCAAATAGATGAGGTACACAATATTTCATTCACATAGTGTATCTGGTCCATTATTTACTAGACTGAACCTCTAACATTCTCTCTAACCTCCCGTGATCAAATGTCACATTTCCATATCCTTCCATAATGCAGACTTCCAAGTCCTAGACCTGGCGTCATCTTCCTGTGTTCTTCATAAGAAGATTAGTTTCTAAATTCAAGATTAAATTGCTCAGCACAATAACTGACAAAGAAAATACCTCCTGGAACCAAATACATAGTTTAATCATTGTGGTGGAAGAAGGGACATTTATTTGATTATGAAATAGAAACCGGCCGTATGCGGTGGCTCATGCCTGTAATCCCAGCACTTTGGGAGGCTGAGGCAGTTGGATCACCTGAGGTCGGGAGTTCAAGCCCAGCCTAACCAACATGGAGAAACCCTGTCTCTACTAAAAATAACAAAATTAGCCAGGCATGGTGGCACGTGCCTATAATCCCAGCTACTAGGGAGGCTGAGGCAGGAGAATCGCTTGAACCTGGGAGGCGGAGGTTGCGGTGAGCTGAGATTGCGCCACGGCACTCCAGCCTGGGCAACAAGAGCGAAACTCCATCAAAAAAAAAAAAAAAAAAGGAAGGAAGGAAAGAGGGCAGGGCCCATCAAAAGAAAAAAAAAAAGGGAAGGAAGGAAACAGAAGAGGGCAGGGCAGGGCAGGGCAGGGCCTGATTTGTTTAAATTGGCAAAGCTGGCCGGGCATGGTGGCTCATGCCTGTAATCCCAGCACTTTGGGAGGACGAGGCGGGCGGATCACCTGAGGTCGGGAGTTCGAGACCAAAATGTTGAAACCCCGTCTCTACTAAAAATACAAAAATTAGCCAGGTGCAGTGGTGGGGCGGGCGCCTGTAATCCCAGCTACTCGGGAGGCTGAGGCAGGAGAATCACTTGAACCTGGGAGGCGGATGTTGCAGTGAGCCGAGATCCTGCCATGGCACTCCAGCATGGGCGACTGAGTGAGACCCTGTTTCAAAAATAAAATAAAATAAATTGGCAAAGCCAGCGTTTAGAGCTTCTGTGTCTTCATGAGTCATAACCTTCAAAGTTATTGTTGCAATCACAAATATATGAGGTTGACCATTGTGTTATGCATATTGCACGACTCCCTGGGTGGCATAACCAGAAGCAGTAAGAACATACATGAAATTGTTTATAATCAGAGGTCAAAGTAGAACTAAAATCAGGACTTGAACTGACTATATTTTGGATTGTTTTTGTTTGGAGGATTTACTCCCCTGAAAAACACTTCAATCTGCCAACTTCTACAAAGAATTCTTCTACTAGCAAAATGAATTACACATTGCAAGACATCATCATATAATCTCATCTAGACCCCTGCTTCATGGATTTTCATAGCAGATACATCCCTGTTGTTTGCTTATGTGAGCCAAGAGGTCATTAAAATGCTATTCATGACACAGAAAGACTTCTCAATGGAAGCTGCTGTCCTAAACTTAGCCTCTGCTAGAAATGAATCATGCTATTCACAATTCTTTCAACAAAGGTATCCTCCATCTTAACTATTTTTAAGTGTACAGTTCAGTGGTATTAAATACATTCATGTTATGCAACCTTCACCACCATCCATCTCCAGAAATCTTCATCTTGTAAAACAATCTCTGTACCCATTAAACAATAACTCCCCATTTCCCTCTATTCCTAGCCACCAACAAATACCATTCTACTTTCTGGCCCTATGATATTGACTCCTTTAGGGAATCTCATATAAGTGGAATCACAGAGTATTTGTCCTTTCAAGGATTTTTTTTTTTTTTTTTTTGAGATGGAGTCTCACTCTGTCACAGGGTCTTGCTCTGTTGCCCAAGCTGGAGTGCAGTGGTGCAATTATAGCTCACTGCAGCCTTAAACTTCTGGGCTCATGCAATCCTCCCATCTCAGCCTCCTAAGTAGAAGGAACTACAGGCACACTCCATAGTGCCTGGCTAAAGTATCTGTCCTTTTGTGACTGGCTTATTTAGCATAATGTCCTCAAGGTTCATCTATGTCAGAGCGTATGTCAGAATTTTCTTCCTTTTCAAGGCTGAGTAATACTCCTTTCTATGGATATGGACACTCAGGTTGCTTCCACGTTTTAGCTATTGTGAATAATGATGTTATGAACACAGGTGTACAAACATCTCTTCAAGGTCTTCCTTTAAACTTTTCTGGGTATATACCCAAAAGTGAAATTGCTGGATCATATAGTAATTCTATTTTTAATTTTTTGAAGATCCACCATACTGTTTTCCACAGCAGCCCCACCATTTTACATTCTCACCAACAGTACACAGGGGTTCCAATTTCTCCACATCCTCACCAACTCCTGTTTTGCCAATTTTGAATCAACTTTTTTGCCGGGTGCAATGACTCATGCCTATACTCCCAGCACTTTGGGAGGTGAAGGTGGGAGGATCACTTGAAACCAGGAGTTCAAGACCAGCCTGAGCAACATAGTAAGACCCTGTCTCTACAAAAAATAAAAAAAAAAAATAGCAGGCACGCTGCTGCACACCTATAGTCCCAACTACTTGGAAGGCTGAGGCAGAAGGATCCCTTAAGCCTAGGAGGTCGAGACTGCAGTGAGCTATGATTGCACCACTGCACTCCAGCCTAGGCAACAGAGTGAGACCCTCCCTCTTAAAAAAATAAAAATCTGTTTTTTTCTTGTTGCATTTTGGGAAATCTCTATACATTCTATGTATTAATCCCTTTTCAGATACATGATTTGCAAATATTTCTCCATCTTGTGAGCTGCCTTTTTACTGTTCAGTTTTTTGATATACAAATCTTTCAAGTCCAATTTGTCTTTCTTCTTTTGTTGCCTGTGCCTTTGGTGTCATATCCAAGAAATTATTGCCACATACGATGTGAAGTTTGTGCCCTCAGTTTTCCCCTAAGGGTTTTGCAGTTTTAGGTCTTACTTTTGAGCTTTAATCCATTTCAACTTAATTTTTGTATATGGTGTAAAGTAGTAATCCAATTTCATTTTTTTGCCTGTGGATTTCCACTATTCTCAGCATCATTTGCTGAAAAGACTGTCCTGGCCAGGCACGGTGGCTCATGCCTGTAATCCCAGCACTTTGGGAGGCCAAGGCGGGTGGATCACGAGGTCAGGAGATCCAGACCATCTGGCAAACACGGTGAAACCCCATCTCTACTAAAAATACAAAAAAATTAGCCGGGCGTGGTGGCGGGCGCCTGTAGTCCCAGCTACTCGGGAGGCTAAGGCAGGAGAATGGCATGAACCTGGGGGACAGAGCTTGCAGTGAGTAGAAATCGCCACTGCACTTCAGCCTGGGCGACAGAGAGAGACTCCATCTAAAAAAACAAAAAAAAACAAAAAAACAAAAAAAACAAAACAAACAAACAAACAAAAAAAACAAACTGTCCTTTTCCCCTTAATTGGTGTTGGCACCCTTACTGAAAATTATTGACCATGTATGTGAGGGTTTATTTCTGGGCTCTCTACTCCATTGGTCTATGCGTCTTTATGCCAATACCATACTGTTTTGATGATTGTAGCTTTGTAGTAATTTAAAAATCAGGAAATGTGAGTCTTCCAGCTTTGTACTTCTTTTTCAAGATTGTTTTGACTATTCAGGGTTCCTTGACATTCCATATGAATTTCAGGATGGATTTTTCCATTTATGAAAAAAAAGTCATTAGGATTTTGGCAGAGATTGCATTGAATCTGTAGATCACATCGTGTAGTACTGACATTTTAACAATATTGTCTTCCAATCCATGAATAGAGGATGTATTTCCATTTACTTATGTTTTTAATTTCTTTCAGCAATGTTTTGCACTTCTCATTGTCCAGACTTTCACTTCTTTGGTTAATCCCTGAGTATTTTATTCTTTTTGATGCTATTACCAATAGAATAGTTTTGTAATTTCCTTTTTAGATTGTTCATTGTTAGGGTATAGAAATGAGACTGAATTTTGTGTGTTAACTTTGTAGACTGCTACTTTGCTGAATTCAATTATTAGTTCTGACAGGTTTTTGTGGAATCTTTAGGGGTTTCTACATATAAAATTATATCATCTGCAAACAGAGATAATGTTACTTCTTCCTTTGTAATTTGGATGCATTTTATTTCTTAATCTTCCTTGATTGCTCTGGCTAGAAATTCTAGTACTAAGTTAAGTAAAAGTGGTGAAAGGCGGCAACCTCACCTTGTTCCTGATCTTAGAGGAAAAGCTTTCAATCTTCCATTGAGTATGATGTTAGCTGTGGGCTTTTCACATATGGCTTTTATTATGCTAGTAGTTTCCTTCTATTTCTAGTTTGTTGAGAGTTTTTAATATGAACAACTCCACAGAAATGTACTTTTTACCTTAAGAAAAATGAATCAATAACCCAGAACTTTTAATTCAGTAGCAAAATGAATTAAAAACAGGTTGGGCACAGTGGCTCATGCCTATAATCCCAGCACACTGGGAGGCTGAGGTGGGAGGATTGCTTGTACCCAGGAGTTCAGGACCAGCCTGGGCAACATGGTGAGTGAGACCCAGTCTCCACCAAACATTTAAAAATTAGTCAGGCATGGTGGCACGTGCCTATAGTCCCAGCTACTTGAGAGGCTGAGGTGGGAGAATCTCTTGAGCCCAGGAGGCTGAGGCTGCAGTGAGCTATGACCATGCCACTGTACTCTAGCCTAGGTGAGCAATACCTTGTCTCAAAAAAAGAAAAAAAAAAACAGAAAGATATGAGTCTTCCCACAATGAAAAATCCTTCTTTGATTGCAATCAAGTGCTGTTGAATACTATATAAAGCAGCCCTGATTGTAATATATAAAAAGTTATGTCTGGCTCCTTAGCTTGCTTTTCAAGGTTCCAAAATTTTGTCTTTCTAAACTTTTCTTTTTATGTACTTCCTTACAGATCTTAAAATTTTACATAGACACACATATATTATGCATGATACGGTCCTATTTCATTTTAAGTCTTATAAAATTTAATACTTAGCTAACAAGGTGTAAACTAGAAAACTATGACAATGACCAAAAAGCAAAGGACCTAACAGCTTAAGCTTTATGTCGTCCACACAAAATATCCTAGGAAGTTTGCAATTCATCAGAAACAATTCATTTTTTCAACTCATTATAATGTAAGATAAATACAATCCAAGATACTTCCTTACCTTTGCTTACAAATATTTATGTTCTCTATCTACACAGCAGTAGAAGAAATACTGTAATCAGAGAATTATTTGGGTCTCTACTTCAATCTGATAATCTCAGGAGACAGGACAAAATAAAATCTGTAAGGCAAGTAGCACACACTAAGTACTAGAAAAATTGGTTTACACAATTAACTTCAAAGGAAGGTATACTCAATGTGAGTTAAGGTGGTAAGAAAAGTTCTGAAAAGGTCTTTGGTAATGGTTTCAATGGCAAGAAAGGTGTCAAACAAGTAAGTGGAGAAGGAAGATTGCCTTCAAGAAGCTCTTCCAGTGGCTAGCTCATTGATCTCTAAATCTCTGTTAAAAGGATACCTCCTACCCAAAAAGGTCTTCTCTGACCTCCAGTTCTAAGTGGGAGAAGTGTTCCAAGTATATTAATAGATTATGACCATCTATAATTACCTTACTGATTTGTGTACTTATATTTGTCTTCACATTTGGAGGCTGGCTCCTTGGGAGTAGGAACTAGGTCTTTCTTGTTCACTGCTACACCCCAGCCCCTAACTATTCAGGCCCTGGCAGACAGTCAATAGATATCTGTTAAGTGACTGAAAGCCAGCAATTACAGTAGAGGACACAGCAGGATCTAATTGGAAAGCATTAGGAAAAAGGGAAAAGAAGCCGGGCACGGTGGCTCACGCCTGTAATCCCAGCACTTTGGGAGGCCAAGACGAACAGATCACTTGAAGTCAGGAGTTCAAGACCAGCTGGCCAACATGGCAAAACCCCATCTCTACTAAAAATACAAAAATTAGCTGAGTGTGGTGGTGCACGCCTGTAATCCCAGCTACGAGGGAGGCTGAGGCACAAGAATCACTTGAACTCAGGAGGCAGAGGTTGCAGTGAGCCAAGATCACGCCACTGCACTCCAGCCTGGGCGACAGAGCAAGACTCCATCTCAAAAAAAAAAGGGTGGGGGGCGGGGTGGAGAGAGAACAGAAACACAGACCAAACCAGTCTTTCTATAAGTTTAACAGTGAAGATAAATAAAATCAGAGTTCAAAGGAAAAGAAGGGCCAAGGAAGATGTTCACATTGACCCTCAGGTTGAAGGAAAAAATCAGTTGGTATTTGAGCTGGTCCATGAAAAAGAGAATTACTATGTGGATACATGAAAAACACAAAGAAGCAGCTTTTCAGAAGAGAAAAAACAGTTGAACCAAAGCTGAAGGATCAGAAGTAAGCATGGCAAGCGTCAGGGGGCAACGTGGCCTGGCTGAAACAAAAGGTGTGCTCTAGGGTCGAGCAAGAAAGCAAGCCAGGTAAGGAGGGATAACGTAAGACTGTAGAGGGCCTTGAAGGAGGGATAATGTGAGACTGCAGAGGGCCTTGAACAGAAATTTGGCTTAAGTTCCATATCCAATATGTTCTGATATTTTTGTTACCATTTCAGAGGAAAAAAATTTATGCAGTAACAAGGAGGTTATTCAAAGGAGTATGCGGCAAGATTCGCTGTAATTTTAGTATAAAATTTGGTAGGACACTTCTGTCATCATAAACTTTACTCCTTTCCTTCTCCTAACAGTATATGCAATGTCATGTGAAAACCTTCCAGTTGACAATAATCAGTCCTGACATCTGGCTTTTTCTAACATCTAAGCAACAGGAGCTGTAGGGTGGCCACACACGTCACTCTGGGTCATGCATGACATGCAAGTCTGATGTAAACAACGTCTACTCTTCATGGCTCACTTGAAAGGAAAAGCAACAGAAGAAACAAATACTATAAAAGGGAAAACCACTATGCAGTCGTTTCACAGAGAACTGGGGAGTAAAAGACCTTTTATACTATCTACTCTTTAGCAAAAGACAAACACTTGCATAGGAAATTAGCACAGGCCAGCGCAGTGGCTCATGCCTGTAATCCCAGCACTTTGGGAGGCTGAGGCAGGTGGATTACTTGAGCCCAGTTTACGGACCAGCCTGGGCAACACAGGGAGACCTTATTTCTACAAAAAAAAAAAAAAAAGAAATGTATGTGTGTGTGTATATATGTGTGTATTATATATGTGTGTATATTTATATATACATATATAATACATATACATATGCGTATATATACTTATGTGTATATATACATATATGTACATATATAAAATACATACACATATGTACATATATAAAACATATATGTATGTACATATGTGCGTGTGTATATATTTTTTTAAACTAGCCAGGCATGCCGTAGCATGCACCTGTGGTGGCATGCACCTATGGTCCTGGCTATTCAGGGGGCTGAGGTGGGAGGATCACTTGAGCCCAGGAGGTCGAGGCTACAGTGAGCCGTGATCATGCCACTGCACTACAGCCTGGGTGACACAACGTGACTCTGTCTCAAAAAAAAGAAAGAAAGAAAAAAGAAATAGCACAATAATGACCATTACAAACCAATATGCACCTAAATAGTAAATATAAGTTTTTCATCCTCAGCTCCAAAAAAAAAACACGAAAATGATTTTTCTACGATGAATTATAAGATTTTGTTTAGAATTTTGTATGTTCTTATGCCTCTATTTTTCCCTGACAACCAATTACTGCCTTATTACCATATTTTCAGAGATTATAAAGTATATTTTAAAGTTATCTAGCTGTTTATTATGTCCCCTAGCATTTCAACTTGCTTAAATATACAAATTTAACTATTTTGAAAAAACCAAAATGAATACAAAATGTAACATTTGCTAAATATTTCACAATTATAATTCACATCAGCATTCTTTACCTATTTCACTCAATTACAATGAGTTTTCTCAGAATGTATGTTTTGCAAATAGTCAAGTCTAATCTATTTTTCCTGTTTTCACTAGAGGGGACAGTGACCCGGCTTCCAAATGGCCTGAAAGTTAAGCTGAAGAATAAAAGCAACGTGGCTATTTTTAGAGCTCTACAGGCATAAAAATACAGCACTAAACTGTGACCTACAGCTATGCACAGCAAAGCATCACATCACGCGACAGTCTTCACTCTAGCTCGGAGCGCATCTATGGTGCTTTAGACGACCATTCTTCGTTTCACTACCAAAGACATGTCGGAATGCATTTAGGACCAGCATCTATAGCTGCTGGCATTTTTTTCAAATAGACTGAGCTACATTGAAAAGGCAGACCATTATATAACTTGTGAAGATTAAATAGTCAGTTATTTTTGTCATTTCTTCTAGCTTACTTACAAGGTGAATTAATGAGCATTCTCTCCAAATGAAGACATCACAGCCTCATTCCTAACACAGAAAGTTATTTATTTCAAATACAGTTTCGGTGGGTAAATAAGGTGGCGCATTCCTTCTACAGAGGACACACCTAGGAGAGCAAGATACGTCCCAGTGAAACACAGCTTCGTCACCAACTTCAGTCAACTCTTTGGCAACATCACATCAGCCCATCAACTTAACAGGTAAGCTTTAAACCTTTTCTGTCCAAAACATAAATCAAAAGTATCTGTAGGCAGCACTTGCCCCGACATTAATATTTTAAGTCTCTTAAGAACTTTTCACAGCAAGTGTTAGTGTTATTTTCGGATATCATTCAGTCTATATGTTATCTCTGACTTTGTATATCTAATTTCTGCTAAGCTACATAAAAGCATTTTCAAAGCTTGGTTTCTGCCACTGACCTAGTTAAAAATTAAGACGTTAATCCATGTTCTAATCTTATTTTGACCTGCATAGCTAAATGTGAAAAAAAATCGTGCACTTTTCGGGCAAATTTATTGTAAAGAAACAAATATTTGCTCAGAAGAACATAACATTTTGAGCAAATAAACAAGTGAAAATATTTCCATAGGCTAAAAATGCCACTTTTTGGCTGGATGAAATGGCCCAAAAACGATTCCTACAAACCCACACACTATCCTGGCTCAGACATAGTGACAAAGACTCTGCTTCGGGAATTAAAATGGCACCTAAAGGAGCGAGAGAGATTAATACAAGAAATCGAAAATGAACAAAAAGTGAAAAAAACAGGTGTGGATTACAACTGGCTCAGAAACTACCAGAATCCCCACACAACTATCCCAGTGACTGAACAAAGACAACTTGAAGTTCTTTGCTCACAAGTTCAACCTTGCCAAACTGGAACTATTCTCAGCAGGTAAAAATACTATGTTCTCTTATGATTCCTGCTACTGCTAAGTCCAAGTTCCTCATATATTTTGACTAGAAACTGTATTCTATCATGTAAATTCTTTAACTGTGTAGATGTCTGGTGAGCAATTGTTTTAAATTACATTTAAAATTTCTTTACTAGAAGCATAATTTTAAAACAACATGCAAAATACTCAAAAGGTGGGTAACTTGTATACATTATTCAAGCTGTATTTTGGAGATAAAGAGATATAACAAAAAATGTTCTAAACTGAATATTCATTACCATTTCCCCTCTAGATTTCGAGAAGTTTTGGCAGAAAATGATGTACTGCCATGGGAAATAGTCTACATCTTCAAGCAAGTTCTGAAAGACTTCCTAAGCAGCTCTGACAGAGGGAGTGAGCAAGAGGACCTGGAGGACTCAGGGAGCATGGACTGCTCTGCTCCTTCTGTGATCCAAGGTGACAGCTCCAAGAGGGCAGACAAAGATGAAATACCCACCATTTCCAGTTACGTAGACAAAAACACAAAGGACAGGTTCCCAGTGTTCTCACACAGAATATGGAACCTACCATATTATCACCCATCTAGTTAAGTTACTTACAACTAGAGGGGTTTTTATGAACACCTTAGAACTCCTAATATTAAGAATAAGAAAAAGTGATGTGACTTCAAGTTTTTCTTTGTTACAAGGTCAGTATCCTGTGGATGTAGCCTATGTTTTAAATAGTGTTCTTTTTTTAACCACTCTAAACATGCTATGTTTTCATTGAATAGTATGCTTTTAACTAAAATGTTTCCTAAGTATTTTGAAAAAATGTTTGCAGTATTTTCTTATACCTCAAACCCACCTCACAGGAACTAAAGCAACTTTAGTATGAAGTCTGACAAATTCTGTACAAAACTTAGATATTAACCTTGACTTTTATTCTACAATGAAGCTACATATAGAATTAAATAAATTATTAATACGAATCCTATCTTTACAACATAACAGAAATGAGAAGTCAACATCCCATTATACGATCATTCTCAGCAGGGGATGGGGAGAAGGGCGGTGAGGGAAAAAATATCATGCAGTTTAAAAATGAAGCAGGGCTTTAACCCAACGCTCAGCTTTGGTTTTAATCACAGTACTTTTAAGCTCAACATTAAGGGAACGTGTAATAAAACTCAGCTCTATCAGTAAAGATAAATAGACTGATTTAGCAACATGAGTAGCTGCTACTCTCAAAGAAAAACATTCACTGTTGGTGAATAATTTAAACTTATACTCTGGTGAAATAGCAAAATATTTAATATACAAAATCTGGCTTTTCATAACTTTATTAAAAGTAGGAAATTATACATTAGTCAGATTTTTTTTATAAAGTGATACAATTCATTCTTAAAGTTAAGTCCAAGGAACCTAATTATAACTTTATATTTGAAGATTTACTGGTTTTCTTTCATCTAAAAAGAAAAAAATATACGTATCAAAATTGGAACTAGCTGGGTGTGGTGGCACATACCTGTAGTCCCAGCTACTCAGGAGGTTGAAGCAGGAAGCTCACTGGAGCCCAGGAGTTAAAGGCTGCAGTGAGCTATGATCACACCACTGCACTCCAATCTGGGCAACAGAGAAAGACCTTGTCTCAAAAAAAAAAAAAAAAAAAAACACTTTTTTTCAAAAAGACTAGAACTAAATATACACCACAAAAAAAAAAAAAAAAAAAAAAAAAAACCCTCCTAACTTTATTCTCCCTGCGTTCTTGGCCAACTTGTGTACCATTTTCAACTGACCTCTATTTGGTCTTAAATCCCAATCACGTAATGCAACCCACCTGATCAGGGTTTAACAGGACAAACACAGTCCCAAGCAGATTTAAAATAAAGACACCTCTCATTCCTGCTCTGAGATTTTCAGTTTTCCTACATACTACCTTTGGCTTCTTCAGTCACTGTAAGATTTCCTAGAGTGGAAACTGTGTGTGGGAGAGATAAATGCCCCGAAAAGTACACAACTGCTTATTGTGCAGTGAATACAGTAAGTAGCAAACGTGAGTTTTAAGAAAATATCAGTGCCTTAATGGTGAGAACAAAATTTTCATTTAAAGAAACAAGGAGAACGTGAAGTTTGTATATGAAGCCCGGTACTAGAATTGGTCATCCCACCATACATACCAGGAAATATATGCCATGAAGAGATGCAAATCATTTCCTTCACTCTCCAAGGCTCCTCAAGCAGCCACTGGACAACACCATACCACTTCCAAGAGAGGGTCATCCTCTGTATTCAGACAGGGAGAAATAACTCCCGGCAAAAAGCTTCTGGTGACTGAAGCAGCTATGGACAGTTCAGGATGAAAACGAATCCTAGCCACTCTAAGTCACCCACATGCAATTAATTAATTTTCCACCCAAGCTTGAAAAAAGAAAGGAAAAATATATTAAGTTTTGAGTTTCCATCTCTCACTTTGTTGTTGGCAAACCTAATACTCATATCCTGTGAGGGTATTGGTATACGTCATTTAAAACTGTAGTTATTTCTGGAAAACCTATAAATCAAATAGAAATTTTAATACAAATAACTTCCTGAATAGTGACAGATCCATGTTTTTATACACTAGGCTATTTATAATACCTAAAGCTGGCAAAGGAATCAGGATTGAAAATATAAAGGGGGGCCGGGCACGGTGGCTCACGCCTGTAATCCCAGCACTTTGGGAGGCCGAGGCGGGCGAATCACAAGGTCAAGAGATTGAGACCATCCTGGCCAACATAGAGAAACCCCATCTCTACTAAAAATATAAAAATTAGCTGGGCATGGTAGCTGGCGCCTGTAGTCCCAGCTACTTGGGAGGCTGAGGCAGGAGAATGGCATGAACCCGGGAGGCAGAGGTTGCAGTGAGCCAAGATCACGCCATTGCACTCCAGCCTGCGCAACAGAGCGAGACACCATCTCAAAAAAAAAAAAAAAATATATATATATATATATATATATATACACACACACACACACACACACACACACACACATATATGGGGCACAGGTGGGAAGGGGACGACTGGAATGTTTCAGGTGTGTTTTATCAAGAAAAAGCAGCATTCGTTCAGGAGCTACAATATTTAGCTAGGGAATAGAAAGAATAAATGAATCCACATAAAAGCATTCTGCACAATCCCCGACATATAATAGGCTCTCGAGGTAGCATTACTAGCCAGCCCAATCCATTTAATAATATTAAAGTAATTCTCTTACACACCAGGCACATACTAAGCACTACGAGTGCATTCTCATTTCATCGTAACCTTATAAAGTAGGTGATACTATCCCCATATGACAGATGAGCAAACTGCCTCAGATACGTCCAATGGCTTGCTCATTGGCAGAGAGGAGATTCACATCCAGGCTGCCGTGTCCCTTCCCCAACTGAGCTCTGAGCTCCAAATGCACAGAACCAATTGCCTGTGACACCTCCTCTTGGATGCTCACAGGCAACTTAAAATCAACATGTTCATCCTTCAGTATACTCCATTCAAAAAAGAAAATTAAAAAAAAAAGAAAATCAACATGTTCAAAACCAAAGTCATAGAGAATTTTTTGTGTTCTAAAGGAACAAACAGAATTCAAGAAAGGAACCAGCTAGTACCAATACACACACACACCCTCTAAAAGCATAATTCTTCAAACATTTCATCAACTAGTATTTTCTATCTCAGTAAATGACAGCACCACCCATGTACTCAACTCTACAAGCCAGAAATCTCAGAATCATTCTGGTCCCCCCTTGGGATGGGGGAGGGGCCAAAAACACAATCACAATCCAAAGGTAACTGGAAGGGCTGGGTTTTGGCTATCACAAACAAGACTGGATGGAGGCAGGAGTTCAGTACTTGGAGAAGGTTAAAAAGTTGTTTAAAAGACTAGAGAGACTGGGAAAGAAGGGAGGGGAGGGCTGCTTTAGCTACGGAGGTCACAGGAAACTCCTCTAAGGAGGTATCTGAACAGGGTCCCAAATGAAGAAAGGAGCCTGCAATGGGAAGGGAGCGACGGGAAGCACTGAATACAGAAGAGTCAGTGTGGAAGCTGCAAGGTGGGAATTAGCTTGCTATCTTCAAGACACAGAAAAAATGCCAATGTGACCAGAGCACAGCGAGAGCAGCAGACAAGGAGATGCCCAATGGAGGAACGCTCGCCAAGCCTAGATGCAGAGTCAGATGAAATTTTATCCTAACAGCAGTCGATGCCACAGGAGATCACACATGTGCTCAAAGAACCTCAGGTGTGAAGGTTTACTCAAGAATTTGTTCATTCAACAATTGTTTTTAAAGAGACAGGCTCTTGCTCTGTTGCCCAGGCGTGCAGTGGTGCAATCATAGCTCACTGCAGCCTTGAACTCCTGGCTTCAAATGATCCTTCTGAGTCAGCCTGCCAAGTAGCTGGGACTACAGGCAGGCACCACAACACCCGGCTAATTTTTTAATATTTTGTAGAGACAGGGTCTCCCTATGTTGCCCAGGCTAGTCTCGAATTCCCGGCCTCAAGTGATCCTCCCACCTCAGCTTCCCAAAGCACTGGGATTACAGGCATGAGCCACTATGCCAGGCCATCATTCAACAAATATTAACTAAGCATCTACATCATGCCAGGCATTCTTCTAGGTGCTAGATTACTGGGGAGTAAGGTTGAAAAGTCAGGAGACCAAACATAGAAGGTTTATGCAATAATCCAGGCAAGAGATGACAGCAGTGGTTTGGTCTAGAGTGGTGACTATGTAAACTGTGAGAAGCACCCATATTCTGGAAATATTTTATCGTACACTTGCCAGGATATTGTGATTTTTATTGTTTGATTGTATACCCATATACACACTCTGATACACTCCTTAGGAAAATCCACCATGGCTTGAGGAGTAAGACAGAGATTTATGATTCAATCAAGACAGGACTGCATGAGGAAGCAACTCTCACCATGTCTAGAATAAGGACATGACATATTGTAAGCATTCAATAACTGGGGTCTCCTAGGTTGAGCATGGTGGCTCATGCCCATAATCCTAGCACTTTGGGAGGCCAAGGTGGGAAGATCACTTGAGCCCAGGAATTTGAGACCAGCCTGGGTAACATAGTGAAATCCCATGTCTCCAAAAACATTTTTTTAATTTGTCAGGCATGGCAGCATGCACCTGTGGTCCCAGCTACTCAGGAGACTGAGTTGGGAGGATCAAGGGAGGATCACTTGAGCCCACGTCAAGGCTGCAGTGAAACGTTATTGTGCCACTGCATTCCATGTGGGGCAACAGAGGGAGACCCCATCTGAAAATAATAATTATCACCAGTAATTACCTTGCTTCCATTTTCACATGGTAAATAGGTAACATCACTCTGCCACACTTATCTACTCACCAAATGCCCTGCCCTCCCTCTTGTAAAAAAAAATTATTATTATTATTGTGACCTCCTAGGTCATTCATTCAAACAAATATCTGAGTTCCTACTATGTCAGGTACTGCACCAAGAGGTGGAGATTCCCTGATAATCTGTACCCTTAATAAGTTCTTATGTGGGAAAAATAATATACAAAATCATTCCCATGAAAGTGTTAAGATATGCGTGTGCAGGGCACTAAGCAAGCTGTTGATTAAAGTGGGCCTCACTCACCTGGTGTCCCTCTGACCACTTGTTCTCAGTCTCCTTTTCTCACTGCAACTCATCCACCTATAAACACTGAAGCACCCCAGGTGGGCCCTTCTCTCTACACCCACTCACTAGGATACATCCTAGTTAAGGGATCTCATCATTCTCGAAGTTAAACTTCCCAGTGTCTAGCTCTGCCAGACTTCCTTCCTCAACTCCAGACCACCTACATGTACTGCTGTCTAACAGGCATTTTAAAGTGAACATGTTCAAAATCAATCCTGGTATCCCCCCACAAACTAATTCCTCGTGCAGTCTCGCCTTCCTTACCTGAAGGCAACACCTGTCACTTGCTAGGCCAGAAACCTTGGTGTCACCTGTGATTGCTCCCCCACTCACATCCTACACTTGCTCCAGCTACAGAGTCCTTGCCTCTAGCTTAAGAACATGTCCCAAATGCCACCATTGCTTACCACACCCCACATCCTCCACTCTCAGCTACCTGCCTGGTCTAAGCCACCATCCTATCTCTTGCTTGAATGATGTGTCAGTCATAGTTCTCTAAAGAAACAGAATCAACAAGATGTGGAGAAAGAAATTTATTTTAAGGAATTAGCTCCCATAGCTATAGAGGTACAAGTCCAAAATCTGCAGGATAGGCCAGCTAGCTGGAGACCCAGGAAAGGGTTGCAGTCCGAGTCCAAAGTCAGTCGGCTGACACAGTTTCTTCTTGGTCAGGGAAAATCAGTCTTCGCTGCATTCAGGTCTTCAACTGACTGGACGAGGCCCTCCTACCTCAAGGAGCATCAACTGCTTTACCCAAAGTCCACAGATTTGCAATGTTAGTCTCATCTAAAAAACACCTTCAAAAAACATCCACAGTAGTGTCTGACCAAATATCTGGGCACTGTCACCCAGCCAAGTTGACACACAAAGTTAACCATCACAGAGGACATCAAGAGATTCTTCCCTGACCACCCTGCTCCTGTCCTTGCCCCACTTCAATCCACTCACCTCTGTCGCCCAGGCTGGAGTGCAGTGGCGCCATCTCAGCTCACTGCAAGCTCCGCCTGCCGGGTTCACACCATTCTCCTGCCTCAGCCTCCCGAGTAGCGGGGACTACAGGCGCCCGCCCACCACCACGCCCGGCTAATTTTTTGTATTTTTAGTAGAGACGGGGTTTCACTGTATTAGCCAGGATGGTCTCCATCTCCTGACTTCATGATCCACCCGCCTCGGCCTCCCAAAGTGCTGGGATTACAGGCATGAGCCACCGTGCTCGGCTAGGACATACCTCTTGATCTCCTGTTAGCTCCGTGACCACACCTATTCTCTCCCTTTCAAACACTCTACTCCAGCTGCACATAGTACATACAGAGAACATGCACCAGCACTTTTTTAATCAATGGGAAAATTACTGAATAAATGAAATCTGTTAAACGACCAAAAGGTCTTAAAAATGTGGACTTTGGCCAGGGCAGTGGCTCATTCCTATAATCCCAGCATTTTGGGAGGCCCAGAGGAGAGGACTGCTTGAGCCCAGGAGTTTGACACCAGCATAGGCAACATAGTGAGACACCATCTTTACAAAAAATAAATTAGCCAGGCATGCTGGCACGTGCCTGTAGTCCCAGCTACTTGGGAGACTGAGGAAGGAAAATTGCTTGAGCACAGGAGTTCAAGGCTGCAGCGAGCTATGCACAGCAGCACTGCACTCCAGCCTGGGTGACAGAGCAAGAAAAAAAAAAAGTGGATTTTGTGGGTGAACAGAAAATAGGAATTCTTGGAGAGTTACAGAGTCATACACTAACATCTATGTGAGGCCTGAATACCAAAAGGCAACAAGACAAAAAGAAAAAAGCAACATGCCTTGGAGTCCAACACACCCATTCTACAATATAATAGGTATGTGGACTTAGGACAAAGTAAACTTCAACTTCTCTGATCTTAACTTCCCCCATCTGTCAGAAGGGCCGAGACGGCTCATTTCCTGTGTCACCTGACACAATGCCCAATACAGCAGGCATTCAACTTCAGTAAGAGACAAGTGCAAAAACCAAGACTTAGGGACCTGGGCCAGATGCGGTGGCTCACACCTGTAATCCCAGCACTTTGGGAGGCCGAGGCAGGCAGATTGCTTGAGCTCAGGAGTTTGAGACAAGCCTGGGCAACATGGCAAAACCCTGTCTGTTTTTTTAAATAATATTTTTTAAAATAATAATAGTAAAATGAAATAAAATAAAATAAATTAGGGAACTAGAAGAAAGTAATCACCAGATAGTGGAAATCTGAAAGCTTCCTATGATGAAGGCTTCCCAAAGACAAAGAACATTTTAATAAGGTGTTGAACAGTCAAAGACACAAAAGCGAGAATTAAGTAAGATCTTCATGAGCCAGGAGTTAACGTGAGCTGTGAAGACAGGAAAGTACACGGCAGAAAGCACAAAGAAACACAAGGCAGAAGGAAGCTGGGAGTGACGCAAGGCTCCCAGCCATGGGCTGCAATCCACAGGAAAGCTGGTGCTACACACTGGAGAATGCTCAAAATGGTATATCACAGCCACTGAGGTTTTCTTCTTCATATGCCAAGGTGAAGACACGAGAATGTAAGGATAACAGAAAGAATAATCACCATCAAAGAGTAAAATACAGTACCATGTGGAAGAGGAGACATGGGGAAATCCGTAAAAATCACTGGAAACAAAATTTATAAATTGTTCCCCACAGGCACTCCGGCAACACCTTCATCGTGAGTAAGGTGTTACTCACCTTCAGCATGAGCAAGATTCATGCTGGGACCCACAGGCGCCCACACCATCTCCGGCAATTCTTGTCTGAACTACCTATGATGTAGTCTGGCATTTTCTATTTATTTTTTAATGCTGGTGGTCACTACTCATTAAGCTGATTAAAAAAAAAATTGCCCATGTTCTTCTGCTGATTTAAGCTGATTTAATCATTAAGCTGATTTAACAACACTCTCTCAGACCGGACTGCAGTGACTTGGTGTACACTAATTTTACCATTGAGTGACTATCTCTAACAAATACATTTTAACTGTGCAATACCCTATGCTTATAAAAGCCATCCCTCCCGGCCGGGCGCAGTACCTCACGCCTGTAATCCCAGCACTTTGGAAGGCCGAGGCAGGCAGATCACGAGGCCAGGAGATCGAGACCATCCTGGCTAACACGGTGAAACCCCGTCTCTACTAAAAATACAAAAAATTAGCCGGCTGTGGTGGCGGGCGCCTGTAGTCCCAGCTACTCAGGAGGCTGAGGCAGCAGAATGGTGTGAACCCGGGAGGCAGAGCTTGCAGTGAGCCGAGATGGCGCCACTACACTCCAGCCTGGGCGACAGAGCGAGACTCCGTCTCAAAAAGAAAAAAAGCCATCCCTCCCCTATGTCAAATGTTCTCTCACTAATGTCAATGCCTCACTCAACACTCTCCTTCACTGGGAAAAATAACATTCAACAAGTATCCAAGTATCCACTATGTGCCAGGCACCGTGCGGGGTTCACAGGTCGGCTCACCCCAATCCGAACCCAGCTCTGCCACCAGATTTGTACCCTAATGCAGTGCTGCCTCAACAAATCGCAAAAACATAGCAGTTTCAAACAAGGCAAATTAATTACAAGTCCAGGTGAACTCAACTGGATCCCCTGCTTAGGGTTTCCTAAAGCTAAATCAAGGTGTTAGCAGAGTTGCGTTCCCTACTGGCAGTGCATTCAGGTTGTTGGCCAAAACCAGGCCCTTGCAATTGTAGGATCAGTCCCTTGCAAACTCAGTCCCTTGCAATTGTAGGACTGAGGTACCCATTTCCTTACCTGCTGTCAAGTGGGATCCAGTCTTTGCTCCTAGCTGCCCATATTCCATTCTCATGCTTTCCATGTGGCCCCTCCGAGCAATGATATTTCAAATCTCTCATTTCAAATTTATCTGACTCCAGCCTGAGAAAGTTCTCTGCTTTTAAGGGCTCATGTGATCAGACTGGGCCCACTCAGACAATCTAGCTAATCTTCCTGTCCTATGATCTGTAACCTTAATTACAGCTGCGAAATCTCTTTCACCATGTAACATTACATAGTCACAGGTTCCAGTGAACATCTTTGGGGGAGTCATTCTTCCCATCACCACCATTTGCTACAGGAAGTTGGGCAAGTCACTTTACCACCAAAACCTATTGCTTCATCTACAAAATCATGAAAGAATCAGTTGATGATAAAGCCATCAACCTCAAAGTGTTGTTGTGCGGATTCAATAATATAGCTATATTTAGCTGAGTGCCTGCTACGTGCTGGAAACTCTGGCATTGAATACATATGCACCTAGAGCCCAGGAAGCTACTTCCAGAAGAATTTCATCAAAACTAGCACTACTCATAGACCAACATTGCCTGTCACTGGTTAAATACAGAAGTTAAAATGTTTACATCAATTTCACAAAGTAATTTTACATATGTTGAATTTTTTTTTTTTTTTTGAGACAGGGTCTCATTCTGTCACCCAGGCTGGAGTGCAGTGGCACAATCTCAGCTTACTGCAACCTCTGCCTCAGGGACTCAAGCAATTCTCCCACCTCAGCCTCCTGAGTAGCTGGGGCGGCAGGCACAAACCACCATGCTGGGCAAATTTTTGTTTTTTTTTTTGGTAGAGACAGGGTTTCACCATGTTGGCCAGGCTGGTCTTGGAACTCCTGACCTCAAATGATCTGCCCACCTTGGACTCCCAAAGTGCTGGGATTACAGGTGGGAGCCACCACACCCAGATTGAATCTAATAATTTTTTAACTGCGATTAGTATGTTGTCTTTTTTCATTTCATTGCTCTGAAAATTCATTTTTATTGATTTTATAAAAGTCTCAGTCCATGAAGGACTAGAAATCTTAAAAACTTGTCCTTAGTGCTTAAAATGGCACTTAAATCTATACTTTCTGACAAGGTCAATAATAATTTACTTCCAATATTACAATGGGTTATTTAATAGCAATGCTGTTCACACCGTTAAAACTAAGGAGTAAGTGATGGACCATTAAGTAGGGGAGGCGGCCCACAGGATCATTTACCAGAGTAGCTCAAGGAAGTAAAGTGTGCAAACATACAAACAGCAACTCCAAAGTTGCACAAGGGGTCTCTCGGTCCCCCCTATGCCTCTAAGAACCAAATTTACCAAAGATCCCAAAGGTGTACTTGAAAGAACTCTACAAAGGCTTGAAGCAACCCACGAAAGCTTGACCCAGAGTCTGGGCCTATCCATCAAATCAGACAAGACTAACAAACAAGAGTAACTTTAAAAAAGAAAAATAAAGCCAGGCACGGTGACTCACACCTGGAATCCCAGCACTTTGGGAGGCCGACATGGGTGGACCACAAGGTCAGACCGACCTGGCCAACAAGGTGAAATGCTGTCTCTACTAAAAATACAAAATAAGCTGGGCGTGGTGGCACACGCCAGTAATCCCAGCTACTCGGGAGGCCAAGGCAGGAGAATCGCTTGAACCCAGGAGGCGGAGGTTTGTGGTGAGCCAACATTGCGCCACTGCACTCCAGCCTGGGCAACAAGAGCGAAACTATGTCTCAAAAAAAAAAAACCAAGAAAAAGAAAAACAAAACCACCTTCTCAACTGTAAAGCGTGCTGGACTTGGGGACTGAGCAAGAGTGACGGAGATACTCCAAGCTGGAAGTACTTCTCCCAGGGCCTTTTTAAAGAGCGAGAAGAGGGAGCAGGTGTTTCTACTCACCAAATCTACGTCTTTCCTCTAAAAACAGAGGATATACTCTTGCTTTTTATTTCCACCCAAATCAAGTGAACAGAGTAACTGATGGTAGCTACTTAAAGAATAGTGAGATGAGGAGGGAGTCTGTGAAACTTAACAAAGATTCAGCATTTGCACTCCTTGGTATTTACCCAATGAGTTGAAAACTTATGTCCACACAAAAACCTTGCCAAAACTTGGAAGCAGGCCGGGCGCAGTGGCTCACGCCTGTAATCCCAGCACTTTGGGAGGCTGAGGTGGGCAGATCACCTGAGGTCAGGAGTTCTAGACTAGCCTGGCCAACATGGTGAAACCCTGTCTCTATTAAAAATACAAAAATTAGCCAGGCGTGGTGGCATATGCCTGTAGCCTCAGCTACTCGGGAGGCTGAGGCAGGAGAATCGCTTGAACCTAGGAGGGGGAGATTGCAGTGAGGCGAGATGGCGCCACTCCACTCCAGCCTGGGTAACAAAGTGAGACTCCATCTCGGGGGGTGGGGGGAGAACTTGGAAGCAACCAAGCTCTCCTTCAGTAGGTGAATGGAGATAAACTGTGGTACATCCAGACAGTGGAATATTAATCAGTGCTAAAAGGAAAGAAGCTATCAAACCATGGAAAGGCATGGAGGAACCCCCAAATGCATACTAATACTAAGTGACAGAAACCCATCAAAAAGGCTACACATACTGTGTGATTCCAACTAGATGACAGTATGGAAAAGCAAAATTATGGAGACAGTAAAAAAATCAGTGGTTTCCACGTGGTGTAGGGAAAGGGAGGCAGGAACAGTGGGGCCGAGAAGATCTGTAGGTCAGTGAACTCTGTAATGCGTGACGTTAGGCGTTTGTCCAAACCCACAGAACGTCCAGTACGAGGCGTGAACCCTCCTGTAACGATGGCCTCCGGGTGACGAAGACGCAGCGATGCAGGTTCGCCGACTGTCACAAATACCCACACCTTACGCAGATGCTCACAGGGGAAACTCTGGGAGGGAAGGGGCCTATGGGACCTCTGCCCTCCGCTCCGTTATCCTGAAAACCTGAGTGCCTCAAAAACTAGTCTGTTAAACATTAAGAACTGAAAAAAAAAAAAAAAAAAAAACCTCTAGCTCAGCTTCCTTACAGGCACCGCTCTGGGCCGCGCGTCGGGTTGTGTAGTGACCACTCGCCCTGGACGGTCAGGGGTCCCTGGAGCCCCGCGAGAGGGCACGGGCTCGCGAGAAGGATCTGGATGGCCCGTGCCCTCGTCGCCAGGCCTCGCCCGGCCGCCCTCCAGCCGCCTCCGCCCCGCCCGCGTCCTACCTTTCGAACGCAGCGGCCGGCCGGGCCGGAGCTTGGGCCAGAGCCGGAGCCTGGGCCGCGGGACCAGCGCCGGGGGCCACGTCCTGGCGCTGCACCTCCTCCCTGGCCGCCCCTGCCGGGAAGGCGGGCGGCGCGCCCAGCAGCTCCACATTGGTCACCGTCTTGCCGATGGTGAACCAGTCGTTGATCTGCTCGATGGTGAGCTTCCGCAGCATCCTCAAGGCCCAGGCGTCGGCATCCCCCAACTGCCGGGTCTCCGCGGCGGGAACAGGCGACGGCGGAAGCGCACCCTGGAAGCCCCGCCCCCGCTCGAGGCCTTCCAATCAGAACGCGCCGCGCGCCCTTGTGGGCGGGCTCCGGCCCGGGCGCGTGCTGCCCGCGCTGCCTGGTCCTCGTGCCGCCGGCCCCGCCCCGCCGCGCTAGGCCTGCCGGGAGCCGCCGCCCCGAGCGAGCCCAGGGTGAGCCTTTCTAGGACCTCAGGGGAAGCTTGAGCGCCGCGGCTGGCCCGGGAGTCTGTTTCACGGGAGTTCCGTGGCAACCCCTGTGTGTACAAGAAAATGCCCTCCGGTCACTCCCTGGCCTCTCTATTTAGAGGCTGCTGCCTCGGAGGTTTGTGCGCTTTGAGCGGACCGGGACCCTACATACGTTTCTTGAGCACCTCAGGGTGAGGAGATGGAAGGCAAACCAGAGAAGGGATTTGCGTTCGTGGGTCAGACGTACCAGGACATCCTTGCACCTAATATGGGGGGAGAGGGGCAAGAAGAAGGTCAGGAAGGTCTCGGAGAAAGTAACGCCAGGCAGACCCCTGCAGGATACGGGGGAATGCGCCAGACGGAGGACCACCCAGGGTTATAGGGGAGGGCAGGCGGCCCTGATGGCTGAGGTGAGGATCTGGGAGAAGTTCTTTGCAGCCGGATCATAACTGAATTCATCTTCCTTCCTAAACCGGTGTCTCAGGCGGCGGTGTCAGACTCACAGCTGGACACAAACAGGTGCGGACAGGAGGTCCAGGCGATCACATGGACCAAAGATACAGGCTGAGGTGGTCCCGGCCGAGCTCTAGAAGAGTGAGGGTGGAGAACAGAGCCCTAGCAAACTCCCCAAAAGAAGGAGCCGCGGGAAGAAATCAACAAAGGATGCACGGGAAGGCAGCCACGTGTGCAAGGGAAGGGAGGGTCAGAAGAGAGACATGGCCACCTGCCTGGGGTGTGTCCCCCTCACTGGCCAGGGCAGGATCTATCTGGCCCATGTGGGCTCTCAGGAAAGAGCCATGTGAACAAATACAGAGACGGTATCGAGAGCATGGCTCTAATCAGCAGTGTAAAGCCCAAGCAGTGGCAAATAAGAGGGCGGTTTGAAAACACTGTAGACAGAAATCAGGCAGGTAGGTTGAGCTATTGGTGTCTCAAAAATTGAACCCATAATCATACTAAGCCAGGAGTTCTGGCTCCAAATCCTGGCATAATGAGCTCTAGACCTCATATTAGGACTCTGCCAAATACGACAGGTTCCCAAAAGTGCCTCAACACACTTTGCCAGGAAGAAATAACTTGCTTTTCTTTTTTCTTTTGAGGCAGGGTCTCACTCCTGTCGCTGAGGCTGGAGTGCCGTGCTGCAATCAGGGCTCACTGCAGCCTCAACTTCGGGGGCTCAGGTGATGCTCCCACCACAACCTCCTGCATAGCTGGAACTACAGGCTCACGCCACCACCACACCGGCTAATTTTTTATATTTTTAGTACAGACAGGGGTTTCGCTGTGTTGCCCAGGCCAGTCTCAAGCTCCTGGGCTCAAGCAATCTGTTTGGGAGCCCTTGGCCTCCCAAAGTGTTGAGACTACAAGCATGAACCACCATGCCCAGTCATGTTTTTCAAAAAATAAGAAAAAAGGTAATCATAAAGTAATTGAGACTCATGGTATGTCATTCAGCATTGATTGGAAAATATTGTAACTTCACACTGTATGTGGAGGCTAGGACATAATTCAAAATTTTACAAAATATATTGAAACCACTTGAAGCAACTCCAGAACTCACACTTGTTTTGTTTTGTTTTTTGTTGTTGTTTTGAGACGGAGTCTTGCTCTGTCACCAGGCTGGAGTGCAGTGGCGCGATAGCTCACTGCAACCTCTGCCTCCCAGGTTCAAGCAATTCTCCTGCCTCATCCTCCGGAGTAGCTGGGACTACAAGCATGCACCACCATGGCTGGCTAATTTTTTGTATTTTAGTAGAGACGGGGTTTCACCATGTTGGCTAGGAAGGTCTCAATCTCCTGACCTCATGATCCGCCCGCCTCGGCCTCCCAAAATGCTGGGATCATAGGCGTGAGCCACCGCGCCTGGCCTGTTTTTCTAGGATGTTGCTGTTACCGTGTGCTGTCATCCTTTGTTGATGTCACAATGAATACGATTTTAAGTGGAAGATGCTTTTCAAAAACATTTTCTGGGGGGCATTTTCTATATTCTTTGATCTTTTGGGCTACTAGCTAATCCTTCTGAGTTTTGATTTTTTTTTTAATTGCAATCCAAAGATACTCTCTTGATGCTTCTTTGGAAATTTGCCAATTTGGAAAGTTGCCATAGTGTTTCCTGACCAAACACTAGTTAACATTCTGAATCATCACAGACTGAATGGCTTTGAGCACCTTTCATTTGATTCAGTAGTTCTCGGTGCTCCCAACTCACTTGGTCAAGTTCACCTTGCATTGCTGTCCAAAGTTCAGAGTTAAAAGAAACAGCTTGGGCTGGGCGCGGTGGCTCACGACTGTAATCCCAGCACTTTGGGAGGCTGAGGTGGGCAGATCGTGAGGTCAGGAGTTCAAGACCAGCCTGACCAACATGATGAAACCCCATCTCTACTAAAAATACAAAAATTAGCTGGGTGTAGTGGCGCGCACCTGTAATCCCAGCTACTCGGGAGGCTGAGGCAGGAGAATCGCTCGAACCCAGGAGGTGCAGGTTGCAGTGAGCCAAGATCGCACCACTGCACTCCAGCCTGGGCGGCAGAGCAAGACTCTGTCTCAAAAAAGAAAAAAGAAACAAGAAACAGCTTGACATCAGATAGATCTTCATGGACTTGTCACATCTAGGCCAGAACACATGGGAAGGCCACTGAACCCCTAGTGAGCCATGGTATTTTGGGAAGGTTTTGCATATTTGCATTCACTGAGCATTTGAGCGTCCACCAAAAAGGGGAAACTAACAGCTGAGAGCAGTTACAAATGGTGTTGGTGCCATTCAGCAGCACTCTCCTCAAAGCAGAGGAAGCTGTGCTCGAAGTAGCTTGCTGTCTTCTCCAGCCTTCCTACCACAAGATGCAACATTCTGCACTTTGAATAAATCTGCTGGAGTGGCCCTTTCCTTAAACATTTAGGTTTTTTTGGCCGGGCGCAGTGGCTCACACCGGTAATCCCAGCACTTTGGGGGGCTAAGGCGGGCGGATCACGAGGTCAGGAGATCGACACCATCCTGGCTAACTCGGTGAAAAACCATCTCTACTAAAAATACAAAAAATTAGCCTGGCGTGGTGGCGGGCGCCTGTAGTCCCAGCTACTTGGGAGGCTGAGGCAGGAGAATGGCGTGAACCCGGGAGGCAGAGCTTGCAGTGAGCCAAGATCACGCCACTGTGCTCCAGCCTGGGCGACAGAGCAAGACTCTATCTCAAAAAAAAAAAAAAAAAAAAAAGAAACATTTGGTTGTTTTTTTTTTTTAAGATGTGCGTTTCTTAGGGTGTTTTGGATTTGAAACTAAAGACATTAAAACTCTCTTGGTCTGAGCACAGTGGCTCACGCCTGTAATTCTGACACTTTGAGAGGTCAAGGTGGGAGGATCACTTGAGGCCAGCAGTTCAAGACCAGCCTGGGCAACATAGCAAAGTCTATTGATCTCAAGTCTAGTTGGAAGTTCAGAAGCTCTGTCTTGAAGCAGCTCTCCATGATGTTCTTCCTTAAGTTTTTCCTAAATGCTTGTTCTCGTCCTCAGCAGTGTTATAAGTCATTATAAATCTAAAACTCTAAAACATTTTTACTATAGGACAGTGGTTCTCAAACCTGGTTCTGTCTCAGAACCCCTTTACACTCTTAAAAGTTGCTGAGGACCCTAAAGAGATTTTGTTTATGTGGGTTATGTCTATCAGGGATTACAACTGAGAAATGTTTTTACTTATTTATTTTAAAATGATAAACCCGTTTGATGTTAAACAGTGTATTTTTCTAAAACGTCACTATGTTTTCCAAAAAACATTGTGTGTGTGTGTGTGTGTGTGTGTGTGTGTGAGAGGAATAACACTTTTACATTTTCAAAGATCGCACCACTGCACTCCAGCCTGGGCGACACAGCAAGACTCCATCTCAAAAAAGAAAAAAAATGATTTTAACTGGATCTTGAGCCTTTTATTATTTTATCTTGACACATCTGAGCTCGTTTTCCTTGTGCCTGAATAATGAACATTTATTTTACTGTGGATCTGCTTGTGATTATTTCAGTCCTAGCTGCACCATTTTATAAACCCCCCACCATTTCACAGACCCTGGTCGGAGTGAAACATTCCATGGGGGCTCTGACCATAAGAAACATCCTGCCCAACTGCCTGACTGCGGGAACATCCTTATCACATCCTGCCAGGCAGCAAGCCATACTGCCCAGACCCATCCAGCCCAGACCTATAATTACCCCAGCCTGGAAGCGGCAGTGAGCTCGGGCACTAAACTGGTTATCCGCTCCACGGGTTTTTGCTGGCAATAAACCTGTGTTGCTGTTGAAGCCACCATCTCTCTCCCCTCTCCCCTCCCCCCCTCCCTCTGTGTGTGTGTGTCTGTCTTGTCTGTCTTTAACCCTTGCCTTCCCTTCAAAACCTAATAATTTCCTCTTTTTTTTTTTCCTTTAAAGATGGGATCTTAATACATTGGCCAGGCTGGTCTCAAAATTCTGGGCTCAAGCAGTCCTCCCAAAGTGCTGGGATTACAAGCATGAGCCACCATGCCTAGCACGATTTCCTCTTAGTTTGTCCTTAACTGTCTTTATTTTACCTTCTTTTCTGAATGCCAATTTCCCTGTGTATAGAATTCCCTGTGTATAGAATTCTTGATTGGTGGTTACTTTCTTTGAGATTTTATCTTTATCTTTTCTATGGCTTTATTGTGAGATTTCAAGGTATTGATTTATTTTTATTTATCTGCCTGCTTGGTTTCTGTAAGGCTTTTTGTTTGTTTTTTGTTTTTTGTTTTTGTTTTTGAGACGGAGTCTTGCTCTGTTTCCCTGGCTGGAGTGCAGTGGCGCCATCTCTGCTCACTGCAAGCTCCGCCTCCCGGGCTCACGCCATTCTCTCACTCAGCCTCCGGAGTAGCTGGGACTACAGGCACCCACCACCACACCCAGCTAATTTTTTTGTATTTTTGGTAGAGACGGGGTTTCACCGTGTTAGCCAGGATGGTGTGGTGATCCGCCCGCCTTGGCCTCCTAAAGTGCTGGGATTACAGGCGTAAGCCACCGCGCCTGGCCTCTGTAAGGCTTTTTGAATCTTTGGCATGATTTTTTTCTCATCACTTTTGGAAAATTCTCAGCCATTAGCTCTTCAGATATTTCTGCCTCACCTCTTTAATTTCCTTCTAAGATACCAATTACCCATATGATTGGTATCTTTCCTGCTGTATCCCTCTTATTTTCTGAATGGCTTCTTCGATCTTGCAGTTTATTCTTTAACTGTCTAATCTGCCAAATCCATCCAATTTTTTGTTTTGTTTGTTTGAGACAGAGTCTCGCTCTGTCGCCCAAGCTGGAATACAGTGGCGCCATCTCAGCTCACTGCAGCCTCCACCTCCAGGGTTCAAGCGATTCTCCTGCCTCAGCCTCCCAAGTACCTGGAATTACAGGTGCGCACCACCACCACACCCAGCTAATTTTTGTATTTTTAGTAGAGAAGGGGTTTCACCATGTTAGCCAGGCTGGTCTCAAACTCCTGAACTCAAGCAGTTTGCCTGCTTTGGCCTCCCAAAGTGCTAAGATTACAGATTACAGGCCTCCCAAAGTGCTGAGCCACTGCGCCCAGCCTCCATCCAATTTTTATTTGGCTTTTTTTTTTTTTTTTTTTTTTTTGAGATGGCGTTTCACTCTTGTCGCCCAGGCTGGAGTGCAAAGATCTCGGCTCACTGCAACCCCTGCCCTCCGGGTTCAAGTGATTCTCCTGCCCCAGCTTCCTGAGCAGTTGGGATTACAGGCGCCCACCACCAAGCCCGGCTAATTTTTGTATTTTTAGTAGAGATGGGGTTTCGCCATGTCGGCCAGGCTGGTCTTGAACTCCTGACCTCAGGTGATCCGCTCGCTAAATTTTTTTCTTTTATGATTTCTAGTTCTCTACTGGAAAATATTTCTGAAAAAAAAAATATATATATATATATATATTTTTAAGACTATTAAGCCCAGTGTCTGGAGCCCCTGTGGAAGTTTTATATTATCTGCTGAGAAGAATATGCACAGAATACAGACATAAAAATATGCAGAGCAGGCCGGGCGCGGTGGCTCAAGCCTGTAATCCCAGCACTTTGGGAGGCTGAGGCAGGTGGATCACCTGAGGTCAGGAGTTCAAGACCAGCCTGGCCAACATGGTGAAACCCCGTCTTTGCTAAAAATACAAAAACTAGCTGGGCTTGGTGACCAGCGCCTGTAATCCCAGCTATTCAGGAAGCTGAGGCACGAGAACCGCTTGAACCCGGGAGGCGGAGGTTGCAGTGAGCCGAGATCGCGCCACTGCACTGCAGCGTGGGCGACAGAGTGAGACTCCGTCTCCAAATATATATATTTTATACATGCAGAGCTAAATAATTAACAATAGAAAGGGACAAGACACACCACTGAAATGGGAGACTTGACTTAGTCTTTAACGTCACAGTAAAGAGGGTCCCTTTTCTTAGGTTAACCAACCCTCCCGGTATGTCTAGAACTTTCCTAGTTTCAGCGTTGAAGGTCCCGCGTCCCAGGAAACCCATCAGTCGTGGGAAGATGTGGAGGATTAGCCAGCCCACAGTGACACACGCGGGCACACCCCTAACGCACCCTCTCCCCGCCCCTTCTTGCCTGCGACACCAGGCGGCCGCCGGGGGCGCTGTGGTGCGGAGGCGCCGCTGGGGAGGCACTCTGGCCTTGCGGCGTCTCTGCTGCTTCCGCCTTCCCGGCATCCCCTGCGCGCGCCTGCGCGCTCGGTGACCTTTCCGAGTTGGCTGCAGATTTGTGGTGCGTTCTGAGCCGTCTGTCCTGCGCCAAGGTGAGTACGGGGACCTGGACCTGGCTCCCGAGGTGCGAGACGGCGGGGGCGGGAGGGCGAGAAGCCGCCTTGGCCCCAGCTGATCTTGGGGTTCCACCCCTCCGCCGGCACGCGCCTGCTTTTCTGCCCGGCTTTCCCTTCTCTGAAGGGAGGTAGGCCAGGGTCGGTTGCCAGAGGGAAGCATCGCCTAGGCCTGCGCCGCGTTTCCCTCCTTGGCCTTAACGCGCTCAGTGCACCTGAATTCTCCCACGGTTTTGACAGGGAGCGTACCTTGGCCTTGAGAGGTTCAGCTGCCTAACCCAGAGGCTACGCAGAGTTAGAGAAGCCAGAGTCCAAGCCAAGAACTCTGACTCCACATCCAGTCCCTTCTCTCCTTTATAACTCAAGTTTCCTTGCGCCACACTGCCCTCCACGTTATGCTGTACATGACAACTTGGGTGAGGCAACAGGGAAGCTGAAAAGAGATCATACGGTGCTGAATGAAATTGTATGGAACTCGCGGGTCAGACATTTCCCATTTCCAGTGTCAGGTAATAGTTCGCCCTTAATGTAATGTGCCAAAACTTTGCAGACTTAAGTGGATACAGTAGACACACGTTTGGCCTATGAATAAGATGGATTTTTAAAAGGTCTGGTGCTGTAAAACTGACACACACAGCTAGGAAATGTGCCTGGGCAGAATGGACTCAAGAAAGGGGCCGGCCGGGCGCGGTGGTTCACGCCTGTAATCCCAGCCCTTTGGGAGGCTGAGGCGGGCGGATCACGAGGTCAAGAGATCGAGACCATCCTTACCAACATGGTGAAACGCCGTCTCTACTAAAAATACAAAAATTAGCTGGGTGTGGTGGCAGGCACCTGTAGTCCCAGCTACTCGGGAGGCTGAGGCAGGAGAATCGCTTGCACTCGGTAGGCGGAGGTTGCAGTGAGCCGAGATCGCGCCATTGCATTCCAGCCTGATGACCGAGTGAAACTCCGTCTTAAAAAAAAAAAAAAAAAAAAAAGTAGGGGCTGTCGTTTTATTATGTGTTGGGAATATGTAGCTGGGCGCGGTGGCTCACGCCTGTAATCCCAGCACTTTGGGAGGCCGAGGCGGGCGGATCACGAGGTCAAGAGATCGAGACCATCCTGACTAACACGGTGAAACCCCGTCTTTACCAAAAATACAAAAAATTAGCCCAGTGTGGTGGCACGCGCCTGTAGTCCCAGCTTCCCAGCTACTCAGGAGGCTGAGGCAGGACAATCGCTTGAACCCTGGAGGCGGAGGTTGCAGTGAGCCGAGATCGCGTCACTGCATTCCAGCCTGGGTGACAAAGCGAGACTGTCTCAAAAAAAAAAAAAAAGTAGGGGCCGGACGCGGTGGTTCACGCCTGTAATCCCAGCCCTTTGGGAGGCTGAGGCGGGCGGATCACGAGGTTAAGAGACCGAGACCATCCTGGCCAACATGGTGAAACCCCGTTTCTACTAAAAATACAAAAATTAGCTGGGTGTGGTGGCGGCCTCTTGTAGTCCCAGCTACTCGGGAGGCTGAGGCAGGAGAATCGCTTGCACCCGGGAGGCGGAGGTTGCAGTGAGCCGCGATCGCACCATTGCACTCCAGCCTGATGACCAACTGAAACTCTGTCTAAAAAAAAAAAGGGGGGGCCCTCGTTTTATTATGTATTGGGAACATGTCACTTGTCCAGGCAAATATGGCAACTGAAGTCAAGGGGAAAGGAAGGGAAAGGTATTTGCAAGCTACTGAATAGCAGGCCCCTGTTGCACTGGGGACTAAGGGTAATTTTGTAAGGAGACCATACCAGGGTGCCTGGGCCCGGAGCACAATGTCAGCATGACTCAGTTTCTTTAGTCCCTTCTTACCGTAGTCATTGTACCCTCCCAGTTTACTTTGCCCTTTTCCTTATAGACCCTCATCTTACCTTGTTCTGTCCAAAGCCCCTACCTGGCCTAAATGAGGGCGTCTTTTTAAGCCTTCCTTCTTGTTAGAGTCCCAGTGGCTTAGTATTAATTATAGCCATGAACTGGATATTTGTATCAATTCTGTTACTGCTGTGATCAGTCACTGAATTCTTTTTTTTTTTTTTTTTTTAAGATAAAGGGGGAGTGTCTTGTTGCCCAGGCTGGAGTGCAGTGGCACGATCTTGGCTCACTGCAAGCTCCGCCTCCCGGGTTCAAGCGATTCTCCTGCCTCAGCCTCCCGAGTAGCTGGGATTACAGGCGCCCACCACCATGCCCAGCTAGTTTTTGTATTTTTAGTAGAGATGGTTTCGCCATGTTAGCCAGGCTGGTCTCAAACTACTGACCTTAAGTGATCCGCCCACCTTGGCCTCCCGAGATGCTGGGATTATAGGCGTAAGCCACCGTGCCCAGTCCATTCTCTGGATTTTTATTCCGTACCAGGCACTAGGCACTAGGCTGGGTCCTTTAGGTTTCTCCTTTGTTTTTGTTTTTGAGATGGAGTCTCGCTCTGTCACCCAGGCTGGAGTGCAGTGGTGCAATCTTGGCTCACTGCAAGCTCCGCCTCCCGGGTTCACGCCATTCTCCTGCCTCGGCCTTCCGAGTAGCTGGGACTACAGGCGCCCGCCACCACGCCCGGCTAATTTTTTGTATTTTTAGTAGAGACGGGGTTTCACCGTGTTAGCCAGGATGGTCTTGATCTCCTGACCTCTTGATCTCCCTGCCTTGGACCCCCAAAGTGCTGGAATTACAGGCGTGAGCTACCGCTCCCGGCCTTGGTTTCCTCTTTGAATTGCATTGACAGCCCTCTGGGGGCAGGTGGAGGTATCCCTGTTTCACAGAAAAAGAAACCTCTGGGTTGAGCCTGGTGGCCCACGCCTGTAATCCCTGCACTTTGGGAGGCCGAGGCGGGCAGAACACAAGGTCAGGAGATCGAGACCATCCTGACTAACACAGTGAAACCAAGTCTCTACTAAAAATACAAAAAATTAGCCAGGCGTGGTGGCGGGCACCTGTAGTCCCAGCTACTCGGGAGGCTGAGGCAGGAGAATGGTGTGAACCCGGGAGGCGGAGCTTGCAATGAGCCGAGATCCGCCACTGCACTCCAGCCTGGGTGACAGAGCGAGACTCCGTCTCAAAAAAGAGAAAAAAAAAAACCTCTGAAACAACAGCTAAAGGGACTTGCCCACAGTTGAGAGCTGACCAGGCAGAGCTGGTGTTGGAGCCCAGGATTCCCAGGCTTCCAAACCCATCGGTCCTGTAGAATGCTTCCTTCCCAGTCGTTGCTGAGAGACAAGGGATTCACTCCATGCCTCTGAACTCCTAGTCTGGGGCTTCCAGAAACCTCCTCTGGGTCTTGTTTGGATCATCTGTGACATATTCCCAAAGCAGGGCTGTTCGTTTCTTGGAACCTCACACTGTCAGAGCATTCGAGTAGCTTGAGGACAGGAAATTTGAGGGCGGACTATCTGCAAGGTGTTCCAGGAGAAGGACACAGTCGCATCCTGCAAGGTCAGACCTCAGGCCACCCTCACGACCATCCTTGCCTAAATAAGTCCTCTCATAGGGAAGAGCAGGAAAGCAGGTGTTGGAGGTAGGTTCTCGTCATCAGGAGCATGACGTACAGATTTGGTGTGAGTGCAGTCCTGCTAACCTGCTGCGGGATCCGAGTACCCGCTTTATAGGAGCTTTCTCCAAGTACCCACTTTATAGGAGTGGGAAGCAGTGTAGGAAGTAAGTACGAAAAGCACTTTTAAAATGCTGTTAAAGGGCTAGAGACAGAACTAACCACAATCAGGGCAGTCCCTGCTGTAGCTCCGGCCTGGCCTCCCCATTCTTGCCTGACTCAAGACACTAACTTAGTTCCTGGTTCGGTGCCCTGTTGGTGCTCCTCTGTCCAGTAGCTTAGCTCCCACGGTGGGGGAGGAATCGAAGGGGCTCTGCAGCCCCCACCAGCTGCCCTCGAATCCCATCCAGGCCAGTTCCAGATTCTAAACTGAATTTTCTTCATATTGTCAAAACGGGAAACAAAAAAACCCTAAAGCAAAAAAAAAAAAAGTTGTTAAATTTAGAGAACAGTTTTAGAATAAAAGCTAAATTCTATGCTAGCCTCCAAGGCCCTTAAATGACATGGCCCATCTTCCTTCCCATAGTCCAGCCATGGTATTTTATGTAACAAGCATTTAATATACAGTACCAGACACTCAACATTTGACATAGAGTTATTCTATGTTATTCTCCATAACAACCCCTTGAGGTGGATCCTGTTTTTATCCCTGTTTTACAGATGAGAAAACTTAAGCGGTTTAAGTTAGCTAGTAAGTGACAGCCAGGATTTGAATCTGGCACTGTGGCCTCCCTATTCCTTCCAGCTCTCCGAGTTCATTCTGACCTCGGAGTCTCTGCCAATGCCGAGGATTCCTCTCCCAGATATCCTGACCCTTTATTGTTTCTCAGCTCCTAAAACAATGTCTGGCACCTAGTACATGCTCAGTGCACATTTGCCAAGTGAATAAATGACCACACGATCCGGGTTTCAGTGATTTGAGGGCCGCCATTTGACCTTTGACTAGGTTGGGCTTGTGAAGGATTCAGTGCGGTAAAGCTGACACACACAGCTGCGCAGTGTGGGAAAGGGAGCACACTGCCGAGCATTCGGATTCTTTGGATCCTGAGCAGTGATGTGAAAGGAGCAGTGAGTGGGTGGAGGGAGGGAGGGGTGGAGGCAGCATTACAGCCGCAGCCAACGCGCAGTTCTTTCTTTCTTTTTTGAGACAGAGTCTCACTTTGTCACCCAGGCTGCAGTGCAGTGGTGTGATCATGGCTTACTGCATCTTCAACCACCCAAGCTCAAGCAGTCTTCCCACCTCAGTCTTCCAATAGCTGTGACTAACATAAAAAATTAGCCAGGCAAGCACCACCACACCTGGTTAATTTTTTATGTTTTGTAGAGACGGGGTCTCCCTATGTTACCCAAATTAGTCTCGAGCTCCTGGACTCAAGTGACCCTCCCACATCAGCCTCCCAAAGCGCTGGGATTACAGGCATGAGCCACCACACCCAACCAAAGCAGTTTCCAAGTGAAATGAGAAGTGCTTAGATCTAGTCACTCCTGACAGCTATTTGACTGTAGTTTAATGGACCACTTCAGATGTTAAAAAGCATATTAAAATGAAAATGAGGGCATCTAATTTGCGGTCTATAGTAGAGAGTAAATTGTAAAAGTAACAAAAAGCATTATTTTGAGACCTGCACATACAAGCAAACTGTAAGTTTGGAATTTAATGGCTTTTCCCAATCAAATTCAGTAATTCATTAAGTAACTACCTTTATTGATTAAATAAGTTCTATCTTAATTGGCAGTTATTATGAAGTGACCTCGTTGTCTTATGTCATCTGTTTTGTATTTAGCAATAGACTTCAAGATGGAGATACAGCTGATCAGAGTGTGCTGAGCCTGGCATTAGTTTCACAAGGAAATCACCATGCCCTGGCCATATTCTTTTTCAGCTTCGAATGCGACATTCATTACATGACGATGAGAAGATACTAATTTTTCGATTTAGACATTAGAGTCATGTGCAGTTCAGGGCATGGCATCAGGGTGGGAGAGGTGCTGGATGAGCTCTGTGATGTAAGGAAGGAGAAGTGGCTAGGATGGCCAAAGGTGGGAGGAGGGGGCCCTGGGGATGGGTTGAGTTGGAAGAGCTGTGGAAAGCATGAGTCCCAGGCCGGGCCCTGTGGCTCACACCGTAATCCTAGCACTTTGGGAGGCCAAGGTGGGCAGATCACTTGAGGTCAGGAGTTTGAGACCAGCCTGACCAATGTGGTAAAACCCCATCTCTGCTTTAAAAAAAAAAAAAAAAAATGGCCAGGCACAGTGGCTCACACCTATAATCTCAGCACTTTGGGAGGCCAAAGCAAGGCAGATCGCCTGCACTCAGGAGTTCGAGACCAGCCTGGCCAACATGGCAAAACCCTCTCTCTACTAAAAATACAAAAATTAGCCAGGCGTGGTGGCACGCATCTGTAGTCCCAGCTACTCGGGAGGCTGAGGCAGGAGAATCACTTGAACCTGGGAGTCAGAGGTTGCAGTGAGCCAAGATTGTGCCACTGCACTCCAGCCTGGGTGACAGAGTGAGACTCCACCTTAAAAAAAAAAGAGGTGTGAGTCCCCTGTGAGTGCAGAACGGGTCTGACATCTGACACAGGCGAGGCTCCCTAGCAGTCATGGGAAATGGGGTTGAACTTAACAAATTAAAATCTTTTACCAGTTAGGTTTAAAGCAATCATCATTCTAATTTTTAATCACTGTGTTCATTTTCAGATGCTTCAAAGTATTATTAAAAACATATGGATCCCCATGAAGCCCTACTACACCAAAGTTTACCAGGAGATTTGGATAGGAATGGGGCTGATGGGCTTCATCGTTTATAAAATCCGGGCTGCTGGTACGTTTCCTTATGTTTGATTTTTCTGAGGTCAGGAAGAAAATTATTTTCAAAAAGAATCACAATTCACATTGTAAAGGAACTATGGGTTCTAACTAGGTATGAACATTAGAGCTACCTACAGTCCTTCGTAAAAAATACAGGGAGCACATGTCAGCTATAAAAGACATTTGGGGACAGTGGGGAATTTTTTTTTTCTTTTCTTTTCTTTTTTTTTTTTTTTTTTTTGGAGACAGTCTCTCACTCTGACGCCCAGGCTGGAGTGCAATGGCACGATCATGGTTCACTGCAGCCTCCACCTCCTAGGCTCAGGTGATTTCAGGTGATTCTCCCACCTCAGCCTGCCAAGTAGCTAGGACCACAGGTGCCCGTCACTATGCCCAACACCACCACACCTAGCTAATTTTTTTTTTGTACTTTTTTTTTTTGTAGAGATGGGGTTTTGCCATGTTACCCAGGCTGGTCTTGAACTCCTGGGCTCAAGCAGTCCTCCAATCTTGGCTTCCCAAAGTGCTGGAATTAACAAGCGTGAGCCACAACACCTGGCCCAATTGGGGAACTTTGAACAAGACTTTAATATCAGAATTGTGAGTTTTCTTAGGTGTGAAAGTGGTATTACATTCGTTTTAAGAGATGAAGGCTAAAATATTTAAGGTATGGGTTCATGGTATGTGGTATTTCATTGCACCTTTTCAACTGTTCTGAATATTTGAAATTTGTTTGTAAAAAAATTTGGAGGGGAGGAATAACCACTTGGTTCTCAGTAGAGCAGAGCAGTGTGGCCCAATCACATGTTACTAAGCCATTGATTACAAAGAGAAAAGAGAAAACTTTATGCTGCAAGACTAAAGTTTAGGACATTGTAGAAGGTAAGGAGCCCTGCAAATTTGAAAGGGCTGTTAGCTGTTCATAGAACATCTTTGGTAGGAATTTTACCATTTCTTGGCTATAAGACATTTTCTGAAAGCTTCCTGAATTGCTTTACCTAAGCTACAATGCCTTCAGCTAAATGTTAATTTTGACAAAGGCATTTTTGTAAAGCATTGATAT
The DNA here is from genome assembly GCF_000001405.40 of Homo sapiens. Classification (NCBI taxonomy): domain Eukaryota; kingdom Metazoa; phylum Chordata; class Mammalia; order Primates; family Hominidae; genus Homo; species Homo sapiens. The sequence goes on along the minus strand of NC_000014.9, from coordinate 103,914,015 downwards.
GACTGCTTTTTTTTCCTTCCTTTTATTTTAGATAAAAGAAGTAAGGCTTTGAAAGGTAAGATTTTTGCTTCTGAAAATGGTTGGGAATGGAAAACAGCATCATGTCTTTTCAGGACAAGGTATATCGTTGTTCTCAATTGAAATCGAAACACAGTTCAGTATATATGTAAGGTGCAGTTGAAATGCTTCACAGCTTGAAGTTTGCTATGCCTGCTGGGAAAGAGAATTCTGAATTTCTGCTTTTTATAGTCAAGTGGATCAAGTAAAACTTCCAGGAGTAATAGAGGAATGGATTAATTAGAGGTAGTCGATATCATCACCAATAGGGAAGCACAAGTGAGCTGTGCAAGCATGCTGTCCTAGAAGTTCCCTAATGATGTCGTTTTATTTTGTTTATTGTTTTTTGAGACGGAGCCTCGCTCTGTCGCCCAGGCTGGACTGCAGTGCTGCGATCTCAGCTCACTGCAAGCTCCGCCTCCCAGGTTCATGCCGTTCTCCTGCCTCAGCCTTCTGAGTAGCTGGGACTACAGGCACCTGCCGCCACGCCTGGCTAATGTTTTGTATTTTTAGTAGAGATAGGGTTTCACATAGCCAGGATGGTCTGGATCTCCTGACCTTGTGATCCACCCGCCTCAGCCTACCCGTAATGATGTGTTTTTAATGGTTTGGTTTTGTTTTTTGGGTTTTTTTTTTTTTGAGACAGAGTCTCGCTGTGTTGCCCAGGCTGGAGTGCAGTGGCACAATCTTGGCTCACTGCAACCTCCGCCTTCCAGGTTCAAGCAATTCTCCTGCCTTAGCCTCCCAAGTAGCTGGGATTACAGGTGCCCGCCACCATACCCGGCTAATTTTTTGTATTTTTAGTAGAGATGGGGTTGGCCGGCTGGTTTCAAACTCCTACCTCAGGTGATCCACCTGCCTTGGCCTCCCAAAGTGTTGGGATTACAGGCGTGAGCCACTGCGCCTGGCCTTTAATGTATTTTGAAAGAAAGCGCCTTATAAATTTATGCCAGAGTGACAATGAAACTGTAGCCATTTGAATGTTACACAAACCCAGGACTGGCTACATGAGTTTGAGGAGGAGGTGTTTCCCTGCCTCTCTCTTTGCGCTGTGGGTGACCACTGCCTGTCTGCTGTCATTACATGAACCCTTAAGCACTCTGGGTGTTTCATATAGAAATAATCCTACTTTTCAATAGTATTGAAAGGTGTCATTTATCTTTTTGGACTGTTGATCAACTTCTTTTGATACTTGTTTAATAAATTACATCCAACTTGTTCCTTCCTTCTTAAATCATATTTATATATGCATCTCTTTCAAAAGCTTCAGCGCCTGCTCCTGGTCATCACTAACCAGATTTACTTGGAGTACATGTGAAAGAAAACGTCAGTCTGCCTGTAAATTTCAGCAAGCCGTGTTAGATGGGGAGCGTGGAACGTCACTGTACACTTGTATAAGTACCGTTTACTTCATGGCATGAATAAATGGATCTGTGAGATGCACTGCTACCTGGTACTGCTTTCAGTGTGTTCCCCCTCAGCCCCTCCGGCGTGTCAGGCATACTCTGAGTAGATAATTTGTCATGCAGCGCATGCAATCAGAATCTCACTGAGCCACCCATCATTGTGAAATAATTACCTCAGTTGTACAGGACTTGGTGATCAGGATCCAGGCACTCACTTGTATTCTACTGCTCAATAAACGTTTATTAAACTTGATCCTGCTACTTATCTTGTGGCCTCTCTGAGCCTCTTGTTTTCTTATTTGGAAAATGGAGATGTTAATTATGTAAGCTCTAACTTACAGTTATTATGAGGATAAATAAGAGAAAGATTTAAACTATGAAGTCCTTTAGAAATAAGGTAGCATTCAATGACATAGTAGTTGAAATTATAAGCTGTAGGAGAATATTGCATCAGGAAATAATCACAAGGCAAAGTACATAATAAGCCAATTGAAAAAAAAAGCCAATTGATTCTAGTTAGGCTAGTATCAAATGCATACTGCATAATATTTGTCTCCATCTAAGACAATTACCAAGATCCCTAAATTGTGCGCTAAAAAGATTCTAAAGCAGCAAGCATGGGGGTAAAAGTGAGTCCAGTTTGAAATCTGGCACTCTGCAGGTGGGTAGGAGAGCAGCTGTGGAATGGGGGTGGTGGCTGCACCCTGGGTGTCCTGTCCTCTTGAGACCATCCTGTTTATCATCTGTGTCTCTGGCATTTAGCCTCATTAGGTCTGGCCCATGGTAGATGTCCAACAGATGACGGAGATCTCTCTGAGCCTCAGTTTCTTTTGTAAGACAACCAAAACCTGTCATGGCTTCCTCCAACAGCCTCAGGGTTGTTGGGCTGTGTGAGAAGTTTGCAGGAAAGCATTACACAGCATCAGTGGAAGTCAGCGTCAGGTCGTGTGAGATTCAGAGGGTTTGGTTCTGACACAGGAATCACATTTTTCCTGCGAACGTATTTTGTTCTCTTCTGCCTCCAGAAGATGAATCTGCTGTGGTACAGAAAGGCCCTACCTTTAAAATTATCCATCTGCCCAGCTGCTCAGGCTTGAGAGTGCATTAGAATCACCTGGAAGGCCCTAACAGCCAGCTGGGCCCCAGTGTTCTGATTGCACTGCTGTAGGAAGGAGCCCAAGAACTTGTATGTCTAACAAGCATCCAGGACATGCGGATGCCAGGACCCCAGCTGGAAAATTTCTAATGATACAAAGAACCCAGGCCTGCCCTATCACAGCCTTCACATCCACTGCACTGGCACCAGGCTCCAGCCCTGTGTCACGCATCTTAGTGCATTTAGTCCACCTTAGAACCTAGTGAGGCATCAGTACAGGCCCTGACTTTCAGAACAGGAAACAGGCTGAGAGGCAGTAACACGCTACAGATGTCGCAGTTAGCAAGCACTGGGGCTAGGACTTGAACCCCCAGAACCTGAACTCTCCTCCAAAGGGAGGTGAGGACGGATGGGAGCTGCCCTCCCCACCCCCACCCCCCACCTCACCCCCGGAAGCAGAGATTGATGTGTCTGACCCAGGAGGGCTTCCCCACAAAGGCTGGGCCATTCCTCTTCTCCCTTTACTACTTAAGGCTTCCTTTGGCAAATTACCAGGGTAGGTTGGGCCCAGTGGCTCACGCCTGCACTTTGGGAGGCTGAGGCGGGCAGATCGCTTGAACCCAGGAGTTTGAGATCAGCCTGGGCAACATGGCGAAACCCCATCTCTACAAAAAATAACAAAAATTATCCAGGCGTAGCGGTGTGCGCCTGTAATCCCAGCTACTGGGGAGGCTGATGCTTGAGGATTGTTTGAGCTTAGGTCGAGACTGCAGTGAGCCAAGATCACACCACTGCATTCCAGCATGGGCGACAGAACGAGACCCTGTCTCAAAAAGAAAACAAAAAATAATTGCATTTGCTATCCCAGAACTCACTCACACACTGAATCCCTCGGGGTTTTGGAAACAACCAGGTCTTGTCCCGAAGGCAGCCTGTAGGTGGAGCTAGAGAATGTCACCTGGGCTTCCCCGTGGGCGAGGAGCACGGGGCCAGGAGGATCTGTTGAAAGGAGCATTTGGAGGGCGGTGCCAATGGGCAAGAGGTATGCACAGAGAGCCACGGGAGTGGGCAGGGCCAGTTCAGGAAGGAATCCCAGAGGCTTTTTGTCCCAAAGCCTACGCATTCGTGCTGCTCTGACTTAATGCAGTGCTCAGCTGTGCTGCAGAGTAACGACAAAGGCTGGGAGGAGAGGAAGTGGCTCACAGGCAGCTGAAGGTGTCATTTTAAACAACGTGCTCTAAGTTAGCCTCAGATGAGACTCTAGGAGAAGGCATGGTGTTTCTTCTTGATTGTCACTGTATCCCAGGGGTACACGCACCCCAACCAGAGGCTTTGGAGGGTGTGCTTCCTGCCACCCTCAAGGGAGTTGTCTCTGTCAAGCTAACGGATCCCGAGTTCCGGGGTGCCAGGCCGTAGTCTGCTTCATTTTTATCTGCACAATAACCCGTGAGCCCATACCATCACCCCATTTCACAGCTGAAGAAATGGATGCCCAGACAGGATAAGTAGTTTGTACTAGAGGATAACTACCTGGCTAACAAACCAACTAGTTAACTGGTTGGCCAGGATTCAAAATCTGACCCGCTTCAGAATCGGGACTCGGACCACAGCGTGGCTTCAGAGAGCTCCTTCACCTGTGCTGGGCGTGCGTTGCCGTCGGGGATGCGGCGGTGGTTAGCACACGTTCTCTTCACTCCCTGAACACAGAGGCTAGAGAACAGACCTGCAGACACACAGTGCCAGTGCTTGGCAGACACAATCCTGGACGTCTGTGCTGTTAGGAACCGTCTGACGGGCGCCAGCATCAGGCCTCGCTGCACACGGGCCTTGGAGCAAGCACAGCACCTGCTCAACAGCCAGCTCTGAGCACGGACCCTGCTTCCACCCTTCAGACAAACCAGCCACCAAGAGGCATTTCTGGTACGTACAGAGAAATGTGAACGTGGACTGGGTGTTAAGTGATGTTGAAGTGTTAATCTTATTAGGTGATCACCACCACAATAGTGGTATTGTAGTTATTAAAGAAAATTTCTTTGGTTTTAGAAATGGAGGTGCAGGCCGGGCACAGTGGATCATCTGAGGTCAGGGGTTCAAGACCAGCCTGGCCAACATGGTGAAACCGTGTCTCTACTAAAAATACAAAAACTAGCCAGGCGTGGTGGCACGCACCTGTAATCACAGCTACTTGGGAGGCTGAGGCATAAGAATTGCTTGAACCCAGGAGGCGGAGGTTGCAGTGAGCCGAGATCGTGCCATTGCACTCCAGCCTGGGCGACAGAGACTCTGTCTCAAAAAGAAAAAAGAAAGAAATGCAGGCGCAATTATGTAGGTGTGAAATGATACCTAGGATGTACTTTAAGATACACCAGCAAATACTAGCCAGTCAAAACAGATTGGGGGGACGGAGTCTCTAGATGGGATGAGATCGGTAATTGTGTAGAGGGTAGGGGGTGGACGTCTAGAAGTGCATTACAGAATTCACTCTGCATACATTTTAACTTTTCCCAATAAAAAGTTTTTAAAAATACTTTAAAAAAAAAGCCATGTGATGGAAGCCTGTGTTAGTATTATAATACCTGTTTGAGAAGCTGGCACTGTGCAGCCCCAGGAAATGAAGGTAACGACTCTGCGGGCGGCTCTGTCAGACAGTGACTGTCTCATCACCACTCTTCACAACAACCGCTCCCCTGATGTCTCTTACTACAAAGGAAGTCTCAGCTTTTTCACTTGTTTTCCCTCTTAAAGAATGATGTAATATAGGCCAGAGTTAATGAACACCTAAGTCTAGAGGGAAAATGTCAGAAAACTCTCATTTAGTTAGGAATAAAAACTTATTTTTTAAACCAGGCACAGTGGCTTATGCCTGTAATTCCAGCACTTTGGGAGGCCTAGGCCGGAGGATTGCTTGAGGCCAGGAGTTTGAGACCAGCCTGGGCAACATGGCAGAACCCTGTCTCTACAAGTAAATTTTAAAATTAGCTGGCTGTGACAGCTCACGCCTGTAATCCAAGCTACTCAGGAGGCTGAGGTGGGAGGATCGTTTGAGCCTGGGTAACCAAGGCTGCAGTGAGCTAGGGTTGTGCATTCCAGGTGGCAGAGTGAGACCTTGCCCCTCCCCCCCAAAAAAACCTTACTTTTTAAACTAAATTTACAACTCCAGACTGAATTTTTTATGGTTATAAAAACATTTTTAAAACTACAACTCAGGACTGAAATGTTCATGGTTATAAATGTTTCCATGCTGTCTTCCTGATCTGCTTTTTTTTCTTTTTTTTCTTTTTTTTTTTTTTTGAGATGGAGTCTTGCTCTCTTGCCCAGGCTGGAGTGCAGTGGCGCAGTCTCGGCTCACTGCAAGCTCTGCCTCCCGGTTTCACACCATTCTCCTGCCTCAGCCTCCCGAATAGCTGGAACTACAGGCGCCCGCCACCACGCGTGGCTAATTTTTTGTATTTTTATTAGAGACAGGGTTTCACTGTGTTAGCCAGGATGGTCTCGATCTCCTGACCTCGTGATCCGCCCGCCTCGGCCTCCCAAAGTGTTGGAATTACAGGCGTGAGCCACCTCGCCCAGCCTTTTTTTCTTTTCAAATATGGTAATACATTCAGTCTTTTCTGCCATCTTTATGGCTCTTGTTGCCCAGGCTGGAGTGCAATAGTGCGATCTCAGCTCACCACAACCTCCACCTCCCGGGTTCAAGCGATTCTCCTTTCAGCCTCCCGAGTAGCTGGGATTACAGGCATGCGCCACCACGCCCAGCTAATTTTGTATTTTTAGTAGAGATGGGGTTTCACCATCTTGGCCAGGCTGGTCTCGAACTCCCGACCTCAGGTGATCTGCCCGCCTTGGCCTCCCAAAGTGCTGGGATTACAGGCATGAACCACCGCGCCTGGTCTTTTTTGTTTGTTTGTTTTTGTTTTTGTTTTTGAGACGGAGTTTCGCTCTGTCACCCAAACTGGAGTGCAATGGCGTGATCTCCGCTCATTGCAACCTCCGCCTCCCAGGTTCACATCATTCTCCTGACTCAGCCTCCTGAGTAGCTGGGACTACAGGCATGTGCCACCACGCCTGGCTAATTTTTTGTATTTTTAGTAGAGACAGGATTTCACCATGTTAGCCAGGATGGTCTCCATCTCTGGACCTCGTGATCCGCCCACCTAGGCCTCACAAAGTGCTGGGATTACAGGGGTGAGCCACCGCACCCGGCCCAAGATCCGTCTTTACGTTTGAAAAAATATACTCCACTTCACAATAAAAAGGCTGAGTATTGCAATTTGAAAAACTTCCAATATACAACATCAAATGAATACTGTTTGGCTGAGAAAAATTTGAATTGACACGTCACTTTAAAGAAAAAAAGTTGGCCAGGCGCAGTGGCTCATGCCTGTAATCCCAGCACTTTGGGAGACCAAGGTGGGCGGATCACCTGAGGTCAAGAATTCGAGACCAGCCTGGCCAACATGGTGAAACCCTGTCTCTATTAAAAATACAAAATTAGCCGGGCGTGGTGGCACATGCCTGTAATGCCTGCTACTCAGGAGGCTGAGGCAGGAGAACTGCTTGAACCCAGGAGGTGGAGGTTGCAGTGAGCTGAGATTGCGCCACTGCACTTCCAGCCTGGGCGACAGAGACCCCGTCTCTGTCGAAAACAAAAAGTTGGATAATTAAAAAAACAAATTTGAGCATTTGGTATTTGGGTGTCTTAGAAGCCATCAAAAGAAGAGCCAAAGGTTTAGGCAGCTCAGAGCTGCAGGGAGCAAACCTCAGCCCTGGCATTATTGTAACCAAGGGACCAGCTCAAGCCAATTAACCAGTGCTTAAGTTAATTAGCTGACGCAGAGCCAGAATTGCCCAGGCGTGGGCAATGGGAAACACTTTAACCTCCTCATCCTTACCAGCAGCCTGGCCAGCCAGCTACATTGGCATCACCTGGGACCAGCTAGGAATGCCATAAAAGCTGGACCCACCCCCAGCTCAGGGAGGCAGAATTAAGCGTTGTCTCCCATCTCCTTGCAGTCCGCTCGCAATAAAGCTTTTTTCTTTCTTGGAAAGCTGGTGCCATAGTGTTGGCTTCTATGCGTGTCAGACACTGGGCCCATTGCTGAGTAACATGTCATCCTGAGCTACACTCACTGCACTGGTAGCTCCTTGGGACTCCAGGACCGAATTAGAGCAGGCAGCAGGCAGAGTTTGATGTGGCATCCTTGCTCCAGCATCCAGAGGAGGTGGGTTTCACAGAGTGGGAAAAAGTGTATTTCAGAGAGGGAGTTATTCACCACTAGCCATTTCAATAACCCCGAGCAGGTCGTGCAACCAAGACAGTTCACCCAACCCCGCCAAGACCCGCCTAACAACGCGGTGAGGAGGCTGCAGGCTCCCACAGAGCTCGCCCTCCCCCTGCAGGAGAAAGCGGCAGCTGGCGCTGGCCTCCCTAGCCCTGCTTCTACCACTGCTGCTGGCACCAAATGCAAGGCGTGAGGAAGAGGGTCGGGGTCTCAGAGGTCAGCCACGCTTCCTGAACTTTGTGGCGCGCACGCCATACTCGGGACAGTGGCCATGGAGAGGAAGTAAACGATGCTGCTCCCACCTCAGTAAAAACTGTAAACTAGGTCGTGTTGGAGTTGGAATATTATAAGTGTTTGTAGAACAGATGAAAATTAGGAGTGGTAAAAGAGGAATACTAAAATTTTAAAAATCGTAATAAGCCTCACATAAAAAGCACACAGAGTATCATTCTAGTTTTTTTTTTTTTTCTTTTTTTTTCGAGACAGAGTTTCACTCTGTTGCCCAGGCTGGAGTGCAGTGGTGCGATCTCCGCTCACTGCAAACTCTGCCTCCCAGGTTCACGCCATTCTCCTGCCTCAGCCTCCCAAGTAGCTGGGACTACAGGCACCCGCCACAGTGACCGGCAAATTTTTTGTATTTTTTGTATTTTTAGTAGAGACGGGGTTTCACCGTGTTAGCCAGGATAGTCTCGATCTCCTGACCTCGTGATCCGCCTGCCTCGGCTTCCCAAAGTGCTGGGATTACAGGCGTGAGCCACCGCCCCCGGCCTATTCTGGTTTTATTGTGCCATGTAAAAAGTGTTTCCAGGCCGGGCTGTAGTCCCAGCTACTCAGCTACTCAGGAGACTGAGGCGAGAGGATTACCTGATCCCAGGAGGTCGAGGCTGCAGTGAGCCGTGATCATGCCACTCTACTCCAGCCTGGATGACAGAGTGAGACTGTCTCAAGAAAATATATATATATATGTATTTCTGCAAATGCCTGTGCACAGCCTGTGCCTCTTATTTGTGCCCCTGTACCTGAGATCATTCACATAGGTTGGATTCGGGTTCCGGCTGGAGCTACTGCTCATTGCCTGTGTGGCCTCTGGCAAACTCCGTAACTTCTCTGGGCCTCGGCTTTCTCATCTCTAAATTAAGACTTCCAGAATCTCTCTCAGCTCTGTAATTCTATAGCTAATGGATTTGTAATGAACCTAAATTGCATCATCCAAAAATAAAGTAAACTGTGAAGCAATTGTAGGATAGATGATAAATTGCAGATGTATGTAAAGGACATGAATTCATCTCTTGTAAGCCTGATATCTAACAAAGGACCAGGCATTTATGGTAGGTACTCATATCTTTTAATGAATTTAATTAAATAAGGATGCTAATTAAAAAATAATTTCCTAGCTCTTGCTAAAATAGAGTAAGGGATATCTTTAGTGACTATATATTACCAATTACTCTATTACTAATGACAAGGAAATGACAGAATGGTTTCTGACTTCCTGGCCAGGCCAGAGGGAAGGACCATGCTCAGTGCAGCTATTGTGGTCCAGGAACCTGGTAGCTCTTTCTATTGCCAGAGTAGAAATTTGATTTAGCCTGTCCTCCAGAGCTAATCAGTCTGGAGGCAATGAGTCTCCCATAACTGAACTCCAAGATACTGATGCTTACCATAGACTCCACTGGGTTAATTAATAGAAATAAGCCTGTTAGGTGGACCAGACATGAGACGTAAGAAACTACAAAGAAAAGAGCAAATTTTTCCCAAGCCAAAGATGGGAAAGACAAGAAATTAGACGTTTCAATGGAAGAGAAAACAGAGAGCTGGGCACTCTGGCATGTGCCTATAATCCCAGGCTCAGGAAGCTGAGATAGAAAGATTGCTTGAGCTCAGGAGTTCAAGATCTCCCTCAGTAACATAGCAAGACCCCATCTTTTTTTTTTTTTTCAAGATGGAGTCTCGCTCTGTCACCCAGGCCAGAGTGCAGTGGCGCAATCTCAGCTCACTGCAACCTCCACCTCCCCGGTTCAAGCGATTCTTCTGCCTCAGCCTCCTGACTAGCTGGGACTACAGGTGCGTGACACCACGCCCGGCAATTTTTTGTATTTTTAGTAGAGACGGGGTTTCACCGTGTAGCCAGGATGGTCTCAATCTCCTGACCTCGTGATCCTCCCGCCTCGGGCTTTCAAAGTGCTGGGATTACAGGTGTGAGCCACCGCACCCGGCCGCAGGACCCCTCCTTAAAAAAAAAAAAAAAAGAAACGAAAAAGAGAAAAACAATGGAGAAAGATCAATGAAACCAAAAGCTGGTTCTTTGAGAACGTCAATAAAATGGATAAACCGCTAGCCAGACTGATCAAGAAAAAAATAAAGGAAGAAGATAAAATCAATATCAGGAATGAGAGAGATGCCATCTGGTCTTGAACTCCTGGGCTCATCTAAGGGAAACACAGCAGAGATGGAGGAGGAGGGATTGATTACAAAAAGTCAGGAGGAAACTTTGGGGGGTGATGGATCTGTTCATTTTCTTGATTGTGGGGATGGTTTGACTGTGTATATATATGTTAAAACTCATTGGCGAGGCTCGGTGGCTCATGCCTGTAATCCCAACACTTTGGGAGGCCGAGGCAGAAGAATCACTTGAACCAGGAGGCGGAGGTTGCAATGAGCTGAGATCGCATCACTGCGCTCCAGCCTGGTGATAAGGTGAGACTCCATCTCAAAAAAAAAAAAAAAACTCATCAAATTGTGCAATTAATGTGAAACTTACCAATAACCTCCAAATTATGTAGACATAATGTTATGTGGAGACTTTATACTTCAATAAAGCTATAAGAAAAGTTTCTGGCCGGGTGCGGTGGCTCACGCCTGTAATCCCAGCACTTTGGGAGGCCGAGGCGGGTGGATCACGAGGTCAGGAGATCGAGACCATCCTAGCTAACACGGTGAAACCCTGTCTCTACCAAAAAAATACAAAAATTAGCTGGGGATGGTGGCGGGCGCCTGTAGTCCCAGCTACTCAGGAGGCTGAGACAGGAGAATGGCGTGAACTGGTGAGGCGGAGCTTGCAGTGAGCCGAGATCACGCCACTGCACTCCAGCCTGGGTGACAGAGTGAGACTCCATCTCAAAAAAAAAAAAAAAAAAAAAAAAGGTTTCTAAAAATTCTATGCTGGCCAAGCGTGGTGGCTCATGCCTGTAATCCCAGTACTTTGGGAGGCTAAGGCAGGGGGATTTCTTGAGCCCAGAAGGTTGAGGCTGCAGTGAGCCATGATCGAACCACTGCACTCCAGTGTGCGGGACAGTGAGACCCTGTCTCAAAAAAAAAAAAAAAAAAAACCTGGGCGTGGTGGCTCACACCTGTAATCCCAGCACTTTGGGGGGCCAAGGTGGGCAGATCACCTAAGGTCAGGAGTTCAAGACCGGCCTGACCAACACAATGAAACCCCGTCTCTACTAAAAATACAAAAATTAGCCGGGTGTGGTGGCGGGCTTCTGTAATCCCAGCTACTCGGGAGGCTGAGACAGGAGAATCGCTTGAACCCGGGAGGTGGAGGTTGCAGTGAGCCGAGATCATGCCATTGCACTCCAGTCTAGGCAAGAAGAACAAAACTCCATATCAAAAAAAAAAAAAAAATTCTAGGCTAACCCTCAGAAAATAAAGACCTAGTTTTTCAATGAATGAAAAGTATCCAATATGATACATTAAATCCTGTCTCAAAACCATTGATAATTCTCAGAGTGCCTGGGCTGAAATTTACCCCTTTATTTGAGCAAATAGTTTCTTCATAGATAGGGAAATTTAGTGCTATTTAATCAAATGTGCCAGAGTAATATTAAAATATTTGAGGAGTCCTGGGTGGGTGCGGTGGCTCATGCCTGTAATCCCAGCACTCTGGGAGGCAAAGGTGGGCAGATCACTCGAGGTCAGGAGTTCGAAGCCAGCCTGGCCAAAATGGCGAAACCTTGTCTCTACTAAAATTACAAAAATTAGCCGGATGTGATGGCACATGCCTGTAGTCGCAGCTACTCGGGAGGCTGAGGCAGGAGAATCACTTGAACCCAGGAGGCGGAGGTTGTAGTTAGTGGAGATCACGCCACTTGCTCTCCAGCCAAGAGTGAGACTCCACCTCCAATAATAATAATAATAATAAAATATTTGAGGAGTCCTAAAATGTAAGTACCCATAAGCATTTAGAAATACCCACCTACAGATAAGTAAGTGAGGTGGTCATTATACATCATTCTTGGCCAGTAATCCAGGCTTGAGATGCTGTGTGAACTTGTAAGCAGCAAAAGAAGATAAAAAGGCATTCTTCATAAAGTTAAGAATTAAATGAGATATCAATAAGCCTTATTTTAAAATAATTCATCATGCCAGGCATGGCGGCTCACGCCTGTAATCCCAGCAATTTGTGAGGCCGAGGTGGGTGGATCACCTGAGGTCAGGACTTCGAGACCAGCCAGACCAACATGGAGAAACCCCATCTCTAAACACAAAAATTAGCTGAGCATGGTTGTGGGCACCTGTAATCCCAGCTACTCGGGAGGCTGAGGCAGGAGAATCACTTGAACCCGGGAGGCAGAGGTTGCAATGAGCCGAGATCGCGCCACTGCACTCCAGCCTGGGCGACAGAGGGAGACTCCATCTAAAAAAAAAATAATAAAATTAAAAATAAAGTAAAATAACTCATCATTTAGTTTTACATAACTCAAACTTGCTTTCTCTGTTCAGTGATTGAGGTTTCGTTACATTCATTGGTTGAATTCAAAATAGAATTCACTTAGGATTGATTTGCAAGCACAATATACTCAGAATACAGCAGACAAGTGCGACTCGCATGTGAGAACTCTGGGGGTTCTAAGTCAGGTGTGTGGGAGGGAACGCTGCTCCCACGATATGCCAGGAAGGGAGGGCTCCCGCGGGGAAGCGGCCCTGGGAGTGGCGCCCCCTGCTGGACAGCGCGCCGGTGCACACCAGCGAGCGAGAAGCTCTGCGCTGCTGGAGGAAAAGTGGGTTCAAGCCAAAGCTTCCCAAAGGGAGTCACCTTGAGGCCCCTTCTGTCGGAACATGCTGAGATGCTGGTGCTCCAAGCCCAGGAATCTCTGGCTCTTCCTGAGTGCCCACCCCATGATGAACAGCTCCTCTTTAGTCGACCTCTTTCGCCTGGGACCCACACCTGCCACTCTCAGCCACGCTCTGCACATGCCTTTCTGGGGTCACAAAGCTCATTACACATCTTCCTTGGTTGAAAGAAGAATTTCAGCCAGGAGCGGTGGCTCACGCCTGTAATCCCAGCACTTTGGGAGCTCGAGGTGGGAGGATCATCTAAGTCCACGAGTTCGAGACCAGCCTGGGCAACAAAGTGAGGCCCTATCTCTAAAAAAAAAAAAAAAAAAAAAAAAATTGTTTGTTTTGTTTTGTTTTGTTTTGTTTTTGAGATGAAGTCTCGCTCTGTTGCCTAGGCTGGAGTGCAATGGTGATCTTGGCTCCCTACAACTTCCGCCTCCTGAGTCGAAGCAATTCTCCCACCTCAGCCTCCCGAGTAGCTGGGATTACAGGCGTGCGCTACCACGCCTGGCTAATTTTTGTATTTTTTAGTAGAGACAGAGTTTCACCTCGTTGGCCAGACTGCTCTCGAACTCCTGACCTCAAGTGATCCCCCCATCTCAGCCTCCCAAAGTGCTGGCATTACAGGCGTGAGCCACCGTGCCTGGCCAAAAAAAAATTTTTTTAATCGCGCAGTGGCACATGCCTGTAATTCCAGTTACTCAGGTGGCCAAGGCGGGAGGATTGCTTGAGCCCAACCAAGAGCTAGAGGCTGCAGTGAGCTATGGTGGCACCAAGTACTCCAGCCTGGGCATCAGAGTGAGACCCTGTCTCAAAATAAAAAAAGTGCTGGAGGCTCATGTTCCCCCGTTGCAGCGTGTGACCACTGACTGCCAGGCACACTCTAGGATCAAGCTGCTGCAAGCACCAACAGGACCTGGGCCGAAACTCGCCTCCTGAAACCCACCTCCTGCTTGTCTTCTCCTGTTTCCATAAGCATTGAGAAGCCTGCTCTCCTCCGCACCCCCCAGTAAGCCACCTGAGCACGAATCCCCACCTGGGCGGATGTGGGCAGCACACAGGTAATCCCGGGGTGGCCACCCTGCCCACACCACCCACCGTGCTCTTCTTCACATCAGCTGCCTTCAGGTGACTGCACATCCCAAAACTGCGTGGGAACACCACCGTGGGCCTACCCATGTCCTGAAGTATCCAGGAGACTGGCGGGATGCCCGTCGCCTCTCCCTGCCCCACAAAGCGACTACTGTGGGGACCGCAAGGAGCCACATGGAAGAGCTGCCTGTCCTGGCCGGCTCAGGCTCTCCCCAGGCTGAGGACAACCATGGGACTGATAGAGACACTCTGTTGTTGAGATTCGGGCTTTCTCTCTTTCGAAAAGGGGTGAAGACGAAGGCTTGTGTCTGCATCTCCTCTCTGGTCTCAAAGCTGAGTGGCTTTTCCAGGGAAGCCAGCACCCGCGGCCTCTCATGCCAGCCCAAGCAGTTCTGAAGCCCACCCCTGTGACGAGGCGCTGCCGGCTGCGGAGCCTGTGCCAGCACGTCTCATCACCCAGGCGGGCTCCCCAGGCCCACAGGATAGCTCTGCCCCCAGCCATGGGTACTGCCAGGCCATCTCCCCACCCCACCCGGAGGAATTGAGGGCCTCTGCCTCACACACACATCCCTTCCCCGCAGCCCAAGCACCAGCACACCAGCAGGTGGAGAGAGTTGTTTCACTTGTGCTTGAGAAGGCGCCTTCCCTTCTAAGAGGAACTGCAGATGTGAACGTTTGCAAATCAAATTCCAACCGAAATGGCCTGCAGTGGCAGTTCTCAAAGGGTTTCCTGGGGCCACAGCAGCAGCATCTGGGAACCTGTCATAAATGCAGGTTCTTGGGCCCCACCCAAGACCTGCTTTGGGCCCTCCGTGATAGGGCCCAGGCCTGTGTTTCAGGAGCCCTCCAGGAGATTCTGATGCATACTCAAGTGCAGCCCACTGACCTAAAAGAGCCTGCCTTTGAAGGAAGCCTGGAGCAAGGCCTTCTGCAAAGACTTGAACCACCCGCAGTTCTGCCCAGTCAGCACAGCTGAATTTTCCTCCAAATACAGCACAGGGTGCACCCACCTTCAGAAGAAAAGCCCCCCGGCCCAGCTTCCAGGTGTCGTGAGGAGAGCAGCCGCAGACCGAGGCTGCATACCTGGGGCTGGGCTCCCTTCCCCTCCCCTGCCGCCCTGCCTGCCCTGCTGCAGGAGGCGAGGCCCGGCTGTGTGCTCACTGCTCCAGGCCTGATGATGGCTGGGAGCATTCAAGGAGCCACCCCTACCTGTGCCTGGGGCGCAGTTGGTCTTGTCTTAAACTCAATTTCTGGTAGACCTGGAGGCTGGGCTCAGCCTCAGTCTCCCTCCACCTCTCCACCATGTGTGTCAGGCAAAGAGGCTGGGCTTCCCCGCTATTTTCCTGCCCTGAGCTGAGCATCAAGCTGGGCCTCAGAGATCCTTCCTTTCTCCCCATGCTCCCCTCTCTCCAGGAGGGGAGGGACTCTCCTCCAATCTCCAATATATGGTACATATACATATATATATACCAAAACAAAGATGTAGCTGCTGTCACTGCTGACCAGAACACCCTTCCGGTGTGCCTTCCCACCTGAGCTGTGCCTGCACTCACCAGCCCCCTTGGGCAGATTGCCACTGTCTTTAGGAGCCAGGCTTATACCCACCTCTCCCCACATGCCTACCCAACTCTCAGGTCCCAACATGCCCAGCAGTTGAGCCAACACAAGTTGATCTAAGTTCATCAGAAGGTGAGTGTTTGACTGATTCTATACTCGCCACACAGGCCCACCCTCGTCTCATGCAAGTGACAGCCCCAACTCCACTCCTCATCTCCCAGCCTGTGAACCGAGGCAGCCATGGAGCCTGGAAGGAGAACAGACTCCAGTATCCACAGACGCCCATTCTAAGATGTTCTCACGGGGGATCAAAAGAAGCTGAGATCTACCCATGTTGGCCCTGTCGGGACACAGTATCTTTTGGGGATCCAAGAAGACACTGTGGGCCCCAGGACTCCTGGATCCCAGAACTGTGGCTGGCCCTGGACACAGAGCGGCCTAGAAGATCTTGGCTCTGTGTCTCACTGGGGCCTCCTTGACCCATTTCCAAGCTGTCCTCTCTCCTCCCCGTGCCTGCTCCCTGCTACGCTGCTCCGCTCCTCCTGACTAGGGTCACGATGCTGTGTGGGGCCCCATGGCACCCACACGACCTTTTGGCCATATTTCCCTTCTCCAAGGAGCCTCCCTCTTCTGTTTATGGTCCAAACCTGAATGGGACATCTGACTGGCCCGGCTCATCTTCGGCACCAGCCTATAGGTCTCCCGCCAGCCTATGCGCGAGCTGCCCTCGGGCCTGGTGTCCGCCGGTGATCCATGCCGCGTGACAGGCCAGGGTTTCAGGGGTTTCCTTCCCCACAGCTCTGCTCATTGTCTCTCTCCACCATTGAGACGCCCATCTGGGTCCCTTATATTTTGGTTTTTAAACCTCCCGGTTTCATGCAGTTTTATTTCATCTTTAAAGGTTGACACATGGTTGTCAGCCCAGCGGCCCTGGTCTGGAAGTCCAGGTTTGGGTGGCAATGGCGGTGAGAGTGCTTTGGGCCTCGGTGCCAGAGGCCAGCCTGGTGATTTAGACACCTCCTCCCTGCCAGGAGCCTGTGTTCACTCCAGTTCTTTCAAAGTGGCTGCAGAGGGGGGAGGTGGGGATTAAACGGAGGCTCCTCACTGCAGCAGAGGAAAGCAACCCTTGCCAAGCCCCTGGTCTTGTGCCAACTCCCTGCTGGTTTGGGGAAAGCTGATGAGGGTGGCCCGCCATGCTCTGGTTCTCAGGACAAAGTTCAGAAGGTGAGCCCAGCGTCCTGGCAACAACTACCCCTGGCTGCTCCGTGGCCACCGTGGGAGTGGTTAATAAACACCCGGGCTGGAGGTGGTAACGCCTATCTTCCAGGAACTTAGTTCAGAAGAGCTTTATGACCTGGATGGAGTCACCTGTTAAAGAGTAACGTACACCCCATATTACACTCGAGTCCCAGGAGTAACTATCCAGGGGAAGTGTTTATTTCCATGGGTGAACAAAGCATCCTTTGGGGGAGACCCTACCAGCACCAGGCTCTCCTTTGATGGGAACTGTCTGGCCCAGGCCTGGGGAATATGCAGCCTTGCAGCTACCAGTTAGCCACTTTGGGGGTGAGTTTATCCTACACAGTTTATCCTTGCTCTCCCCAGAGTGAGGGATTGAGTGGGCTGGCAGGAAACCAAAAGGAATCTACCTGTCCCTCCCACTCCCCCCACAGGCCCACATGGCGGGGAAGGAAGGCGGGATCCATCTCCACATGACGGGGAAGGAAGGCAGGATCCATCTCCACATGATGGGGAAGGAAGGCAGGATCCATTTCCACATGACAGGGAAGAAAGGCGGGATACGTCTCCACACATGATGGGGAAGGAAGGTGGGATCTATTTCCACGTGACAGGAAGGAAGGAGAGATCCATCTCCATGTGGCTGGAAGGAAGGCGGGATCCGTCTCCACATTGCCAAGCTACACCCTGTGGTTTCTCTCCTCGTCTGGCACAAAGGCAGTGCTCATCCCTCAGTGTGGGGCCATGGCAGTACAGGTACCCCCGTCTCCTCTGGGGTCTCACCACGTCTCACGGATCCTCCTGGAAGGGGTGCTACAGCTCTCCAAGCACTTACTCTGGGCTGCACCTTCAAGTCTGGGAGAGAGCTTTGCTAAAATACAACTTTCTGAGTCCAGCCCTGCAAACCTACCCAGCCCAGACCAGCCGAGGAGGAGATGGGGAGCCAAGTGCCTGGAGGAAGGAGCCTGGGGCTGACCAGTGCTGGATGATTAAATTAAATTCCTAGGGTGGTGCGTGCCAGTAATCCCAGGTACTCAGGAGGCTGAGGTGGGAGGAGCACTTGAGCCCAGGGGGTCAAGGCTGCAGTGAGCCATGATCACACAACTGCAATCCAGCCTGAGTGACAGAGTGAGACCCTGTCACTTAAAAATAAAATGCTCCCTGGGCCGGGTGCGGTGGCTGACTCACGCCTGTAATCCCAACACTTTGAGAGGCCAAGGTGGGCAGATCATGAGGTCAGGAGTTCGAGACCAGCCTGGCCAATACGACGAAACTTGGTCTCTACTAAAGATACAAAAATTAGCTGGGCGTGGTGGCTGGCACCTGTAATCCCAGCTACTCCAGAGGCTGAGGCAGGAGAATCGCTTCAACCTGGGAGGCGGAGGTTGTAGTGAGCCGAGATCACGCCATTGCACTCCAGCCTGGGCTACAAGGCAAGACTCTGTCTCAAAAAGAAAAGAAAAGAAAAGAAAGGGGGAGGGGAGGGGAGGGGAGGGAGAATCCAGCTATGTAGTCAGGTTGGGAAGGCCAGGAGTGTGAACCCCACGGGATGTGATGGGACTGGGGTCATGTGGGAGGCAATGCTGGCTCAGACAGAAGAGGGAGGGCGCCACGGCACTCCAGTGCAGGAGCCTGCAGTGGACCTCGTTCCCTGTGAGCACAGGGTTCTGCCTGGTCCAGGTAACAGCCGCGTGAGGCTGGTCTTAGACTGTCCATTTTTTCGCTTAAGGAACCCACAGGACGGCTGGGTGCAGTGGCTCACACTTGTAATCCCAGCACTTTGGGAGGCTGAGGTGGGCAGATCACCTGAGGTCAGGAATTCAAGACCAGCCTGGCCAACATGGTAAAACTCTGTCTTTACTAAAAGTACAAAAATTAGCCCAGTGTGGTGGCACACACCTGTAATCCCAGCTACTCAGGAGGCTGGGGCAGGAGAATCGCTTGAACCCAAGAGGCGGAGGTTGCAGTGAGCCAAGATCGCACCACTGCACTCAAGCATGGGTGACAGAGCGAGACTCTATCTCAAAAAAAAAAAAAAAAAGGAAAAAAAAGAAACCCACAGGACCACAGGTAGCCTGTCCAAGCCACACAGCCAGAGCAGGGGGCCTGGGGTGCGCAGCCTTCCGATCACGACCATGGCTCTGTGGAGTAAGATCCCTCTTCCCTGGTATGGACCCTTTATGCAAACATCCTGAGTGACACAGAGACAGAGCCTGTCTGCCGTGGTGCCATTAAGCCACCGAGCACTGGTGGCCTCTGAGTGGGACGGGTATAAGGTGGCCAGGTGGAGCCAGCCCTGGGGAAACCAGGCCAAGGACGCTGTGCCAGGCTTGGCACCAGAGACACACCCTCAGCTCACCCTGAGTGCCTCTCCACCCCCACCCTGGGGGCACCCTGGCATCCGTGAGACACATGCCTCGGACTGGAGGTGGGTCAGCTGAGGCAGGCGCAATTAGGGAGAATGGGGCAAGGCCCATGACCTGGCAGGTGCCCTCCATGTGGGGCCCTTGGGTGATTTCTGGCTGACAGGCAGGCCAGTACTGAGTCAGAAGGAAACCGCGTTTGGGAAGGCCAGAGGTCACTTCAGGGTGCTCTTCCCTCTCCTCGGGAAGCTGCCCTAATTAGCACCTTGGCCAGAGGGCCTTCATGGGAAGCGCGGCAGCTTGCATCCTCGGCCCGCCCAGTGACCTGGCCTTCCCCACGTGTGCCTGGTCCTGACCTAAGTCCTAGAGGGTGGACACCCAGCCCCCACACTGGTATGGCGGTGAGGACTGATGATCTCCCGTGGGAGATGTGGGGAGTGGTGCCTGGCCCCACCCCCGGGCCCGCTGGGCATGAAGGGGCTTCCGCCTGTCCTCGAGAGCAGCGCTGACCTGGTCACCTCCAGCCCTGCACACCTACCCAGCCCGGGCCGGCCAAGGAGGCAGGGAGCCAAGTACCTGGAGGAGGGAGCGTGGGGCTGGCCAGTGCCTGGGTGATAACTCGGAGTCCCCGGAGCACTCAGTGTCACACCCACACTGCAGCCAGAATCCACAGGCTTCCCAAAGGCCTCGATCCCCCCACCCCCTCCACACGGGCTGTGGCTTTTGCCCCCAGGCCTGCCACGCCTTGCCTCATGCCCGGAACTGGCTCACCATGCCTGCCCCTCAGCCCTCCCAGAACCTGGCCCTCACCGTGGGTGGCGACCTTTGACAAGTCACCCAACTTCTAAGCCTCGACTTCCTCATCCACAAAACAGGCTTGTTCCTGTGGTGGACATCCACTGTGGTCTGGGGACCCTCTGCAGCTATCATGGGTCATAGAGTAGATCTCTACATACTGACACAGCAAGGGCTCCAGGGGCCAGTAGCCAATGGGAAAGCCAGCTTACGTGATGACAGACAGAGCAATGCCACTTATTTTACAACATATGTGCACATGCCTGCACAACGCACTTGATTTACAACACGCACACGCAGGCACATGCACACAGACACACACACTCACACACAAATAAAACTACAGATTCTGGCCGAGTGTGGTGGCTCACGCCTGTAATCTCAGCACTTTAGGAGGCCGAGGCAGGTGGATCACCTGAGGTCAGGTGTTCGAGACCAGCCTGGCCACCATGGAGAAACCCCATCTCTACTAAAACACCAAAAAAAAAAAAAAAAAAATTGGCCAGGTGTGGCAGCGCACACCTGTAATCCCAGCTACTCAGAAAGCTGAAACAGGAGAACTCCTTGAACTCGGGAGCTGTTGAAGGTTGCAGTCAGCCAAGATGGTGCCACTGCACTCCAACCTGGGCAACAGTGAGACTTCATCTGACAAAAAAAAAAAAAAAAAAAAGGCTGGGTGCAGTGCCTGTAATCCCAGCACTTTGGGAGGCCAAGGCAGGCGGATCACCTGAGGTCGGGAGTTCAAGACTAGCTTGACCAACATGGAGAAACCCCTGTCTCTACTAAAAATACGAAATTAGCCGGGTGTGGTAGCACATGCCTGTAATCCTAGCTACTCCGGCTGAGGCAGGAGAATCGCTTGAACCTGGGAGGCAGAGGTTTCAGTGAGCCAATATCGTGCCATCGCACTCCAGCCTGGAGTGCAAGACTACCTCTCAAACAAGAGCAAGACTACCTTGCTAAAAAAAAAAAAAAAAAAAAAAAAAACCTACAAATTTTGGTGGGTTTTGAGACAGGCTCTCACTCTGTCACCCAGGCTGGAGTGCAGTGGTGTGATCATGGTTCACTGCAGCCTCAGCCTCCTGGGCTCAAGCGATCCTCCTGTCTCAGCTTCCCAAGAAGCTGAGACCACAGGCACCCGCCAATTTTTGTAGAAACGGGGTTCTGCCATGTTGCTCAGGCTGGTCTTGAACTCCTGGGCTCAAGCCTTCCACGGGCCTCAGAAAATTATGAATTCATATATGTCAGCACCACACAAGGAAAACTCTGGCAAATATGCAGACGGCAAACAAACCAGGAGGGGCAAGACCAAAGGGTCTTGATCAAGATAGACTTGAATTTTATTGGTAATGCTTTAATTTTTATGAGAGCGTTCAAGAATTACTGTGCGATTTTAAATAAATAAAGTTTAAAATAGAGTCCTTCTTGCAAGGGTGTGGGAGAATCACACCCTCAGAGCCCGATGAGGGCCGCGCCTGGGCCCTCACTCCTGTCTCCCCAGCACCTCACTCCAGGTCATTTATTCATTCAACAAGCATGTGCTGCTGCCTCCTCCATGCTGGCCTCAAGCTGGACCCTGGGTCAGAGATGACTCCGAGGCAGGCCCTGGCCTGGAGAGGCGTGCAGCCCAGCAGGAAGCTGCAGTGAGGGCTGGACTAGGGGAATTTCACCCCCAGCCCTGGGCACTGGGAGCCACTTCCGCAGTGTTGCCTCAATGTTTGGAGATGCCTGAGGATCCTGCAATAGTGCTCCTCACGCCAAACCCTGATGAATAATTTCTTCAAAAGAGAAAGTGTGTCAGACCGAAATTGATTAGCCACACAATGAAATACAGAGCCAAACCAAAGCGGCCCTAGAACCTGGTATCCCAACCATGAAGAAATAACAGAAAACAAATAACTTAGAGAATTTTTCAAACACCTGAAACACCCCAGCAGGGTGTTCCTGGAGCTTCAGATCAGAACTCCAGACCCCCGCTGCCCTTTCGGAGCCCGCGCTGTCGGCGGCATCCTCGGGGTTCTGCCGTTAGTCCTCCCCAGACCAGCATCCAGCCCCTTTCCGATGACTTTTCCCAAGCCTGCCTCTGGACCCAAACGCCCCGGTGTCTCTAAGCCAGCCAAGTGTGCCCACAATCACCCATCCCTGTGGGCACCTTCAGCAACTGCTCCCAGAAGCCCCTGCTCTGGGCCTGGCCCTAGGGTGCAGCCTCCAGCCAAAAGCGCAGTTCCCAGGGTCCCCCGTGGACTGGGGCACATTCCCCAGCTCTGGTCACCTTGGCCAGAGGATCTCCCCAGAGACCTGGGAGGAACGTAGGTGTATGTCAGGCCCGGTGGAATGCAGTCTCCAGGAGGGCACCAGGAAAAACAAGTTCCAGGGCAACCTCCCTGGAGGTCTCACCTGCTGCCAGGCTCTGCGGGACTCCAGAGCATCCGGGAAGAACTGCTGTCTGCAGACAGCAGTGCCGGGTGCACAGGGTCAGGGCCTGGAGAGCAGAGCTGTGGCAGGAGCTGAGGCTGGGGAGGGTGCAGAGCCCAATTAGAGGGCAGAGGAGGAAGCTGCCTGGGCAGGCCGGAGTGACACCAGCAATGGACAGGGGAAGCCTAGGACCAGAGACGTCCTTGGCAGGTGGGAGGGAACCAGTGCCCAGGCCAGGGCCGAAGGTTAGGAAATAGGTCCTGGCTGAGGCCTGGCCAGGAAAAGCAAGTGTAGGAACTAGGCCAGACTCACAGGATCCCGGCATTCACGGGCAGAGCCTATCTGTCAGACACTCGCTGGAGAACTGTGGACACTGGGCACCTGAGGCTCCCCCTGATGCACCTGTGGGAAGGCAGGGCTTGCGGGCAGCCTCAGTGGGTGTGGGAACCAGAGGGCAAGAAAGGCAGGAGCCCCCAGTGCCACACAGGGTGGTGTTGCTGCGTGCCAGGCTCTGTGCTGAGCTCCAAGCAGGCCAGGGAGCAGCCTTTCTCAGGATCCTGGCCAGGAAGCGTGGCCTCTGGGAGCCAGGCCAGGTGGGCCTTGCCCCAAGGTGGACGCTGCTAACCCTACTCCACCTGCCCAGGGATCACGGCCAGCATTCACAGACCAGCAACGTCAGCTCAGTTAATCTCACAGCAGCTCAGGAGGTAGACAAGGTCATCCTCCCCACTTTCCAGGATGAGGAAATGAGGCACTGAGAGGGGAAGTGACCTGCCCACGGGCGCACAGCTAGCATTCAGCAGAGCCTGCATTCAGACCCGCAGGCCATCTGAAGCCAGAGTCCCAGCTCCTAGCACCCCACTGTGCCACCCATCCCAAATCAGTGTGAGAACAGGAGCCCCGGCCCAGGGTCGGGCTGAAGACCCTCCGCCCCTCCCACCTCCCAGCTGCTGACACTTTCTTGCCTAGACCTGCTGCCCATGTAGCAGTACAGAGGGGCTGTCTGGCATCACATGACACCAGGTTCAAGTCAGATTCAGCCACTTAGCAATGTGTGACTGAGTCAGGAACTTCATCTCCACCCCAAGCCTCAGTTTCCTCATCTGTCAAATGAGGTTGTGACGTCCACATCAGCAGGCCATGGTGAGACTGCCTGAGAATGCACTGAGGTGACCCACGCTCCTTTGGATATTACGATTTGAGACGGTGGGGTGTGTGTTGAGGGGAGGGGTCAGCCCTAAAATCAGGGCCAGGAAAACAGTCACAGTGCAGCCACTCTTCAGGCCTCCTGCCTGAGCTCCGGGTTCCCCAGAGGAGCCTTGCGCCCAGCCCGCCTAGAATGGGCTGTCAGAGGCCTTCCCGTCGGGGAGAGGGGCCCTGTGCTCCCAGTGGCCTCCTCTATCACTGGGGAGGCTCCAGGCAGTCAGAGCAGTTTTGGGGTCCACGCCTCCATCCCCATCCCCAGACCCACAGCAGGAGACAGCTGGAGAAACAAGGCTGGCCTGGGGTGGGTCCCGGCTGCCGCACCCAGTTGTCTAGAAAATACCCGAATTTGTGGTCAGCTTTAGGTCGGAAGGGGCTGGGGCTCACTGAGTCTCTGCCAATGGCCCTGCCAGTGCTGCGTCTGAGGGACACCGACTGAATCCTTTTTGCTATCACTGCTGCTGATGCTGATGAACTGCAACTGGGCAAGTCACCGCCCCATCCACCAACTGGAGCAAATACCACCACCCACGCGGTGCTTAAGTGAACATGTACCGCCTTGGTAATCAGAAAATAACAACAGGACGCTTTACAAACAATAATGTAATAGCCCCGGTCCAGCTGGGGCGGGCAGCAGATGATAGGATCGTGCTGTGGGCGGGGCTTGGGGAACTCCCGGTGAGATCAGAGTCTCCGTGTCCAGGCCTGACCACCCCGACCACAGGCACTGGCGTTCCGCCCACGGCCGAGCCTCGAACCCTGAAGAAGTCCATGCACTCCTCGGCTTCCACTGCAGTGCACTGTCCTGCCCAGGGGCTGTACGGGCCCCCATTCTCCCAATCTCAGCCCTTTGCCCCAGGTCCCCCGCTGAGGCCGTGTGGAGGCTGCCTCCGCCAGGAAGGAAAAAGAGACCTTGCTTCCACCCTGCCCTTGGTGTCTGGGTGGCGTGAGTGGACCGGCCCTCAGGCAGCACCCCACTGAGCCATATGCGTGATCCCTCAGTCCCAGACCAACGTGTGCACTGGCGGCCTATTTCCCCCATGTACACAGAGGAGCTGGCAGAGCAGAGCTGGTCACTGCACGAGGTGAGTCATGTTCTCCTGGGGCAGAGCATTGAGGGCCACGGCCTCTAAGGGCCCACCAGCCTTCTGCAAGGCTGCGGCCCGGCCTACCACAATGCCACCCGGGGGGGCTGGCTGGCTGCACCCTGCACCCTCGTCCCAGCCATGGGAGCTTGGACCCTCTAAGGGGCTTCCCAGGAGCCTTAGATGCCACAGATATTTGCATTGTATGAGGATTTGGGTTTAAAAAAAAAAAAAAAGGCCAGGTGCGGTGGCTCAGGCCTGTAATCCCAGCACTTTGGGAGGCTGAGGTGGGCGGATCACGAGGTCAGGATATCGAGACCATCCTGGCTAACACAGTGAAATTCTGTCTCTACTGAAAATACAAAAAAAAAAAAAAACAGCTGGGCGTGGCGGCGGGTGCCTGTAGTCCCAGCTACTCAGGAGGCTGAGGCAGGAGAATGGCGTGAACCCGGGAGGCGGAGCTTGCAGTGAGCTGAGATCCGCCACTGGGCTCCAGCCTGGGCGACAGAGCGAGACTCCGTCATGGAAAAAAAAAAAAAAGAAGACGGGGAGGGCGTGTCAAATCAAACACCATGATCTGCCTGGAAGTTTACATTTCACAGTGCAGCCTTTCACTTGAGAACCCCACGTGTAACTCACTGGAAGGTGGTAAAGGCTTATAGTGGAGGCTTTTGGTGAGGGAGGCTCCAGGCATGGCCCTGCCTCCTGCTCTGTGCCCGCAATTCCCATGAGCCTGAACTTGGGCCTCAGCCCCTCTGCCTCTCAGCCGTGAGGCCCAGCATAGGCCCCGGGGAACAGACGGTGGACAGAGGGACGGCCGCTGGGAAGCATGGCAGGTGCTTCCTGTCCCTGCCAGGAGACCACTGGCTGTGATGTCACTCTTGTGCTCTGGCCTAGCGGTGACAGCTCTGGTCATGACCCAGTTCCCCTCAGGTGACTCACCTGCACCTTCTTCTGCTCCTCAGGTCATCATCGAGCATGACTCACCTTCAGCACCGGCTGAGCGAGGCCCAGAAGATGACCAACTCCGTGGGGACCTGAGGTCAGGAGGCAAACGTGCAAGGTGGCTCATGCCTCTAATCCAACACTTTGGGAGGCTGAGGCAGGAGGATCACTTGAGCCCAGGAGTTTGAGACCAGCCTGGGCAACATAGTGAGACCAAAAAATATAAAAATTACCCGGGCATGATAGCACACACCTGTGGTCCCAGCTACTCAGGAGGCTGAGCTGGGAGGATCACCTGAGCCCAGGAGGTCGAGGTTGCAAATCACGGCACTGCACTCCAGCCTGGGTGACAGAGGAAGACATGGTCTCAAAAAGAAAAAAGGAGACAAACATCACCGGGGGCCATCCTGCAGGAGCTTGGGGAGTTTCTGCTGCTGCCTCCTAGAGACCTTCCTGCAGGGTGTGGCTCTTTACAGTTTGCACAGCTAGGTCCCCCCAACCCCATTCTCTCATGGAGGCTCCAGAGGGGCCCTGATGGCCTAGTCAGCAGGGCGGCCAGAACGCACTGCCAGTCTCCTAACTCTGAGCCCAGTGTCCTTTGGGTCGGCCAGGCTCAGCCCGAGCTGAGGGGAGAGGGAGGAGAGCCGGAGGCCCCACCAGACGGTGAGAGGAGGGAGGGCAGCAGCCAGGGTGGGTGCACAGCAGGTGCCAGGCCTGGAGGGCATTCATGAGCCCCTTTGAGGCCTTTGGTCTCACCTGCCTGGCAGGGAAAAGTTAGAGGTCAGAGGCAGCTGAGGAGGGCACAGCGTGTCTGGGTAGATGAGGGGGCAGAGGTGAGAAGGCACCATCCACCCTCCAGCTGGATGGGGCGGGAGACCGAGCTCCCACCAGGAGCTCTGAGCTTTCGTCTCATGGCCCTGGCAGTACCTGTCACGACAGGTGGAGGCTCAGGTGCGGACAGTGTGCTCACGCCCTCCTGGCTGGGAAGTCTCATGGGCCTTGACTTCAGGCTCCTCAAGGTCCCATCTGTTGGCTCCCAGGCAGAGGAGATGCCTGGCCTGTGGTGAGAGTGTGGGGTCCGGGTCCCCCAACCCCCACTCCGCCTCACTGGGCCAGTTTCAGCTCTGTCAGTCGGTGCCTGGCTGGCCCCCCTCTCCCCAGAGAATCCCAGTGCCCCCTCCACAGTGTCCAGCCCAGACACCTTGGTGGCCCAGAGGTACCCAGAGAGCAAAGGGGAGGGAGGCAGGGGGCAGCCAGGCTGGGCTTGGACCTGCGGAAGCCCACCCTCAAGCCTCCAGGCAGATGGAAGGCGTGGTGCTGCCGCCCCCGGTCCTGCTCAGCCTGGCTGGAGTGTCTATTCTTACATCCATACTTCCTGCTTCTTTTCCGGTTCTAGGTAAAGGCTGAGGGGCTCTATGGGGCCTGGCTTCTCACCCAAGCCTGATCCCACTTTCTGGGCAGAACCATGAAATGGGGGGCTCCTACACACCTCCCCAGAGAGGGTCCTTCTGCTGCAGGGCGGCCTTGGGGATGCCTCTGCTTAGCCGCAGCCACTGCCCACATGTCTGTCTGTCTTGCACCCCACACTTCCCACCCCCAGATGCATTCTGTCACACGGCATCCTGCCAGACCCAGAGGAACCAGAGAGGAGGAAGGAGTGGGCTGGAGGAATCAAGAGGAGACTGCCTCGCTTTTTTGTTTGTTTGTTTGTTTGTTTTCACTAGAGACAGGGTCTCGCTGTGTTGCCCAGGCTGGAGTGCAGAAGCTGTTCACAGGCACGATCAGAGCACCACAGCCTCAAACAGGAATCCTGGGCTCAAGCGATTCTCCCGCCTCAGCCTCCCGAGTAGCTGGGACTGTGGGTGTGCAACACCTTGCCTGGCCTGGTTTTCTTTAAAAAGAACAATTCTGAGCTTTATCTCTGGCGCCCCTGGCTGTGGATCCACAGAAGCAGGGATCGCGTCTCTCTCACTTGGGGGGAATCTCGGTGAATTGTGAAATGCGTTCCTGCTGCGGCAGTGAAAACTGATACGGCCCCGCGGGGTTCACAGGTCACAGCCGTGGGGGGACGGTGGCTATCAGTTCTTTCGGCCACCAGCACTCAGACACCAGTTCGGGCGCAACTCAGGCAAAAAGAAGACTCTCCTGGAAGGAGGTGGAGTGTCTCCAGGTGAAAGGGGAGCCCACCCTTCCAGTCTGCAGCCTTGAAACTGGGGCCACCTCTAGGCAGGTCAATGTCTCCCTGAGGCACAGCCAGCTCAGTGCCGGGGCTGGTGATATTTCAGGAAGCTCATGGAAATGATTTCACTTATTCTAAAATCAGGAGAAAATGGACTTTTAGGTTGAAGAAAAGGTTTGTATGTGGACTCTTAACATATTCATTTTGCCATCAATGCAGTTACGGCCCTTCCTCATACCTACCCCACAAACCGGGGGCTCCTCCCTGGCCCATCAGGCTTCAGGAGGAGAGTCTGACCCTCAACTAGAGTCAGGGCCCACTGGGGGACCAATCGGCTGAAGCCCGTGGGACAGGATGACCCGGTCCAGACTTGGGCCACTCCATGTCAGGGACATTCCTGGAGAAGGGTAGGGGCTAGGAGCCCCCACAGTGGGCTCTACCCTGCCGTTGTGGTCCCCTGTGGTGGCTGCCATCAGAGTCTCCCACCTCCAGGCTGAGCCATGCCCTTGGTCTGCCCTCTGCCCTCTCACAGGTAGGCACCCGCATGCAGGAACCTTGGGGCTGCAGGCGAGGGTGGGGCACTCGCCCGCTGGAGCAGGCCAGCAGAGGCGGCATGGCCATGGCCACTTTCGAGGTCAGCACCACCGGCCCTGACCTCGGCTGTGGGAGGACAAGGACGCTCCTGAGCATGCAGGAGTTTGCTGGAGGGACCATCGGAGGGAGACCTCCCCCAGGCTCCCTGACAGCTGGCAGGGAGCAGGCATGGGGGGGACTCTGGGCCACAGGAATTTGGGAGATGGTATGAGAAGGGGCCATCCTTAGTGGCCGTGGATGGAGCCAAGACCAGCCCCTTCTTTGGTCCCCGTTAGGTCCCCTGATAAAACCTCATCAGGCTGGGGCAGAGTCTACTTAAAGGATAGGGGAGTAGAGGCCAGGGTGCCCCCCACTGTGCTTCCTGGGAGTCCTGGATCAGCTTTTCTGAATGCTGGTTCTCTAACCAGAGCCTGGAGAAGGGACGGTAACATGAAGAGTTTGCAGCATTTGGTGGTCGAGGATCCATATGAAGGGCATCCGGCTTGGGGCTGGCATGCTGGATCTCGTAGCGAAGCTGGTGACTGGCCTCCCTGCGAGGCCAGGGCCCCCTCCTCAGGAGCCGCCACAGCCACCAGGCAGGAAAGTCCACTGTGGAGCCATCCAAGCCAGAAGGGGCCTCAGACATCATCGTTTTGCAGATGGGGAAATGGAGGCCCAGAGAGGGAAAATGATTAACCCAGGGACACACAGCAATTATGGCAGAACCGGGGCTGCCCCATGGGAGAACAATGGGCTTTGGGACAGGCTTTGGACCAGCTGTGGGACTCTGGGCAAACTCTTTCCTCCCTAAACCTCACTTCCCTCTTCTGTAAAGAAACCCAGCTAGGCATGGTGGCTCACGCCTGCAATCCCAGTACTTTAGGAGGCTGAGTAGTAATCCCAGTACTTTTGAGGCAGGAGGATCGCTTGAGCCCAGGAGTTTGAGACCAGCCTGGGAAACATAACGAGTCCCTGTCTCTACAAAAATACAAAAATTAGCCAGGTGTGGTGGTGTGCACCTGTGGTCCCAGCTACTCAAGAGGCTGAGGTGGGAGAATCACTTGAGCCTGGTAGGTCGAGGCTGCAGTGAGCCAAGATGGTGCCACTGCCCTCCAGCCTGGGCAACACACCAAGACCCTGTCTCAAAAACAAACAAACAAGAAAAGAAAAAAAGAAAAAACTTCAAGGACCAAGCTCATGCATCGCTGGAGCAGTGCGGGGAGAAGGAGAGTGAGGAGAATCTTGAGACGAGATAGATTCTCAAACGGACATTTACAGAGCCCTCATTACTAGGCACTTGCCAAGTCCTTTGGGGGCATCTTGAGACTCTTTTTTAATTTTAATTTTATTTTGTTTTATTTTTGAGATGGAGTCTCGCTCTGTCACCCAGGCTGGAATGCAGTAGCATGATCTCAGCTCACTGCAAACTCCACCTCCCGGTTTCAAGCTATTCTCCTGTCTCAACCTAAGGAGTAGCTGGGATTACAGACATGCACCGCCATGCCTGGCTAATTTTTGTATTTTAGTAGAGACAGGGTTTCACCATGTTGGCCAAGCTGGTCTCGAACTCCTGACCTCAGGTGATCCACCTGCCTCAGCCTCTGGAGTAGCTGGCGTACACCAATACGCCTGGCTAATTTTTGCATTTTTGGTAGATACGGGGTTTCACTGTTAGCCAGGCTAGTCACAAACTCCTGACCTCAAGTGATCTGCCCGCCTCAGCCTCCCAAAGTGCTGGGAGAATCGTTTTCTAATTTAATTAATTTTTTTTTTTCAGAGATGTTCCTCAGGACTCAAACTCCTGGGCTCAGGTGATCCTCCTGACTCAGCCCCAGAGTAGCTGGGACTACAGGCATACACCATCACCCTTGGCTTGGGAATCTTGAGGGGAAATGAACTAGCCCAGGCCTTCTGGGAGCCAGAGGAGGTCATGACAGACAGCAGGAGGCCGGGAGGCTCCCAGTCATGACAGACAGCAGGAGGCCGGGAGGCTCCCGGTCATGACAGACAGCAGGAGGCCGGGAGGCTCCCGGTCATGACAGACAGCAGGAGGCCGGGAGGCTCCCGGTCATGACAGACAGCAGGAGGCCGGGAGGCTCCCGGTCATGACAGACAGCAGGAGGCCAGGAGACTCCCAGGAGGAAAGTCTGGCACGCTGTCCCTCCCAGACCACAGCGGCTCTCCAGGCCCTGTAGTGGGACAGCCTCTCACCATCCCCCTGGCCTTGGAGTTTCTGTACATCCTGTGCCCTGCAGGCCAGGGTGCTCTTGCCCACGTGTCAGCCCAGGCCACCCAGTGCAGACCCAGGAAATCTTCCAGACCTGTGGGAGCCCCTCATCCCCACCCTGTGTGCACTATGCACCTGGGGCACACCCAGGGCACCTTCCCAAGTGCTGACTATGTCCGGGCACCTGGGCTGCGCCATCTCACCCTCACAGCCACCCTTGAGGCAGGTGCCCTGATTCTTATCCCTGTCCACAGCTGAGAGAAGCCAAGCTCAGGGAACTGGGTCGCAGAGCAGCGGCAGGGGCTGCATCAGGTCTGTCTGTGTCGCCTCGACAAGCGCAATGTCCCGTCAGGGCAGCTTCTGAAGCGGGCCTGCCCTGCCTGCCGGTCTCTGAGACAAGCTCCCTGGGACCGGGCTGGAGCCGGTTGGTCTTTGTGGTGTCCAGGGACTACCTTGCGTGCAGGGCAAGGTTAACCAGGTCCCTGCCAAGACTGCGGCTCACATGTGGCATCCCTACCCAGCCCACTGCCCTGCAGGAGTGGCTCCACTTGGCACTGAACTGGAGTAGGCTGTACAGTTCTGTCCCAGGCCAGGAGGGGAGGGCCTGAGGCCAGGTGCAATTCCCCAGGGCTGGTCCTCACAGGTCCTCCCATGGTGTTAGCAGGGCCCCAAGGCCCCCACCCAGGCCCGAGGCCTCCTTGCTGTTCCATCCGGCCCCAGGGTGCAAGCGCTGCCATTTGGCACTTACATAAAGCATTCAGCAGGCACTCAGCCTGGGCAGGGCCGGGGAGTGGGAGGCAGCTCCTAACATCTGGAGAACATCACCTCCCTGTCCTACATGCTGGAGATAATACAGCTTGTTTGTCTGGGGAGATGCACCTTCCTGGCTGTGCCCAGAGCCGACGGGGCTTTTATGCAATCGAGTGTTTTCAGTGATGACCCTGGAGAGCCACCCCACTTTGGGGGTGAAGGAGGGCCCACACTCGAATATTTTCTATATTGTAAGTTATTTAATCCCTCTGGAGTGGATCTCTCCCAGTGATGTGAAATAAACCAGCTTTCTCTCTTGAGAGTTGTCCAAACCCTATGTACAGAGTAGTCTACCTTTTCCCCCACGGATCTGCAGAGCCAGCTCTTTGTGGGTCAAGTTCTTTAAGAGTTTAGGTTTGATCCTAAAAGTAGCAGAGACCAGTAAACCACTCTAATCCAGGGGGCTGTAGCCTGAGCAGAGAACCATGGCAGGGCAAGCTGGGCGGTGGCTGCTCTCAGCCGGGGTGCGGGGGGGGTATGAGGAGGCAGCAGGGAGGCAAAGGAGGGGCAGGCTTGGAAATAACCTGGGGGGTCTGTTCCCAGTGAGGTCCTGGCTGTCTCCCCTGGGAGCGCTTCTGCAGGCAGGGTCTGCTCTTGGGCAGCCGGGTCTGGCTTCCCTGGCAGGGCCAGGAACGGGGCCCGGAGCCCTGCACGAGACGGATCTGACTGGGTGTCCTGCCTGAGAGCGCCTTCATTTCCCGGATTCCAGGAAGGCTCCCAGAGGGGCAGCGGGCAAGCCCTCAATAGGGGTGTGCGCATCCTGCAGCTCTCGCCAGCCCTTCCGGTGGCCAACAAGAGGCCGGGTGGAGTTTCTGGGAGTGTGTCTGGCCATCCGGAGTCAGGGGCTGGCAGGCAGGAAGGCCCCAAGTTCAGCTAGGCCCCGAGCCTCCCAGAACAGCAGGGAACCGAGGTCCAAGAACCAGCCCGCAGTCACAGAGCAGAGCCACCAAGGGAGAGCCCAGGGCTGCTGGGGGAAAACGGGTGGTGGCAGCCAGTGCCTGGCTGCTGGCCCTGGCCCTCTGTGTGGCCTGGACCCTTCGGCCCCTCCCTGTCTGAAAGCTGCTGGCTGACCGGCTCCACGTTCCAGGTGTCCAAGGCCATGCACAGCCACGTGCTGACCGTGAAGTTGTCCCTGAGCCCAAGCATGCCGACCAGTTGGCCTGGGCACTGCCACGGCAGTGGAGGGCAGCACAGACACAGGCTGCAGGCGACAGGCCTGCCCAAGGGGGAGTTGGCAGCGCACCAGAGGCGAAGGCAGATTCTGAGTTTGCAGCCTCAGCTTCCTGGGGCAGGGGGCAGAGCTAGGGAGGCAGAAATGTGGGAGGGCAGGAAGATGGGGAGAGGCCAGAGGGTTCTGGTTGCCTCTGTAGAAAGGCTGGTGGGGTCCCCTTGCAACACTGGCCCTTGGGCACTCAGCATTCAGGCGGGGCCATGGAGGCAGGCTGCACCAAGACGGAGGTGACCAGCTGTAGGGTGGACTTGGGGATGAGCTAATGAGGCACAGAGAGGGAGGGCTGTGCCCAGGGAAGAATGACTGGGGACCCTAAGAATGAAGCCCAGGGAGGAGGGGGCGTCCCATGCGGGAGACATGGAGTCCCATCACCACACCTGCCAGTGGGCCTCTCTAAATCGCCCCTACCCTTCCAGCCAGCTGCCCCCGAAATGCTGGAGCAGCAGAAACAGCGCAGCTGCTGGCTCTTGCTGGGAGGCCCTGCTCCCGACAGAGCTGTCCTCAGGAGAGGGCAGGGGAATGGGGTTGGAGGGAGCATCCAGCCAGCTGTCTCAGAGGTTGGGGGAAGGAGAGAGAGGAGGCTTGCGCTGTGGATACCCACTGGTGACTTCCAGCAAACAGCTCAGGATGAAAAGGGCTGACTGGAGCACTAGCTCCTCCCATGACGAAGGGAGGTGGGCATTGCTGCTGGGCGACCCCTGGCCCGGGCTAGGAGGGTGGGGGAGCCATTCATCCCAACAGCTTCTCATTCGGTGACCCTGAAACAGGGGGCAAAGCAGGCGTC
Source organism: Homo sapiens (assembly GCF_000001405.40). Classification (NCBI taxonomy): domain Eukaryota; kingdom Metazoa; phylum Chordata; class Mammalia; order Primates; family Hominidae; genus Homo; species Homo sapiens. Next base: position 103,880,615 of record NC_000014.9, on the reverse strand, counting down.
AGCGTTTCCCGAGCATTTCCTCTGGTGGATCTGCAGCACGTGGGCACGCTTCCAGGGCACTCTGCCAGTCCCCAAAACCACACACGGGGTTGCCACAGAGGGGACTGAAAACATACTGAGCAGCTTCAGTGCTGGACCACAATTGTAAGCACATTTTCTAGCGGCGATTTCACGGTCCTCAAAAGGTGAGTCCCTTGGGTCCCTCCCAAGGAGCCCCAGAGGCCGAGAGGCCAGTGCTGGTTAATGGACCTCACTTTATTCCAGCTTTATTAGCTAATGGCAGCTAAAAGTGATTTTACACAAAATAATGTGTCGGAGATCATTGTTCCCGGGCACAGGTCCCAAATTCCAGCCCACGACCGAAGGCCAAACGTGCCCGTTAATGATTAAACCTCTGGAGTCAGTGCTCAGGGACACAGGCAGGGAGCAGCCCGGAGAGCTGCCGGTCAAGGTGCCCGGCCGGGTGGGGGTGGGGCAGCAGCCAGGCCCCGCCCAACAGGAACCAGTTCCTGCCCAAAGCAGGAGGGGAAAGGCTTTTCCACCAAGGGAAAGCTAAATATTGTCTAAATCCGGCACCCAGGACGACACACAGGCTTCCCATTGTCTGCCACACAGCAGGTCTCGGCCACGGCCCAGGTTGCACCCGTGTGAGGTCAGGGAGGGTGGAGCATCCCGGGGAGGGGGCCTGCCCCCACCGTCTTCCTCTGCACCGAGGCACATTCTTGGGAAAGGTCTTATGTTGCCAAAAGGGCTTAACCACATGACACAAGTGAGCGTAGGTGGGCACCAGTGAGGAAAAGCCATCCTTGGCAGCAGAAGCCGGTGCAGGGGCGACGCTTCAGACCACAGGAAGCGAGCTCTCCACGGTGGCCGAGGGCTTTTCCACTCGGCGAGCCTGGGCACCAGTCCCAGCTCTGCTACCTTTTCGCTGTCGTAGGTTATCTCAGTTTCCTCCTCTGTAAAATGGGAACGTGGTACCTGACCTCAAGGTCACCAAGAGGTCTACCGAGTGGCCCCTGTGAAACACGTAGTGCCGGAGCCCTGGTACCTGCAAGCTCTCAATACCCGGCGATCACGTTCATTACGATTAGGATCACCAGATTCTGTTCCTTTGCGAGATCCTTTCCAACTGCACTTTCATGTCAGTGTTCGTTTGCAGGTTGATGTTGGACCGTATTTACATTCAGTGTTTGGGGCTGACCGGGAAGAAATCTGAAAGTGGAAGAGAAGGGAAGGCACCGGTAACCTCGTCTTCCCAAGAGGAGGTCAGAGGTGAGTGTGAAAGTAAACATATTCTTTTTTTTTTTGAGACGGAGTCTCACTCTGTTGCCCAGGCTGGAGTACAATGTCACCATCTCAGCTCACTGCAAGCTCTGCCTCCCGGTTTCAAGCAATTCTCCTGTCTCAGCCTCCCGAGTAGCTGGGATTACAGGCCCCCACCACCACGCCTGGCTAATTTTCGCATTTTTAGTAAAGATGGGATTTTAGCACGTTAGCCAGGCTGGTCTCGAACTCCTGACCTCTGGTGATCCGCCTGCCTCGGCCTCCCAAAGTGCTGGGATTATAGGCGTGAGCGACTGCACTTGGCCTAAAAGCTCATTATTGAAAGCCACTCAGTTACAGAGCGAGACGACCTCAGAAAGCAGAGAAAATGCGCCCGCTTTAAGTTTTTTTTATATGGGGGTCTTATCTGTATAAAGACTAAACTAAGCTGTGCCCACGTGCGCGGGTGGGCTGATAGCATGACAGAATTTATTATTCGGTTGATTTAAAGAAAACTATCCTTGACATTTTAGTATGCAGGTACAAACAGCATAAGTAGAATTATCTTGAAAGCATATATTATTGTGTCTATCAGAACATCTGGACTTTTCATCGTTGTGGGAGTGTGTCCTTGCAGGTATTTTTAAGCTGTTTTCTCATTTGTAAATATCTCAGTACTATGTGACTGGCAAGGAATGTCCTTTACTAGTTTTAAGATGAAGTTTGTTTTAAGATGTTGTGACCCTGGCTCTCCTAGGCTCTTGTTTCCCTAATAGCAGAAAGAATATTATTTAAAGTTACCAAGGGCCGGGAGCAGTGGCTCATGCCTGTAATCCCAGCAATCTGGGAGGCTGAGGCAGTCAGATCACTTAAGCTCAGGAATTCAAGACCAGCCTGAGCAACACGGTGAAACCCCGCTCTGCAAAAATACAAAAAGTAGCTGGCAGCGTGGTGTACGCCTGTAGTCCCAGTCACACAGGAGGACTAGGTGGGAGGATCGATTGGGCCCCGGAGTTCGAGGCTGCAGTGAGCTGTGTCCACACCACTGCACTCCATCCTGGGTGACAGAGCAAGACCCTGTCTTTAAAAATTAAATTAAAACATATGCCGGGCGCAGTGGTTCAAGCCTGTAATCCCAGCACTTTGGGAGGCTGAGGTGGGCGATCACCTGAGGTCGGGAGTTCCAGACCAGCCTGGCCAACGTGGTGAAACCCCATCTTTACTAAAAATACAAAAATTAGCTGGGTGTAGTGGTGCGCGCCTGTAGGCCTAGCTACTTGGGAGGCTGAGGCAGGAGAGTCACTTGAACCCGGGAGGCAGAGGTTGCAGTTAGCTGAGATCACGCCACCGCACTCCAGCATAGGCAACAGAGAGAAACTGTCTCAAAAAAAAAAAAAAAAAAAAAGTCTGGGCATGGTGGCTCACACCTGTAATCCCAGCACTTTGGGAGGCTGAGGTGGGCAGATCACCTGAGGTCAGGAGTTCGAGACCAGCCCAACCAACATAGTGAAACTCCGTCTCTACTAAAAATAGAAAATTAGCTGGGCGTAGTGGTGGGCACCTGTAATCCCAGCTACTCGGGAGGCTGAGGCAAGAAAATCACTTGAACCCAGAAGGCAGAGGTTGCAGTGAGCCGAGACTGTGCCGCTGCACTCCAGCCTGGGCAATAAGAGCGAAATTGCATCTCGAAAATAAATAATAAATAAATAAATAAATAAAGTTACCAAAAAAGCAGTAGAAGAAATAAAAATAATTACATTAACAATAAAGTTTGTAGGGTAATGTGATGTAGCTGAATTCCCATCTTTCACATGGAGGAGTCAGTAGTGTCTAAAATTTGGTAAGTCGGAGAAAAGAGACGCTGTGCATGGCGCAGAGCTGTCCAGGTCATTGTCAGCAGAACTACACACAGCAGGAGTCAAAGGAAGCAGCTCTTGGGGAGACCCTGGGAAGAAAAACTGGGGTGGGGAGGTTGGGGGCACAGTGTTACTTCCCATCATAAACATCTCTGTGTCGGCCGGGTGCGGTGGCTCACGTCTGTAATCCCAGCACTTTGGGAGGCCTAGGCGGGTGGATCACGAGGTCAGGAAATCCTGGCTAACACGGTGAAACCCCATCTCTACTAAAAATACAAAAATTAGCCAGGCATGGTGGTGGGCGCCTATAGTCCCAGCTACTCAGGAGGCTGAGGCAGGAGAATGGCGTGACCCGGGAGGCGGAGCTTGCAGTGAGCCAAGATCGCGCCACTGCACTCCAGCCTGGGTGACAGCGAGACTCCGTCTCAAAAAAAAAAAAAAAAATCTCTGTGTCATTTATGACTATGACTGTTTTGCTTTCATTCAAAGGACACTTTGTTGGCCAGCTACGTTGGCTTGCGCCTATAACTCCAGAATTTTGGGAGGCCAAGGCAGGAGGGTGGCTTGAGCCCAGGAGTTTGAGATCAGCCTGGGCAACACAGTGAGACCCTATCTCTATTACAATAATATAATTTTTAATATGTTTAAGTATAAAATTATTTTTTAAAAAAAGATGCTTTGTTGATTTGTTTGTTCATTTACAGACAGGGTTTCTTTCTGCTACCCAGGCTGGAATGTAGTGGCAAGATCACAGCTCACTGCAGCCTCAAACTCCCTGCCTCAAGCAATCCTCCTACCTCAGCCTCCCGAGTAGCTGAGACCATAGACGTGCATCACCACTTCTGGCTACTTTTTTAAACAACTTTTTGTAGAGACAGAGTCTCACCATGCTGCCTAGGCTAGTGTGGAACTCCTGGCCTCAAGTGATCCTCCCACCCTGACCTCCCAAAGCACTGGGATTTCAGGCCTAAGCCATCATGCCCAGCCAAGACACTTTGTTAATTATAAAAATGTTTGGAGTCATCAACAATTTCAGAACTAAAAATGTAAGTTTGCAAAAAGATCGGGTTCCATTTACCATTTGGCAGAAGCCCCAGAAGAGAAGGTGTCTGAAACCAGCAGGCAGCTTGAGCCTCAAGAAACCATCTGCCTCCCTGGTACTTCTGCCACTGGTTCTTGGTCCACCTGTGGAGCCGTGAGGCTCAGGAGGGGTGTCCTTGCCTACTCCCAAGGGACAGTCCTCTAAATATTCAAAGGCAGCTCTCCTGCTCCCCTGAGCCTTGTCATCTGCAGGGTAAACTTTACCCACCTCTCCAGCTGTTTTATGGACAGCCTATATGATTCTTTCTGGCCAGAAACCCCAGCAAATCAGCATATACAGGGAGACAGGAGTGGTCCTCTGGCTGCTGCTGAGAACACACCATTCACCCACCCATCCACCCACCCATCCACCTATCCACCCACCTCCCCATCCACCCACCCGCCCAACCACCCATCCACCCACCCACCCACCCAACCACCCATCCACCCATCCATCCAACCACCCATCCACCCACCCACCCATCCACCCATCCACCCATCCATCTACCCATCCATCCACCCATCCACCCATCCACCCATCCACCTATTTATCCACCTACCCACCCATCTTTTTTTTTTTGTTTGAGACGTCTCACTCTGTTGCCCAGGCTAGAGTGCAGTGGCATGATCTCGGCTCACTGCAGCCTTCGCCTCCCGGGTTCAAGCAATTCTCCTGCCTCAGCCTCCTAAGTAGCTGGGATTACGGGCACATGCCACCATGCCTGGCTAATTTTTTGTATTTTTTTTTTCTAGTACAGATAGGTTTCACCATATTGGCCAGGCTGGTCTCAAACTCCTGACCTCAGGTGATCTGCCCGCCTTGGCCTCCCAAAGTGCTGGGATTACAGATGTGAGCTACCATACCTGGCCATCCACCCACCCATCTATCTGTCTACCCACCCACCTATTCATCCATCCATCCATCCATCCACCCACCCCACCCCCACCCACCTGTCCATCCATCCATCCATCTATCTACTCACCCACTCATCGACCCATCCATCCATTCACTCACCCACCCATGCACCTGTCCATCAATCCATCCATCCATCCACCCATCCACTTGTCCATCAATCCATCTATGTATCCACATATCCACCAACCAACCCACCCATCTATCCATCCATCCATCCATCCAACCATCCAACCATCCACGCACCCATCCATCCATCCATCCACCCACCCACCTTTCCATTTATCCATCCATCTGCCCATCTATTCATCCACCTGTCCATCCATGCATCCACCCACCTGTCCGTACACACACACATCTGCCCACTCATCCGCCGGCTCATCCATTCATCTACCTACCCACCTACCCACCCTTCCATCTGCCACTTCCTGTTTCCTTCTCAGAGCCAGCACCATGAGCTCTGTCCTTACAGAACATCGAATGCAAGGGCCAGACTGACCTGTAAGCCAGCAATGACCACATGGGATGAGCAGTGTTGGGTCAGCCCCAGATGCAAGAGCATCAAAAAATACTTCCTGTTTGGGGGAGACAGTGAGGAAGACACTTGAATAACCAGTCTCAGGTTAGGGCAGCAGAGAGTGGGAGAAGCAGGGGGTTGTCCACATGGCCAAGTCTGACCAACTCAGGGGTCAGGTCAGAGAAGAACAACGATGTCACCAGTAGTAGTGATTCTACAGCAGTCTCCAGCCTCCTTCTGCAGACACCCTCCCCAACCTCAGGAAAGGCTCTGCAGCAACAAACTCAGCTTTGGAGCCCCTCCTGCTTGTGTCCTGGCCTGCTTCTCCCACTGAGTGTTCAACCTTGGGCAATGAATTCCCTTCCTGAGCCTCCAATCGCTACCTGTATAAATGAGAAACAAGGCTGAGTCTGGTGGCTCATGCCTGTAATCCCAGCGCTTTGAGAGGCTGAGGTGGGTGGATGGCTTGAGCTCAGGAGTTTGAGACCATCCTGGGCAACATGGCAAAAACCTGTCTCTACTAAAAATACAAAAAATTAGCCAGGCATGGTGGTACGTGCCTGTGGTCCCAGCTACTCGGAAGGCTGAGGTGGGAGGATCGCTTGAGCTAGGGAGGCAGAGGTTGCAGTGAACCAAGATCGCGCCACTGCACTCGAAAAAAAAGAAAAGGCTGGGCGTGGTGGCTCATGCCTGTAATCCCAGCACTTTGGGAGGCCGAGGCGGGTGGATCACGAGGTCAGGAAATCGAGACCATCCTGGCTAACACGGTGAAACCCCATCTCTACTAAAAATACAAAACATTAGCCGGGTGCGGTGGCAGGCGCCTGTAGTCCCAGCTACTCGGGAGGCTGAGGCAGAAGAATGGCGTGAACCCAGGAGGCAGAGTTTGCAGTGAGCCGGGATCGCGCCACTGCACTCCAGCCTGGGCGATAGAGCAAGACTCTGTCTCAAAAAAAAAAAAAAAAAAAAAAAAAAAAAGAAAAAAGAAAAGCATTGTGAAATGTTCTTGGGGGTTTGTGTGACAAGGGTTTATTGAGTACCTGGTATATGTCAGACACAGTTCTAGGCCCTGGGATACAGCTGTGAGCCGAAGTCTCGCCCTCGAGGCCCTGTGAATTAGAGTGAGCGCCAAAAGCATGCAGCACAGCAGGGCTGAAAAACCAGCAGCCTCAAGAAGTGTTGCCTTTTTTTTTTTTTTGAGACAGGGCCTCACTGTCACACAGGCTGGAGTGCAGTGGCAAGAACATGGTTCACTGCAGCCTCTACCTCCCCAGGCTCAAGTGAACCTCCCACTTCATCCTCTTGAGTACTTGGGACTACAGGTGTGTGCCAAGCCTGGCTAATTTTTGTATGTTTTGTAGAAATGAGGGCTGGGCATGGTGGCTCACACCTGTAATTCCAGCACTTTGGGAGGCCGAGGTGGGCAGATCACTTGAGGTCAGGAGTCCAAGACCAGCGTGGCAGACGTGGTGAAACCCTGTCTCTACTAAAAATACAAAAATTAGCCAGGCATGATGGTACGTACCTGTAATCCCAGCTACTCCGGAGGCTGACCCAGGAGAATCACTTGACCCTGGGAGGTGGAGGTTGCAGTGAGCCGAGATCATGCCACCACACTCCAGCCTGGGTGACAGAGCGAAACTCCATCTCAAAAAAAAAAAAAAGTCCGGGCGCAGTGGCTCAGGCCTGTAATCCCAGCACTTTGGGAGGCCAAGGCAGGTGGATCATTTGAAGTCAGGAGTTCAACACCAACCTGGCCAACATGGTGAAACCCCGTCTCTACTAACAATACAAAAATTAGTCAGGCGTGGTGGTGCACACCTGTAATCCCAGCTACTCGGGAGGCTGAGTCAGGAGAATCACTTGAGCCTGGGAAGTGGAGGTTGCGGTGAGCCGAGATTGTGCCACTGCACTCCAGTCTTGGCTACAGAGTGAGACCCTGTCTCAAAAAAAAAGAAATGAGGTTTCACCAAGTTGCCCAGGCTGATCTCGAACTCCTGGGCCCAAGCAATCTGACAGCTTCAGCCTCCCAAAGTGCTGGGATTACAGGCATGAGTCACTCCATGTAGCCAAATGTCACTTTCTTAACAACAATGCAGATGCAGGACCCCCCACTGCACACAGGGCCCTGGGCCTGCCTCTGGAGGGGATGCCATGAGCCCCTCCAGCCCCTTCTTCAGCTGTTGAGGAATGTGCGCCCACAGATTCTGTTGGTGGAGACTTTCTGCTGAGCCGGCTGTGGTTCTGGAAACCCCCTTTCCCCCTTAAAAAAACCTTCAAGGCCTCCTAGCTATGGCCTGCGGAGGGGGTAATAAACATGAAGGAGATGTGGCTCTTCCTTCCCACAGGCCTCAACCTGCTCATTCTGTTCAGCCTCCTCCAGCTCAGGGAGCAGGACCGCGGGCCACAGGTCGCATGGCTGCGGGAAGAGTCCATCCTGCAATTGATAGGAAAAGATCCTGCGGCCGAGTTTGGCCAAGCTGTTGATGGCCACTATGGAAGTGACCTCCGGAGACGGCACATCTGACTGGCCCCGGATGCTCACTCACAGCCACGGCACTGCCCAGACACGGGGCCTTCTTCCATAAGACCCGGAGGCCTGGCCTGGAGGGCCTGGATAAGCACGCGGCAGGCTGGGCGTGTGGTGGGCACCCACCCAGGGAGGGGCGGGGGAAGCTGGATGTCGCCGCAGGAAAGGCCCAGGCTCGCCTTCTTGTCAATTTGCCATTGTCACCAAGTCCAGGACACAGCATCAGAGAAGAAGGTGGCTGCGGCAGGCAAGGCCCGGGCTGGGTGGGGGAGGGGCGCCGGGGGAAAAGAGCACCGACCCGGTCTGGGAGAACAGAAGCCCCCCAGCAGGAAGGAAACGTGGCGGGCAGGAGGGGCCCTCTGGACTCAGGAAAGGGAAGAGGCGGTGCCGGCCACGCCCAGGCCACGCCCCCATACCACGCCCCCCGTGGGTGGCGGGGCACCTGGGCGCTCCAGAGCCCAGGGCGCACCCTCAGCCAAAACCCTTGTCAAGCGTCCTGAAGCCGGCTGGCCGCCCGCCTGTCCCTGCCGCGTCCTCCTCCACCGGGAGGGCAGGAAGGCGCGCCCGGCTGCCTCTGCTTGGCTTCTCCAACGTCCCCCCAGCCGGTGCGCGCTCACCCCTACACTGGGCCTTCGCAGGTTCAGGGCGCTGGGGGTGACCACCACCCCGACGTGGCTCTCCCTGCCTGGGACCGTCACAGGCCCCCGGGAAGGGTCTGCCGGGTTGGACCGTATCTGAGCCTGGGCCAGGGTCAGTAGAAGGTGTTCTACTACCTAGACAGTAGAAGGTATTCAGGAATGGAGAGAGCCAAGGCCTGCCCACTTGCTCGCCCCAGGGAGCACCTTCTCCCCAGGAAGAGGCTCTGCCTGAGTGGCTGCTCGGGGCCTCTTATCTGAACCCTCCTGGGAACAGGAAGCCCTGAACCCTGGACCTAGGGATGGCTACAAACATAGGACAAGAACACCAGCCACAAGCCACCACAGTGGCTGCCACCATCGACCTGCACCTTCCTGGGGACTGTCACTTTTTTTTTTTTTTTAACAGGGACTGATCTCTGCTTACTGCAGCCTCCACCTCCCAGGCTCAAGAGACCCTCCTACCTCAGCCTCCCCAGTATCTGGGACTACAGGCGCAAGCCACCATGCCTGGCTTTTTTTTTTTTTCAATTTTTTGTAGAGATGGGGTCTCAATATGTTTTGCCCAGGCTGGTTTTGAACTCCTGAGCTCAAGCGATCCTCCTTCCTGGGGCTCCCAAAGTGCTGGGATTATAGGCTTGAGCCACAGCGCCCAGCGCATTAGGGAAGCAGGAGCCCAGGACAGCCAGAGCAATGCCATTGTAAGTTCATCTCCATCCTGAGACTAACAAGGCACATTCCTTGCCAGCCACAACTTGTGGTCACAAGAAGCTTACAATTAAGGGAACAGCCTAAAGATACCTGCAAGGATGCACTCCTACAAGAGAAAGTCCAGATGTCCCCATACTCGTAACAACATATGCTTTCGAAATAATTACAGCTATCATTAGATGTACTTACACTAAAGTGTCAAGGATAGTTTTCTTTTTGTTTTGGTTTTTGGGTTTTTGGGGGGTTTTTAGGTTTTGTTTAGACAGGGTTTCGCTCTGTTGCCCAGGCTAGAGCACAGTGGCACTATCATAGCTCACTGCAGCCTCAGCCTCCTGGCCTCAAGCGATCCTCCCACCTTGGCCTCCCAAAGTATTGGGATTAGCCACCTCGCCTGGCTTGTTACTCCGTTATACTCCGCTAACAAGTGATTCCACCTGACCAGCCAGCATCCAGGGGGATTGTGCCCAGGGAGGATGGTACCAGGGCCCCTCACAGTGGTCAGAGCCAGGAATGGGCCTGGGATGGCCATGCTCCAAGGTCCAGCTGACAGCCCCAGACAGCAGGGAGGGCAGGCCTCAGGGCAGAAGGTGACCAGTGGCTGGGACCCAGACCAAGGCTGCAGCCCTGAGGTGCCACACAGGGTCAGGCAGACAGGGACCAACAAGAATGGTACAAAAGGGAAGGGACCCGGCCAGTTGGATGGGCTGTAAGAGGGTTCTGCGCAGAGCCACCTAGCAGGAACCAACCTGGTCAAGCCCTCTGGCCTCAAATCTGGCTTGGCTCCTGCGACTGAGCTGGAGCCCAGCAGGGGAATGGGGAGAGTAGGACCAGTCATGTGGCTCTAGGGATCCTGTGGCAGGGAGCCAGGCCAGGCCTGAGACTCCCTCTGCAGGGGTCAGAGGCCCAGTTCTGGGCCCCCACGTACCAGCCTGTGGCCAACCTCTAGGCTTTTCTGACCAAGGCCAGACTTTTCCTGTAAGGTCCCCTGAGACCAGGCCTGGAGGGAGTTGGACGGTGGAGCCTCAAGAGCCCACATCTTGACAGGGCCCCGCACTACCACCTCCTGTCTATGGAACACCCCATCCCTCCTCTCTTCAGGGCAGTTCAGACATTGAAGGAAGAGACAAAGAGCCTTGAATGTCACGAAAAGGAGGTTGGACTTTATCCTGCAGGCAATCAGAAGCCAGAAAGGTTTCAGGATGGATGGGCTGATCAGATTTGAGTTTCAACAGGCCACTGTGTGAGTATGCGGAAAGGGTGTGGCTGGGGACAGGAACCCCAGTGAATGGCACTGCTGTCCATGAAGAGGGGCAGCAGGGGCCTGGGCTGTGCAGGGACCAGGGGGTACAGCAAAGGGGCTGGTATCCAGAGAAAGCCCAGGGATGCCCCGGGACAGTCGTAGCACCGTGAGTCTTTGGGCCCTGTCCCTTTCCTTGAAGACCCAGCAGAGCGAGTGCTGCTTGATTTCCCAGAAGCCCTTTGTGGAGAGTAACTCGCCCCATCCCCCACCCCTGCCACACAGGCTGCTACAGACACCCAGACACCGGAGCTCCAGCCGGGGCAGGCTGCAGGATGCCCAGCCGTGTCCCCAGGATGCCCTGCACGCTGTCCTGAAAACTAACCTGTAACTGCAGCTCTTGGAGCCTTCCGGAACCCAGATCCCCACCTGAGATCAAACCAAAGACCTGGTTTAAGGTCCCTGGTTTGGCTTGTTGCCACCCAACGCTGCCCCAGTTTGCCGTCTTTTTTTTTTTTTTGAGACGGAGTCTCGCTCTGTCGCCCAGGCTGGAGTGCAGTGGCGCGATCTCGGCTCACTGCAAGCTCCGCCTCCCGGGTTCACGCCATTCTCCTGCCTCAGCCTCCCGAGTAGCTGGGACTACAGGCGCCCGCCATCACACGTGGCTAATTTTTTTGTATTTTTAGTAGAGACGGGCTTTCGCCGTGTTAGCCAGGATGGTCTCGATCTCCTGACCGCGTGATCCACCCGCCTCGGCCCCCCAGAGTGCTGGGATTACAGGCGTGAGCCACCGCGCCCGGCCGACTTCGCTATGTCTTTAGGCCAGCCCTGACCGCCCTGAGCCCCAGCTTGCCCAGGCCCTTGCAGAGTGATGGGGTCACAGAGAGGTACAGACACACAGTAGAACAACAGACATGTACATGGGGGGTGGCACATGTGACCATGGGAACAGAGAAGAGGGAGAGGGAGGAGGTCAGGGTGAGGACATCAGAGTTGGTGCCTGAAGGTGGGATGAGGCAGAGCCAGGGGTTGCCGTCACCGCCCTCTCCCCCAGGCACCAGCACCCAGCACTGGCTCTTGCTCATGGGCAGGAATGAGGAACGGATGTCATTAGTAGCAGCTCCCAGTAACTACCAATAGGTGTGAAGCCCGGTACAGTTAAAGAGGCCTGACATGCTGCAACCTGCACTTTGGCAGCACGTACCTGGGCTTTGAAGTAAGTTTCATTATCTCCAATGCACAAATGAAGAGACTGAGGGCCAGGGTGAGTAAGTCACTGTCAGTGAGTAGCCATCCTTGTCGGGTGGGAGTGTAGGCCCTGGGGGCCCAGAGTGGGCAGGGTGCTGAAGTCCCCTCCCTGTATTCCTGGGCAGCCAGGTGTGCCCTGCCAGAGCCTTGGAGCATCTCCAGTCTTGGGGCAGGAGATCCCTTAAAGTGAAGCCGAGGGTGAGCCCCCAGGTGAGGGGGTCCGAGGGCTCAGCCCATCTCCTTCCCTCCGGCCTGCCCTGAGTTTCTGAGCTGGGTGATGGGGCCCAGGAGAGCAGGAATTGTGGGCGAGGCTGGCCTCCCTGAGACTAGGTAGATCAGGAACAGTTTCTTGGAGGAGGAAGTGCCTGAGCTGAACCTTGAAGGCCGTGTCCAATTTTCACTAGCGAGGATGGAAGCAGGGACGTGTTGGGATCAACCAACAGCATGAGCAAGGATGGGCCCGGAGGGCAGGCAAGGGAATGATGAGCGGGAGGTGAAGCCAGAGGAGTTGGAATGGAGGGCCGAGGGGAGCAGGAGCCAGGGCAGGCCTCCTTCAGCACTTGGGGCCCTGCAGACACCAGCAGGTCACTTCTGTGTCAAGCTCTGAAGCAGCACCAGGGAGGCCTGGGGAACCACCTCCCAGACACACACCCTACACTGTTGGCCTGCAAGATCAGCCCTTCTAGGGCAGCACCACTGCCCAGTTACAGTCGGGTCTGGTCAGTGCCTAAGACCAGGAGGGCACAGGGGCATGGAAGTCAGGGGATTGGAGACCAGGGGCCCTGCTCCAAGAGAGGCCTCAGAGGAGCCAGCTCCACTGAGCTCTCCCCATGGCCAGCCGGTGGCACGCGCCCCTCTGAGGAGGTAAGAAATCCGAGCCTGACAACGAGCCAGATGATTGTTTCTCCTGGGATAGCAGGCCCCGAGCCAGTGCCTGCAGGCCCAGGCGTGACTGCCAGCCCCCAGCCCCGCCTCCCTCCCGGCACTGCCTGGCACTCCACTCAGCTGGGCCCTGTGCAAGGCTGCTTTGATGGTGGAAATGCACAGTCACCACTGCCCATAGGTTTGGGAGCACCTGGAGCTGAGTCTGAGGTTGCAGGGGCTCCAGGCCCCATCCCGCCTGTGTGACCTAATGGCTGGTTAATTCGCCTCTCTCGGCCTTGGTTTCCTCATCTGTCAAGTAGGAATGACAGCAGTGCTTGCTTCCTGGAGACTGTTTGAGGATGAAAGGACAATGTGTGTGAAAGGCCCCGGGGAGCTCCAGCCAGGGCGCAGGGGAGGAAGGATTAGGCAGCACCCCACAAAGCAAAGTCAGAGCTACCTAACAAGTCCACACACCTTCGAGGGGGTCAGGAGGTGGCGGAAGGTGCCTGGGAAGGCTTCCAGCAGGAAGGTTCTGGAACATCTGCCCATGTTTGAACCCCTCTCAGCGTCCTTCCAGCAATGGAGCGCCTCGCTGCTCCTCCAGGCATAGCTGCAGGTCCTCCACTCTTCTACAGAACATCCTGTGAGTCCCCTGCCCCCCCACCCCCCCAGCCCTGCAGTGTGTCCCTGGGTTTTCAAGACCAAAATGGCCAACCGGCTCGGTGGCTCACGCCTGTAATCCCAGCATTTTGGGAGGCCAAGGCAGGCAGATCACCAGGTCAGGAGTTCGAGACCAGACCAACCTGGCCAATATGGTGTAACCCCATCTCTACTAAAAATACAAAAATTGGCTGGACATGGTGGTGGGCGTCTGCAGTCCCAGCTACTCAGGAGGCTGAGGCAGAAGAATTGCTTGAACCCGGGAGACAGAGGTTGCAATGAGCTGAGATCCTGGGTGACAGAGAGACACTCTGTCTCAAAAAAAAAAAAAAAAGGCCAGCCGCAGTGGCTCACACCTGTAATCCCAGCACTTTGGGAGGCTGAGGCAGGCGGATCGTGAGGCCAATAGATCGAGACCATCCTGGCCAACATGATGAAACCCCGTCTGCACTAAAAATACAAAAATTAGCTGGGCATGGTGGCGTGCGCCTGTAGTCCCAGCTACTTGGGAGGCTGGGGCAGAAGAATTGCTTGAACCCAGGAGGTGGAGGTTGCAGTGAGCCGAGATCGCACCACTGCACTATATAGCCTGGCGACAAAGCGAGACTCCGTCTCAAAAAAAAAAAAAAAAAAAAAAAAAGAGTGGAATGACTGGAGCCACTGGTCATGGCCCGTCATCGTCAGGGGAGAAGGTGACCTGCACCATCCCTGTCCAGGGGCTTGTGCAATTTCCAGGATGCCCAGGGAGTCCCCCCGCAGCCCCCGCCCAGCTGGGAGTCCTTTCTGTGGTGCCCTGCTAAAGCTGTTCCTTCTTGGGACGAGGGAGGCAGGCATTGGCTCTGGAAGGCTCCAGTAAAGAGGAGCAAGTTCCAAGTTCCCGTCAGCAGCCCCAAAACTACTTGGCAGGTAGCTGAGTCCCACCCCAAGGGCCTCATTCCATAAATGGTGTGACATGGGCTCCCAGCACACGGGTCTTCGGTCAGTGGCCCAAGGTCAAGTCTCTGCCTTACCACCTAGTCCCTGTGTGGCCTTGAGCTAGTTGCTCAACTCCTCTGACTCTGTTCACTCACCTGAAAAGTTGTGGGTGACAATTGCGTGACCTTCCTCCAGGGAGAGCTGTGAATGCTATCAAGTTAAGTACCAGGCCAGGCGCGGTGGCTCACGCCTGTAATCCCAGCACTTTGGGAGGCCGAGGCAGGCGGATCACGAGGTCAGGAGATCGAGACCATCCTGGCTAACACAGTGAAACCCCGTCTCTACTGAAAATACAAAAAATTAGCCGGGCGTGGTGGTGGGCACCTGTAATCCCAGCTACTTGGGAGGCTGAGGCAGGAGAATGGTGTGAACCCGGGAGGCGGAGCTTGCAGTGAGCAGAGATCGCGCCACTGCACTCCAGCCTGGGCGAAAGAGCGAGACTCTGTCTCAAAAAAAAAAAAAAAAAAAAAAGTTAAGTACCAAAAAGAAGTCACAGGTGAACAACTTTTTTTTTTTTTGGAGATGGAGTCTCCCTCTGTCACCCAGGTTGGAGTGCAGTGGCACGATCTCAGCTCAGGTTTTAAGCCCTGCATGCATTAGGTATTTGTCCTAATGCTCTCCCTCCCCTTGCCTCCCCAACCCCTGACAGGCCCCACTGTGTGATGTTCCCCTCCCTGGGTCCATGTGTTCTCATTGTTCAACTCCCACTTATAAGTGAGAACATGCGGTGTTTGGTTTTCTGTTCCTGTGTTAGTTTGCTGAGAATGATGGCTTCCAGCTTCATCCATGTCCCTGCAAAGGACATGAACTCATTATTTTTTACGCTGCATTACAAAAAGATTTTTTGTAGAGATGAGGTTTCACCATATTACCCAGGCTGGGTCTTTGTATGAACATATGTTATCATTTCTCAAGGGTAAATGACTAGAAGTGGGACTATATATACACACACATTAAATTTTATAAGAAGGCCAGGCACGGTGGCTCACGCCTGTAATCCTAGCACTTTGGGAGGCCGAGGTGGGAGGATCACCTGAGGTCAGGAGTTCAAGACCAGCCTGGCCAACATGGTAAAAAACTGTCTCTACTAAAAATACAAAAATTTGCTGGGCATGGTGGCATGCACCTGTAATCCCAGCACTTTCTGAGGCTGAGGCAGGAGAATCGCCTGAACCCAGGAGACAGAGGTTGCAGTGAGTCAAGATGGTGCCACTGCCCTCCAGCCTGGGCAACAGAGCAAGAATCCATCTCAAAAAAAAAAAAGGGGGCCGGGCACGGTGGCTCACGCCTGTAATCCCAGCATTTTGGGAGGCCGAGGCGGGCGGATCACAAGGTCAAGAGATCGAGACCATCCTGGCCAACATGGTGAAACCCCATCTCTACTAAAAAAAAAATACAAAAAATTAGCTGGGCGTGGTGGTGTGTGCCTGTAGTCCCAGCTACTCGGGAGGCTGAGGCAGAAGAATGGCTTGAACCCGGGAGGTGGAGCTTGCAGTGAGCTGAGATCGCGCCACTGCACTCCAGCCTGGGCGACAGAGTGAGACTGTCTCAAAAAAAAAAAAAAAAAAAAAAAAATCTGTACACAGATGGCCATGGCAGCTTTATGCATAATTGCCAAACTTGGAAGCAACCAAGATGTCCTTCAGTAGGTCAATGGATAAATAAACTGTGGTACATCCAGAGAATGAAATATTTTTCAGCACTAAAAATAAATGAGCTATCAAACATAAAAAGACATGGCTGGGCACAGTGGCTCATGGCCTGTAATCCCAGCAATTTGGGAAGCTGAGGCAGAAGGATCACTTGAACCCAGGAGTTTGAGACCAGCCTGGGAAACATAGTAAGACCCCCATCTCTACAAAAAATCAACAAAATTAGCCAGTGTGACGGTGTGCACCTTGTGGTCCCAGTTGCTTGGGAGGCTGAGATGGGAGGATGGCCTGAGCACAGGAGGTTGAGGCTGTAGTAAGCCAAGATTGCACTATTGCCCTCCAGCCCGGGTGACAGAGTGAGACCCTATTTGTGTGTTTTGTTTGTTTGTTTGTTTTTTTGAGACGGACTCTCGCTCTGTCACCCAGGCTGGAGTGCAGTGGTGTGATCTCGGCTCACTGCAAGCTCTGCCTCCCGGGTTCACGCCATTCTCCTGCCTCAGCCTCCCGAGTAGCTGGGACTACAGGCGCCCACCACCATGCCTGGCTAATTTTTTTTTTTTTTTTTTTTTTGTATTTTTAGTAGAGACGGGGTTTCACCGTGTTAGCCAGGATGGTCTTGATCTCCTGACCTCGTGATCCGACTGCTTCGGCCTCCCAAAGTGCTGGGATTACAGGCGTGAGCCACTGCACCTGGCCGAGTGAGGCCCTATTTGAAAAAAAAAAACAAAAACCCAAAATACGAAAAAATGAAAAGCCTACATACTGTATGATTTCAGTACAGGACATTCTGTAACAAGCAAAACTACGGAGACAGCATAAGGTCAGTGGTTGCCCGAAGTTGGGGAGGGAGGGATGAATAGTGGAGCACGGGGGATTTTTAGGACAGAGAAACTACTCTGTATGACACTAGAGTGGCAGATACATATGGTTATGCATTTGTCCAAACCCATAGAATGTATGAGAGCAAGCGTGAGCCCGAATGTAAACTATGGACTCTGGAGATCATGATGTGTCAATGAAGGTTCATTGATTGTAACAAACGTGCCACTGTCAGGGGAGATGTTGGCAGTGGAGGAGGCTGCATGGGGTGGAGGGACAGCGGTCTATGGGAGAGCTCTGTGTCTTCCACTCCATTTGGCTGTGAACCTAAAACTTCTCTAAAAAATAAAGCCTATCATAATATTTTTAAAAAATCAAGCCAGGCAGAACAGGGTCTGGAGGCAGGGAATCTAAGGGCATTTCACACCAACTTCCTAGAACTAAATTGAAAAGAAAACCCTAACTTTCCAAGCCTAAATAACAAAAGGAGCCGAAGCTACTTCTTTTGCAAACCTCCTTTTTTTTTTTTTTTTTTTGGAGACAGGGTCTCTGTGGTCGAGGCTGGAGTGCCAGTGGCATGATCTTGGCTCACTGCAACCTCTGCCTCCCAAGTCCAAGCGATTCTCCTGCCTCAGCCTCCCGAGTAGCTGGGACCACAGGCAGGTGCCACCACCACGCCCAACTAATTTTTTTGTATTTTTAGTAGAGATGGGGTTTCGCCATGTTGGCCAGGCTGGTCCTGAACTTCTGACCTCAAGTGATCCGCTCTCCTCAGTTTCCTAAAGTGCTGGGATTACAAGCGTGAGCCACTGCACCTGGCTTGAACCCACACCTTTTCTTCATGGCAGATGGGAAATTGGCTGTTGGCAACCAATCAGACTGAATGGTGACCGAGTCTTCATTTGCACAGGAGTATAACTTTGTAACTTTAGCCTCTGATTGGTCACTTTCTATAGCCAATCAGATGTTTGCACAGGAGTGTGACCTTTGTAACTTCACTTCAGCCTCTGATTGACTGCTTTCCGCAACCAATTGTGGGCCACTGCTTCATTTACATAAGGTGACTACCAAGTGGCCAATAGGAAACCTGTAGTGGGTATTTGAACCCGAGAAGATTCTGTATCCGGGCTCTTGAGCTGCTCCAGCTGCTTCCACACTGTGGAGTGTACTTTCATTTTCAGTAAATCCCTGCTTTCGTTCTTTCATTGCTTCATTCTTTCTTTGCGTTGCTGGGCATTTTGTCCAATTCTTTGTTCAAAACGCCAAGAACCTGGAAAACTTGCAGTCAAGACCCTCTACTGGTGACACAAGTACATGGATTATTATTATGATGATGATTTTTTTGGAGACAGAGTCTCGTTCTGTTTTCCAGGCTGGAGTGCAGTGGCATGATCTAGGCTTACTTCAATCTCCACCTCCCAGGTTAAATCAATTCTTGTGCCCCAGCCTCCCGAGTAGCTGGGATTACAGGTGCGTGCCACCACACCTCGCTAATTTGTCTATTTTTAGTAGGGATGGGGTTTCACCATGTTGGCCAGCCTGATCTCAAACTCCTGGCCTCAAGACATCCGCCGGTATGTGCATGTATGTGGGGGTGTGTGTGTGTGTGTAAATTCCCCCCTGGCCCCAGCTGGACCCGTCTTTCAAGACCAACATCCTTCAGCAAAGCCCCTCCTGGCCTTGCCTGTGCTCTTCAGACCTCGCTCAGCTGAGCAGACCCCTGGCTCCGGGCAGGCTAAGGGGCCAGCAACTTCCTTTCAGCGTTTCTGGGAGGTATGCACCATGTCCTCCTACTTCACTTGAGAGGTGTTTCCTGAACTTTTCAGAACCATCTCAGGCACCCCAGCACCAATTGCAGCAGTCAGCCACCTTATCTCCAAATGCCACTGCCAGCTGCCTTCTCTGGTGTTGGCAAAAAGGACAGATCACCCTGTTCCCCTCTGTACTCATGTCTATGTGGGGAAGGCTGGTGTGGGTGAGCCAGTGAGAAGATGCTGCTGTTGAGCTGGTGGGAGTGTTTCAAGGTCAGGTCGGCAGCCTTCTCACTCAAGGCAGATCAGCAGATGAGCTGGCTGGCCATGAGATGGGGCCCTCCCTAGCAGGCAGCAGCGTCTCACCCAGTGCAGGGACACAGCAAATGCCGATGTGGTGTTCACCATGTGATGCACACATTGTTTCATGTAACTGACAAAAATCCTTGAGGGAGGCTGGGCGCTGTGGCTCACTACTGTAATCCCAGCACTTTGCGAGGCCAAGGCGGGTGGATCACCTAAGGTCAGGTGTTTGAGACCAGCCTGGCCAACATGGTGAAACTTCGTCTCTACTAAAAATACAAAAATTAGCTGGGCATGGTGGTGCACGCTTGTAGTCCCAGCTACTTGGGAGGCTGAGGCAGGAGAATTGCTTGAACCCGAGAGGTGGAGGTTGCAGTGAGCCGAGATCTTACCACTGCACTCCAGCCTAGGTGACAGAGCAAGACTCTGTCTCAAAAATAATAATAATAATAATAATAATAATAATAATAATAATAATAATCCTTGAGGGAGGCACTGTTATTATCCCCATCTACAGGTGAGCAAACTAAGGCACAGAAACGTTATGTAACTGGCCCAAAATTACACAGCCGAAACTAAGTGGCAGATGTTCTCTAGCTCCACAGTCCAAGCTCATAGGTACTGTGTGAAAGAAAGCACATTTTGGGCCGGGCGCGGTGGCTCACGCCTGTAATCCCAGCACTTTGGGAGGCCGAGGCGGGCAGATCACGAGGTCAGGAGATCGAGACCATCCTGGCTAACATGGTGAAACCCCGTCTCTACTAAAAATACAAAAAATTAGCCGGGCGAGGTGGCGGGCGCCTGTAGTCCCAGCTGCTCAGGAGGCTGAGGCAGGAGAATGGCGTGAACCCAGGGGGCGGAGCCTGCAGTGAGCTGAGATCCAGCCAAGATTGCGCCACTGCACTCCAGCCTGGGCAACAGCGAGACTCCATCTCCAAAAAAAAAAAAAAAAGAAAGAAAGAAAAGAAAGCACATTTTGCTAACTTCTTGCTACAAAATATCCAAGTAGTTACTGCCAAATGGATCCTGAGCTCATAAAACAATGCAAAGTGTATACATTGTAGAGAGTGCAGGATTTAGAGTCAGAAGAGCTGGATTTGAATCTTGGCTCTCCCACTCAGAGGCTGAAAGACCCGGAAAGCCTCCATATCCTCATCTGTAATGAAGGAGAAATGGTATTTCCTTCACAGGATTATAGCGACCGGCAAGTGAGATAAAATCCTTTGAAACACTTGGGAATGATGCAATGACAATTTTGAAAATCAAAATTAAATTTCAACATAAAAATAAATTAAGGAGCACTCAGAACTGGCCTTGATTCGGCCCTCTAGAAAGACCACAGCAGACGGACTAGGAGAGAAACCCCTGGCCAGGAAAGGCAGGGGCATCTGAGAAGCTTCAAGAAGGGGTTTTCGTACATGACAGATGACGGAATCAGCGCTCCTGCTTGGGACAGTGAAGGGACATTGTCCTCAGGAGTGGGACCCAAGGTTGACCTGGAAGCAGCTGGCCGGCGGGAAGGACAGGGCAGGGCTGGAAGCCAGCGTGCCAGCCGAGTCGCTTCTCCCCAGGCTCAACTTCCTCCCACCAGGAGCCCCTGTGACAGGGAGCACAGATGGTCGGAGAGTTCCAGGTGGGCCAGGGAACAGAGAATTCGGACCGAGAGTTGGACGGAGGCAGGCCGTTGGGTGCCCACCCAGGGGACTGCAGGGAGGTGGGTGCCGAGGGAGCACAGAGGCTAGACACTGGCAAGGGAGCGAGCAGGGATGGTCTGAGCTGGGAATGGTTTGCCAGCAGCTTCACTGGGCAGAACTGGCAACACTCTCCACCCCTTAGTTACCTGTGAGGGAGCCAAGGAGTTGTCCTCCAAGGAGGTGGTCAGCCAATTTCAGAGGTCAGCCGAGAAGAGGCACCCCTTCTTCTCAGGCCTCCTTCCCTTTCCCTTCCCCACCCTCAACATTCACTAAACACCTGCAGAGGTTTATGGGACCAGGTGCCAGGAAGGCCCCACATCTGTCCCCACCCGGCCAGCTCATGTGGTCCTTCCTTTCCTTCCTTCCCTCCCTCCCTCCCTGGCTCCTTCCCTCCACTCGCTCCCTCCCTCCCCTGGCTCCCTCACTTCCTTCCTTCCTCCCCCTTCCCTTCCTTCCCTCCCTCCCTTCCTCCCTTCCTTCCTTAGTGGTTACTTACTGAGTGTCAGGCACTGTTTTAAGTGCTTGGGACACATATACAGATCCCTGCTCTCCTGGAACTTATATTTTACTAGGAGCAAGACAATAAACAATAAATATAATAAGACCAGGCATGGTGGCTCATGCCTGTAATCCCAGCACTTTGGGAGGCCGAGACAGGTGGATCACCTGAGGTCGGGAGTTCGAGACCATCCTGACCAACATGGAGAAACCCCGTCTCTACTAAAAATACAAAATTAGCCAGGCGTGGTGGCACATGCCTATAATCCCAGCTACTGGAGAGGCTGAGGCAGGAGAATCGCTTGAACCCCGGAGGCGGAGGTTGCGGTGAGCCAAGATCGCGCCATTGCACTCCAGCTGGGGCGACAAGAGTGAAACTCCGTCTCAAAAAAAAAAAAAAAAAAAAAAAAAAAAAAAATATATATATATATATATATATATATATATATATATATATATATATATATATATAATATGTGAATAAAATGTTATATTAGAAGGCAATATATGTTAGGGGAAAGAGAAAAAGTAGAACAGAGCATCCTGGGTTGGCTGTCCAGAGGGTGAGCCCAGAAACTGGGATTCCAGGGCCAGCTGTGGGTCTGGAAAGTGATCCTAGGAAGCGAGATGAGGAGGGAAGGAGAGAGGACAGGGTGCATAGCTGAACAGGGTACCCTGCGCCTGCCTGGGCTCAGTGGCCTCTGGGCAGCTGTGTGGAACGTGCATCCAAGCAGAGCCGGCCCGTCAGGGGAGGGGGCCGGGGACCCTCCAGCCCCAGTCTTTGTGAGGACTGCTCCTATGCAGCAGCCATCGTGGTGGAGTGGCCTCCCACAGCCTCAGGGGCTGCCAGACGGGTCGGGTGGGGACAGCCTGGGGCAGTGGCTCTCCAAGTGTGGTCCCTGGACCAGCAGCATCAGCAGCACAGGGGAACTTGTTAGAAATGCGAATACTTGGGCCCATCCCAGACCTACTGGAGCAGACGCCCTGGGGATGGACCCAGCCCTCCAGGCGATTCTCAGGTGCTGAAGATGGAGAAGCAGCGGCTTTAGGGATGTGGCTAGGCACTGCTAAGGGATGTGGCTAGGCACTGCTAAGGGATGTGGCTAGGCACTGCTAAGTTCTGCACAGGGTTTGGGGAATCGGGAGTGAGTGGGGTAGTGTAGGGGTGGTGTCTTAGTTGCAGCTGCTGTAACAAAGTATCATTAACTGGGTGCTTGTCAACAACAAAAATGTATTTCTCACAGTTCTGCAGACTGGAAAGTCCAAAGTCAGGGCAGCAGCAGGTGCAGGGTCTAAGGAGGGCCTGCTTTCTGCTTCAGCTTCATAGACAGTACCTTTTTTTTTTTTTTTTTTTTTTTTTGAGATGGAGTCTTGCTCTGTCGCTAGGCTGGGGTGCAGCAGCACGACCTTGGCTCACTGCAACCTTCGCTTCCGGGTTCAAGTGATTCTCCTGCCTCAGCCTCCTGAGTAGCTGGGATTACAGGTGCCCACCACGTCCGGCTAATTTTTGTGTTTTTAGTAGAGACGGGGTTTTGTCATGTTGGTCAGGCTGGTCTTGAACTCTTGACCTCAGGTGATCCGCCCGCCTCAGCCTTCCAAAGTGCTGGGATTACAGGCGTGAGCCACCGCACCCGGTCGACAGCACCTTTTGACAGTGTCCACACATGCCAGAAGGGGTGAGGGGTCTCTCTAAGACCCCTTTTATAAGGGCATTAATCCCATTCATGAGGCTCTGCTTGTTATGGACTGAATGTGCTCTCCCCAAATTCATGTGTTGAAATCCTAACCCTTAAGGTGGTGGTATTTGGAAATACATTTGCACTATCGGAGGAGGCCTTGAAGGACAGACCACGTGTCAGCAGATCCACCTAGAATGGAAGAGAGGGGCCTTGGAGAGCCACAGCCCGGACCACAGGGGCTGTGGAGAACACAGCAGTCTGGCTTGCTGGGAGCAGAGTTGGGGCACTGCCGGCGAGGCCACCAGGTGTGGCTGTTACATGACAGCCATAGATGGTGCTATGGAAGGGCCTTCAGTGGGGTAGTGACATACGTATTTTGGGGTTCTGTTAAAATGCAGTTGTTCTTACAAACCAGGAAGGCTCTGGCTCAGGAATTCTCTTGATGTCTCATACTACAGAAACCCCCTACAAAGAAGAAAGGTGTTTGTGCAGAAGTTTCCTGCACACCTGTGCTGGGTGTCCGGCTCTCGTCCTCCCAGATTGATGCTCCATCCTTCACCCTGCTTTTGCCTTTTGGGGCCACCTCCATGGGCTGCAGCCAGATGTGGAGGTGCCCTGTGGGAGGTCAAAGGCAGGAGAGGGAGCGATGCGGGAATGGATCCCCTCCCTCTTTGGGCCTGCCTCTGACCAATGCCACTGCCCTCCAGGCCAGCCTCCTCTGGACTTTCTTCTTTGCTGGAGAGCTCCCCTTTCTCTTCCTTCCAGCCCTGATGGTGGAAAGAGTCCCCCTAATGCTGGTCCCAGAGTCCTGCCCTCCCCTAGTGGTCCCCCCTTCCTTCTGTAAGCATCCCCCTTTGTAAATCGCCTTCCTGGAATTTCCCTAATTTGAGGAAGCCATCTGTTTCCCTATGGGACCCTGACTGATGTGACAGCGTTGTGAGTAATGGCGGGAACTGGAAGCAGCCAAGAGGCAGAGAGCTGGGGAAAAGCAGTGGGTTAGGTAGAAGAATGTCAGGGAAAACCCGAAATAAAGGCAGGAGTGAGCGGGCGCTTAGGGTGGGATGCTTGGTGAAGAAGAAAAGACGGAAGACTAAAGTGTGTGGCCTGACACAACATCCAGAGGGAAAGCTCGCTGTGTGCAGGGACCAAGACTCCTACCCTCCTTCGGGCCTAGCACGGAGGACGCAAGAAAGGTCAGGAATGAATGAATGGATGAAGTGTCCTGGCCCAGCAGCCTTTTCTTCCTCACAGGGGCCCCAGACAGATTCCAGAAGGAAGGGAGAAAGAGAGGTTTAGACCCTGAAAGACCAGTACAGTGTGTGTAGGACACCAGGCAAACCCTGCCAAGGCAGAGGGCGGGACTTGTGGAGCTGGGAGTTTTTGGAGGCAGCGGCCACCAGGTGGAGGCCATAGACTTGGCTCCGGGTTCCAGTCACAGGCTCCGTAGCTCTGTGGCCCTGGGCAAGTGGCAAAGCCTCTCTGGGCTTCAGAGAACGCCTGCCCCGCTCTGAGTCCTCGCAGGAAGATGAGGCTGCAGTCAGCTGAACACTTGCTGAGTTCTGGGCATGGCGACCCCTACCCCTGGACAGTGATCCTGTGACAGAGGCCTGTTGCAGGAATGAAAACAGGTGGGTTGGCTCCGGAGACCCCCTCTCTGAGTTCCAAGACTCCTGTGTGGGAACTCCTGGCAGGGACACTCTTTTCTGTGGCCTGGGGTGGATGTCGCTGGGTTTCCAGCTGTATTTTATTTGGTGGAGGCAGCGGTGGAGTCTGCCCTCCATGCACATTTATTAGGTGTCTACTGTGTGCTGGGCACTGGGGATCTGGTGGGGGACACAAGTGCAGCCTCACAGGCCACAGGGGCCACCCACGGCCAAACAAAAGACCAAAAACAAGCAGATCGCTGGGTGTTTTCCCACCAACTTATTTTCTAACCTGGATAACAAAAAATATTACTTAATGCCCCAGAGGAGCAAATGGAACCACGACTGGTTCACAGCCAACACTTGTGAAAACAGGTTTCCCCGGGCAGCTGTGGGGGTGGAACAGGAGCTGCACGTCCCATTGTCCCAGAGTCCCCACCCCCACACTGGGGAGGGGCTGCCAGCGGGGCCTAGGGTGGGGTGGGAGTCGGCCTGGAGCGGGGGATGGTGAGGGCATGAGGCTGGAGAGCCGCAAACCCAAGCCCTCAGGGGTTTAACTACCCTTGACCGTCAGGGCAGAAGGGAGGCCCCGAGGGGTCCCAGTGGGGAGTGGTTGGGTCGGATTTTCCAGCGGGAGGGAGGCTAACTTGGAGTAGAGGTGAGGGCAGCTCAGGTTGGGGTGGGGCCAGAGAAAAAAGGAGGTGTGTGTGTTGTGGGGGAAGGACTGAGGGGGTGAGGGGCACGGTAACACCTGGCATTTGGCTGCAGTGCCAGATGGATCCCAGAGTGGGCCACAGGCCCAGGCTGGACAGGAAGGGGAGTCATGAAATGTGGCCTTCTTGGGGACAGCGTGGCCAAGCAGATGTCAGCACAGAGCCCACAGCGCCCTCTCTTAGGCCTGGATAAGGCACTGTGGGTGCCAGGTTGCAGGCCCTGCACAGCAGCCCCAAAGCCTGGAGCCATCCTGAGTCCTTCCTTTCCTCCTCCCAACTCCCACCCTTCAAATCTTACCCCAGATAGAAGCCCTTCCCCACATCCACTTCCTCTACCTTCCTCATCCTAAGGGCCCGTCCTCCTCCACTGCTGCGGAAGGCCAGCCAACTTCCACCGGAAGCTTAAGACTGTAAATCAGCTGTCAGAAAGAGTTTCCCCTGGAAACACCAGAGGGAAGGCCCTCTGCCCTCAGGGCCAACAAAATCCAGACCCGCCACAGCCCGCAAACTGAAGCCTGACCCTACCTCCCTCCATAGCCTCCAGCACTTTCCTTACCTGCTCCTCCCCCTCCCTGCTCCTGCAGCCTGCAACTCCCTGGCAGAGGCAGCTGTCTCTGTCACATTATCTGGCTTTATTATTATTGTTGTTATTACTATTTTGAGGCAGGGTCTCCCTCTTTTGCCCAGGCTGGAGTGTAGTGGTGCGATCTCAGCTCACTGCAGCCTCAGACTCCTGGGCTCAAGCGATCCTTCCACCTCAGCCTCCCAAAGTAACTGGGACTACAGGAGCACTCCACCACGTCTGACTACTTTTTGTATTTTTGCTGTAGAGACAGGCTCTCCTTATGTTTCCCAGGCTGGTCTTTAACTCCTGTCCTCAAGTGATCCTCCCACTCCAGCCTCCCAAAGTGCTGGGATTACAGATGTGAGCCACCGCGCCCGGCCTGGACTTATTGTTAAAAATACACTTACCAGCATTTGTGTTCTTGTCTATCGTCTTCTTGCCTGGCCGGAATACAAACTCTGTGAGGACAGGGACCTCACTGTTTTGCTCAAGGCTGTGTCACCAGGGCCTGGACCTGGGTGGGTACATGGAAGAAACCAGGCGACACCTGTTCATGGAGCCTGCTGGCCCCTGGGGCAACAGGTACATAGACAGCTCCAAGGTGGCAGATTGTGATGCGTGACCCAGGTCTGGGCAGTCTGGAGGAATGTGGTGAGATGCGTCATCCCTGGGCGATCTGGGGAAATGCTGCAGAAGAAGGCTTTGATTTTCAACAGAACAGGAAGCACTCCTTTCTGAGGGATACACAGAGTGCTTTCTCGTACACAGGGAGGTGGGTGGACAAGGGCCTGGAGGTAGGGTCTTCAGACAGGTAATTAGGTAAAATGAAGTCCTATGGCTGGGCCCTAATGCAATGTGACTATGACCTATGAAAAGAGAGACACCAGGCAGGTGCACACACAGCAAAAGATCATGTTAGGAGCCCACAAGAGGGTGGTCATCTGCCAGCCAAGGCAAGAGGTCTTGGAAGAGTCCAGCCCTGCAGCACCTGGAGCTTGGACTTCCAGAAAACTACCACGAAACTGTGAGAAAATAAATTTCTGTTTTTTTAAGCCACCCAGTCTGTGGTATTTTGTTATGGTAGGCCTAGCAAA